>NC_000004.12:7264992-7571489 GCF_000001405.40 Homo sapiens | reverse complement strand
TCTACCCCACCCACACGGGGCATGGCCAGAGCTATTCTCATCAAACACTGGGGGAGTGAACTCAATTTCCCGTCCCCAACCCATCCAGGGTCCTGCCATGTGGTTTCCCACCTCTGAGTCTTTGCCCTTGTCATACCCACCACCCAGGATGCCCTTTCCCTTCTTCTCCACCGGGCACAGGGGTCCTGCTTCTCCAGCCAGCCCTCTGCTAAGGCTGGGCCATGTCTGGCTAGACTCTGTGGTTGCAGCACCCAATACAAGGCTTGGCCCAGGGGCGATGCGCAGAGAGCATCTGCGGAAAAACCTAACGAGTAAATGCTGCCCAGGTTCACTGCATTCTTTCTGTTTCTTGAACAAACACCAGCATGAGAGGTGTCCAGGGCTGGGGGCTGCTGTAACTGCTTATTTTACTAAATCCAGGACGCTCCAGCTGGGGAGATGGGGACAGTGTGATGGGGTTCTCACTAAAGCCACAGGCAGGGATTTCCTTGGAGAGTGGCTGCGCCTCTGAAGTCTCCCTGGGCTGCCATGGGCTGGAAAAGGGGCAGAACAGCAAAGCCAACAGCCAGGAGACTCGGCCCCTCCCCCAGCTTGTTGGATGACAATGAACTCATGGTGTTATTTTCTCAAATTCATAGCTGTCACCCTCCCACCCCCATCCCCTGCCAATAGTTGAGGCCTGGACCCTGGCTTCGGGCACTGATTAAAACCCTCCCCTCTGGATGAGAACTGGGGGTTCCTGGAGATGAAAAGGCTTGCTGACAGGACATGGCAGATGGGGTCTGGCAGGGAGGGAAGGGGACAAAAGCAGAACCAGGAAGCCACTTTCCAAGTCACAATGCCTCCCTGGGCACTCTCACTTCAACCCTGGGCCCCACCTCCCATTTCCATGGGCACCGCCCTCTATGCAGGGTGGCGGATCTACAGGGCGGTGTGGGAGGCAGGTGGGAGCAGATTGGCTTCCCTTTGAAAACAGTGACATGCAGATGGGGACACACACCAAGGTCCTGTTAGCTGCTGGGGGCGCCTCCAGCCTGCAGGGCAGAGCACCCAGCGAACCCTCAGTGACTAGTGACAGGGCCCACCCGGAAGCAGCCTCTGGCAGCGGGAGTGGGAGGGTCTGCGTCCCAGGAGGCCCTAGCGAGGAGGCACCGTCATGAGTGGAGGTTGCCTCGAGGCTGTGAGTACAAAGTGGGACACAGGCTCAGCGGCCTGCCTGTGCCTGGGCTCCACCGGCCTCTGCTTTATGGGCCTATAAATCGGAACTCCACAGCAGACGGGCTGCGTTCTAATCCATCACTCACTACCCTCCCCTCCGCAGCCACTGAAATCCAAAATAATGAATCTCCTCGCTCCCCTCTCCGGCTCTATCAATAACACCTTAGACCAAGCAATTAGCATTTAGAGCCAGGATCCGATTTATGGGGGCCCTGCTCTCAGCTGCAGTGGATTGCATCTCCTCCCCTTGAAAACGCTGGGAGCCCTCGTCCCCTGCCCAGGAGAGCTGAAGAACAAAGCACCTCATCCAGCCGCTACCAGAGCAGCCCTGAGTGTCTCTAAAAGCCACATCCACAGGGGTGGGGAGGAGGAAGTTCCGGAGAGGCCACATCCACCCAGTGGCTCCGAAGGACATTTATTTGGGCTGAGGACACTTAGTGCCTCACAGTTTTGCAGAAGCATCTATTTCACACTGCACCTCACTGCATTCATCAGACGTGTGTTGTGTATACATGTACATGTTGTATTATATGTGTAGAGAAGACGTGCACCCATATGCAGACGGCCCCGCCCTGTGGTGGCTGGACTTATGATTCCACGTCCTGATAAACCCATGGCGAAGTCACGGAGCATCTGCACCCGTGCCCTCCACACACACATGTTCTCTGCACATAGGATAGGCTATTGTAAAATGGGCATATTGTACACACACAGCACTATCCTCCTCCTTCTGTAGATATTTCTTTTTTCTTTTTTGCGACGGAGTCTTGCCCTGTCTGTCCCCCAGGCTGGAGTGAAGTAATGCGATCTCAGCTCACCGCAACCTCCGCCTCCCAGGTTCAAGCAATTCTCCTGCCCCAGCCTCCCAAGTAGCTGGGATTACAGGTGTGCCCCACCATGCCCAGCTAATTTTTTGTATCTTTAGTAGAGACGGGGTTTCACCATGTTGGCCAGGCTGGTCTCAAACTCCTGACCTTGTGATCTGCCCACCTCAGCCTCCCAAAGTGCTGGGATTACAGGCATGAGCCACCACACCCAGCCTCTGTGGATATTTCTAAAGGCTCTTCAAGGCACAGGCCTTCTCACCTCTCACTTCCTGCCGTAATCACTTCTGCCTGGGAGGTGGCCCAAGAGCTGGGCAACAGCAATGGCACAGTCCTGGAAAACACCCTGGAAATGGAAGCAGCTTCCAGAGCTCCTGTAGCTTGCCACACAGCTACTGATACAGACATCCCCAAGAAACACAGATCCCTGATAGGATGGCAGGAGTTGACACAGATCCAAGAGAGGTGAGGTGGGAGTTCTGAGCCAAGGTAGAGTCCAGCCTTGGGGAGCTGTTCCCATACCACCTTTGAGATTCTGAGGAATAGGCCTAGGAATGGTTTACATCTTGTGCCATGCTCATCTCTGACCCCTACGGGAAGAGATGAACTAGATCAGTCACTTTCCACGGAATTCCTTCCCACTACCTTGTAATTGCAATAGACTTCTACTGGATAGCACTATGGTTCCCAAACTGTGGGTTGAGCATCCTAGCCATAGTCAACTCACAGGAACCTGGTGGGATATTTTAAGTTTTTGAGGGAAACACAGTGACCAACATTTCTTGGATCCTGCACCAATTACCAGTCAGGTTGTTCACGGTTTCCACCTTAGATCATGCCACATCCCTCTCAGTGATACCAACTCTTTGCAAAGTCAGGTTTTTGGTGGTCGCTGTGATAAAAAGGAAAATCAATGTGGAACATGAAATGAGGATGGAAGCATCTAACTGAGTCTGGTTCCAAGGTCTGGAGAGAGTATGTAGCACATCGCAAGTGCACAGCCTGTCATTAAGCAGTGGTGAAGAATGAAAGAAAAACACTATTTTCCTTTTGATTTATGTGTACCATTTTAAAAGAATACCTACGCTATTAGGTATCAGGACATAAATACTTATGCTATTAGGACATAGATACTTGCTAACTTGTTTGAACCTAATTGCTTCACAAGTGAAGCTTTTAGGTTTTGGTTGTTGCTGTTGTTTCTTGTTTGGCCTAGGTGTGCTGTGAAAGATTTTTGAGCCACGAAGGGCACTGTGAGCTGAGAAAGTTTTGGAACCTCTGGTGTAGTGGGGATAATTAGGGATGTTGCCTAGCATCTTGACCTTGGTTTCTAATACCATTCTCCAATAAAAGCAGTCAGAGCTCCTTGGAGAAATGGTTGATGCTTGGACTGGGTAGGAAATATATCAGATGAGCCTGGAGCATCTTGTAGCGCCAGAAAGCAAGGACGTGCTCATAAACAAAATAAAAATTACAGTGATCGGAATATGTCAAAGAGACACAGCAGCCAACTGAAAGTGCTCCCAATGACCAAAGCTGGAATGGCTTAAACAATAAAATAAGGTACTATTGGATTATAGCTGAAAGGAGAAAATAAATATTCATGAGTTCATCCTCATATAAATACATGATTAAATAAATAAATGGGGGGAAGAGACACACCTCCCATGCAGAGGAATTCCAAATAATTTATGCAGGTCCTCTGCTCTCAAGGGGAGGGAGACTCACTCCTTAAACATGGGCTGCCCATAGCAACCTTCTTCCAAAGAGGGCAGTGTGCAAAGGGCGCCAAAGAGAAACTCTATGGTGGAGAAGCCTGGCAAACATCCCTCAGCCAGTGACAAGGGTCAGTGTCAACAGTGGTAAGTCCTGTTGGCAGGGTGTGGCCTTGGTGTGATGCGATGGGGACAGCACTGCACCTCTGTGGTCTTCCTCCCAGGAATAATCCCAGTGCAATCATGAGGAAAACACTATACAAATTCCAACAGAGGAACATTCTTTAAAAAACACCTGACCAGCACTCTTCAAAAATGTCAAAGTTATCACAAACAAGGGAAGTCTGAGAAACTGTCACAGCCAGGCGGAGCCGAAGCAGACATAATGACTACATGTAACGTGGAGTCCTGGGTGGGATCCTGAGATCGATGAAGGCATTAGGTAAAGACTAAGGAAATCTGAATACAGTTTGCACTTGTAACATTAACGCATCCATATTGGTTCCTTAGTCATGACAAATGTACATACCAATGTCAGATGTTAATAACAGGAAATTGTGGGCAAGGGATATAGGAACTCTATACTACCTTCACAGGTTTTCTGTAAACCTAAAACAGTTATAAAATTTTAAACTATTTTAAAATGCACTTGAAAAATAAATACAAAAATAAATAGGGGTGTTGGAGTCAGTAGACCTATGTCCAAATCTAAGTTCAGGTCCTTCCTAACTGGGTGACAGAGAGCACTCACCCAATACTCATGTGCCCCCTCTGCATTTCCCAGCATCCACTAAGGTAAGCCAGGCCATGTGACTAGCTCTAGCCAGTTGTAAGCATTCACCAGATACCCATGTGCCCCCTCTGCATTTCCCAGCATCCACTAAGGTAAGACAGGCCATGTGACTAGCTCTAGCCAGTTGTAAGCATTCACCAGATACCCATGTGCCCCCTCTGCATTTCCCAGCATCCACTAAGGTAAGCCAGGCCATGTGACTAGCTCTAGCCAGTTGGCTGTGAGCAAGAGCAATGCACGTCACTTCCTAAGGGAGCTCAGAACCAGAGTGTCTCCTCCAAGCCAAAGGGGGGACCACCCACAGGCCTGGGGCTTCCCTGAGTGAGAAGTGATCTTGTGTTGTGTTGAACAACTGAGATTTGGGGTTTTGCTTGTCACTGCAGCTGGTATGAATTATTCCAACTCTAACCTGCTGTGTGGCCTCTGATAGTCAGTTTCCTCATCTGTAAAGTGGTGGTAAAAATAAGAATGTTATGTGGCATCCATTAGAGGCTCAGTAAATATTAACTGTGATGGCCATCACTATCTTCATCATCAATCCGTCATCTTCATCTTCAGCAGCAGCAGTAGCAGAGTCATCATCATCATCATCACCTCATCATCACATCATCACCATCACCATTATCACCATCATCACCATCACCATTAACACATTATCATCATCTCTATCACCATTATCACTATCATCACCATCACCATTAACACATTATCATCATCTCTGTCATCATCACCACCATCACCATCACCATTATCAATATCACTACCATCACCATCACCAATATCACATTATCATCTCTATCATCACCACCATCATCACCATCACCATTACCATTATCACATTATCATCATCTCTGTCATCATTACCGTCATCACCATCATCATCATCACCATCGCCATCATCACTATCATTATCACCATCATCACCATCATTATCACCATCATCACCATTACCATTATCATCACCATCATCACAGCATCACCATCACTACCATCACCATCATCACTATCATTGCCATCATCACCATCACCACCATAATCACTATCACCACCATCATCATCTCCATCATCACATCATCACCATCATCACCATCATCACCATCACCATCATCATCACCATTGCCATCATCACATCATCACCATCATCATCATATCCATCATCACATCATCACCACCGACACCATCACCATCACTTTCACATCATCATCATCATCACCATCACAGCACCATCACCACCGTCATCATCATAAACATCACCATCATCACATCATCAGCATCATCACATCATCACCATAAAAATCACCATCATCACCATCATTATCATCATTATATCATCATCATTACCATCACCATCATCACTTCATCACCATCATCATCGTGATTGGTATCATCATCATCACGTCACCATCATCTTCTTTATCATAATCATCATCTTTATCATCATTATGCTAATCATATTTTCCTAATCATTTTCATCATCATTATTATAGCATCATCATATCATCCTAATCACTATGATCTCCTTTATCATCATCTTCATCTTCATAATTCTAATCACCATACTACTATCAGCACAATATCACCATCTGCATTATCCTCATCATCTTCTGGTCAGGATGGAACCCACAGCTTTTATTCCAAGAGCAGAATAATCCTCTCACTTCTGAGCCCAGGAGCAGGGTGGGAGTTTCTGTCTCAGGGTCAGCCGGGGAAGTTGTTTGGAAACAGTACTTCTTCAGGGACTAGTCATTTATTTTTAAAATCATGTCTTATCGATCCTCGGTCAGAGGAAACAAACGCAGCCTGAGCGAGTGGAGTCTCCACAGAATCCAGAAATGCCAGGAAGCCCTTGCTCCCCCTCCCTCTGAGCACCTTTGGCTCGAGGTAGCTAACACACGGGCCTCAATCGTAACATGAGGAGGAGCATCCAAAGGAAATTAATTTCCAAAGCCTGCCGGTGCACCGCATCTCATTCAGAGTGGCCAGTGGCCACTTCCAAAGTTCAGCTCCTGTGGTGAGGTCAGAAAAAGTAAGCCTGTTGATACAGGTAACTAAGGCAAGCAATGACAAAAAAAAGCCAGACAGCTGCCTAGAAATCAGGGAATTATTGGGACCATTTGCTTCTTTTCTTTCTCGAATAAAATGTTTGTAATACTCATTGTAACAGCGACTGTGGCATGGGGCCTGTCTTCTGTAGAGCTTTTGTGCTGTGGCTGCCGTGGAAACAAGCACAGCATGAAAACTGGGATGGATGCTGGGTTCAAATCCCAGCACAGCAGCCACCTCCCGGCTGGTGAGCTCGGGCCCAGCTCCTCATCGCTCCCATAGCTGCCTTCCTTCCATGTGAAGCAGGCATGCCACCACCCAGTACACTGGGAGCAATGTGCCCAGACTCACATGCTGAGTTGTAACCTCCACTCCCTCAGAACATGACCCTATTTGCAGTCTTTATAGCAGTAACTGAGTAAACAAGGTCATCGGAGTGGGCCCCAATCCAACATGACTAGTGTCCTTACAGAAAGGGGAAATTTGGACACAGAGACACACACGGGGCTGACACCATGTGACAATGAAGGCAGAGAGCTCTCCGGAGAGGAAGGGCAGGGACAGTCAGCCAGCCACCAGAACCAGGAGAGGCAAGGAAGGACCTTGTCCTAGAGGGGGCCACAGGGGCAGCGTGGCTGGAGAAGTAGAGAGAATATGAATGTCCACTTCATAGAGGGACAAATGGCCTCAAGTGTGTGTGTGACAGTAGAAAAGCAGCGATTTAAAGCTGGGCCTGCAGCCTCATGGCCCACAAGCCAACCTCTCTCAGTGAAGCCGGGAGACACCTGTCCCTCCATCCCCATTAGAAATGTCTTCCTGGGCTGAAGCTAACAACTGTGCAATTTCCCTGGCAGGCTTCTTTTGCGGGAATGCAAAAATACCCAATGTGGAAAGCAAAGGAGGAAGGTGTTCTCACATAAATTAACCTGACATCTTATGTTTCATAAAGTAATTTCTAACAAGTACCATTTTCCTGGAATTAGGTTGTTTAAATTTTAGCCCAATTGTTCTCACTTACATTGCTTAGCGATAGTCAAAAGCAACAAGGCCCTCGGAATTCACAGCAGTTAAAAGAATGACTAGACCACTTTGAATTCTAGAACAGTACGTGCACATGAGATAAACAAGCATGATTCTCTGATTATGCCCAGAGAGGGAATAAACTCCATCTGTGCAATCTGGAACCTGCAGCACAGAGCTAACCAGCTGAGCTGTGTATTAGAGTCAGTGAGGCTCCCATCAATGGAGGTATGTAAGCAGAAGCAGATGGCATCTTGTCAAGGAACGTGCTCCCAGAAAGGGAGCTGGGTCAGATTCCCCTCCAAACCCCAGAGTTCTGAGATGGCACTCCTCTCATTCAGCCATGACCATCTAGTGGCATGGAAGAGTCCAAGTGGCAGGGAAAATAATGCCCCCACGAAACTCCTGCTTGATTTGCGAATGTGGGAAATTCTGGCAGACAGAGAGATGGCTGTTGCACTAGACTTGCCCTGGGTAGGTCACTTACTCCCCCGGGCCTCAGTTTTATTTCCAGGAAAATGGAAATGAAGGATGAAGTCTTCCTGAGGGCCTCTTGCTGGTGATGTTATCTGCTACACGCCCAAGACCAAGAACAGTCCCTGGCCCACGGTGGTGGCATGCAGTCATTGTTTGAAGAGTCCCTCAACAAAGGAAGAGAAGAGCTCTGCACATCTGGGCATGCCTGGTGTGGGACCTTCTCCTTTTCCTCCCCACTCTGCCATCTCACCCTTCACCCCCAGCCAATGCAGAGAGAGGGCCAGGGGTCAGCAGACTCCCATCCACAGAACGGATTTTGGTATGACCAGGGAACTAGGAATTTCTTTGTACATTTTTAAAGCATGGCATATTGGGTTAAATGGTGCTCCACACATGCAAATTTATGCTCACCTCGAACCTCAGAATGTGACCTTATTTGGGAATAGAGACTTTGCAGATATAATTAGTGAAGACAAGGTCATCCTGGAATAGGCTAGACCCTAAATCCAATGGCTGTGTTCTTATAAGAAGCAGGAAACTTGGACAAACACACACAGAGAAGTCCATACAAAAAGGCAGCTGCAGAGATGGAGTGGGGTGGCCAAGAAGAAGCCAAGGACTGCCAGTAACCATCAGAGGCTGGAAGAGGCAAGGAAGGAAACTGCCCTGGGCTTGGGGCCTGCCCACACCTTGATGTCAGACTCTGGTCCAGAGCAGTGTGAGAATACGTTTCTGTTACTTTAAGCCATCCAATCTGTGGTCCTTCATTATGGCAGCCATGGGACACAGATGCAGGTTGTATATTAAAGCAATACCAACCAAAATGAAACAAAACCAAGTAGAACATGCAACAGAGACAGCGTATGCCCCTAAAGCTTAAAGTATGTACCATCTAGCCCTTTACAGAAAACGTTTGCCAACCCCTGTTCTTGAGTAGAATCCAAACTCCCTATCACTATCCCAGCGTTCACAGCCTACTGTCTCCCCAGCCTCATCCCAGGCCATCCCTCCTCCTTGTAGCCACCACTCTTGCCATGCTCAGTCTCACTCACTGACCATCCACCTTTTTTTTGCCTCAGGGCCTTTGTGTACGCAGCTGATCACAGCTCATGCACCACTTCCTCAGGGCAGCCTCTTTCCCATCTCCCCACAGCCTGGGTCGAGCACATTGTGACACTACTTCAGAGAACCCTGACCTCCCTTTTCCCAACACAATCATGGGGTAATTAAGTACAATTACTAGCTAGTGATAATGAATTATAATCAATCGAGAAGTTCAATTAACTGGGTGATCATTCACTTACTGCCTGCCCCCATACTAAGTTGTCAACTCCATGGGGTAGGGGCTAAGTCACCAGTAACCACCACAGTGCTTTGTACAGATCAAGTACGTCCTCTAGAAATATTTGTGGGACGGATGGGTAGATGGATAAATGAATACATGGATTAAGAGGTAGATGGATAGATGGATGGATAGGTAGATGGATGCATGAGTAGATTGATGGATAGGTAGATGGATGAATGGATGAGTAGACTGATGGATGGGTAGATGGATGGATGGAAGGATGGATGGGCAGATGAATGGATGTATAGATGGGTAGACAGATGGGCAAATGGACAGATGGACAGATGGATTGAGGGAGAGATGGGTGGATGAGTAGGTGGATGGATGGATAGATGGATGGGTAGATGAATGGATGGTAGATAAATGGATGGGTAGGTGGATGGATAGATGGATGAATGGGTAGACGGATGGATGGGTAGATGAATGGGTAGATAGACGGATGGGTAGATAGATGGATAGATGGATGAATGGATAGATGGATTGGTAGGTAGATGAATAGGTAGATGCATGAATGGATACATGGATGGATGGGTAGATGGATGGATAGATGGATGAATGGGTAGATGGATGGACAGGTAGATGGATGAATGGATAGATGGATTGGTAGGTGGATGAATAGGTAGATGGATGAATGGATACATGGATGGATGGGTAGATGGATGTATGGATGAACAAACATAATTTCAGGAGCTCCCCAGGCTAGTCTGGACTTCCAGCCGCTCCCCTCCATGTCTGTAGTTAGTCCTAGGTTCCTACCTGGCCTGGAGTCCCACCTAGACCTCAGATCCAATAGATAAAAGTGATTCTCTTGTTCCCATGTCTCAGTAGCCCTGTATGACAAATTAAAAACTGAGTGGGTTTGAATAAAGGGCCACGAAGCCCCCATTTGGGCCCAGATCTATACTGAGTAGGACTCTAGACACCCAGGGATGAATGACACCCAGCTTCTGACCTTGATCTCCTAAAGCTATGGAGAGGAGGTGACATCGAAAGACACAGCATCAGAGGGCCTGGGGTCCAGTCAAGATGCCCCAACTGCCACCCCCATACATTAACTGCAGTCCCCAAATATGGCGGCAAGCTCCATCTTGCTTCTGCAGCCATGGACAAGAGTGTTCCATCCCATCTCGCTTGGCAAACCTGATTTCCCTACCTCCCAAGGCTACATTTGCACCCACAGGAACCTCTGTCGATAGGGAAACAAGTGTCTAACTCTCAGAGATTATCAACATGCTAATGGAGACCTCATTACCCAGCCTTACAAGAATCAATATCCAAAGAAGAATGGAATGTCGGGCAAAGCTCCCCTCCCCTCTCCAGCAGGCTTGAGGATGGGTAAGAAGACAACAGTGTGAGGGTTTCAGGTGCTGAGTGGTCCTGACATCTGAGCCCCATGTACCCAGAGCCGTCCCTATTTCTTTACTGTCCTTCAAAGATGTCAGTGCAGGGGCCAGGGGTGGAAGAGCCTGTGGTTTGCTGGGGGCGCATCTTGGGCTGGCACAGTCTCAGACACCCTACGAGCACTTCTCCTATGCTCTTCCACATGGTTCCCGGGAGCAGCACTGTCACCTCCACCTTAGAGATGGCCACTGTCACCTGCCCAAGCCATTGAGAGACAAAGCACAGCCCCTGTCTACCTGACAGCGGGGTCTGTCTTCTTTCTTTCTACCACCACCTGCCTCCAGTAGAGGGATTCCTCAGAAATGACCTTCCAGGTGAAAATCCATTCATCCCTCGCCCTCCATCCCACCCCATAATACAGTGTATTCTCTGAGGCTCTTTTTAGGAGCTGAGTTAATAAAGACTGTCAAATCCCGAGAGTCTGCCAGAAGCTTCCTGGCCCCAGCCACCTCGGATAGGAATGAGTGAGACAGAACAAACAGATCAATAAAGGTAATTACAAGCCATTTCCGTGGGCTTGGCAGCCGGCATTTTTCCTGTGCTCCTAACCTGCGAGGATGTGAGCATTTGTTCAGACTGTCGCCTATCCCCAGAATTCAGGCCAGGGCCTCCACAGAAGCCTCCCCGCCTTTAATTCAGCGGGTGGCCACCGGCACACATCTAAAGGACAGTGGTTCGGGTAGGTCCCCTCCCTGCTCCCCAACCAGAATAGTGAGAAATAAAGTCTCAACTCCATAGCGCCTGGCTCCGGCCCTGCAGTATGAATGCAGGTCATGCCTCCCAATGGGTGACAATGATGACAGCAATGGGTATTTGCGAGTGGTCAGTGGGCACCTGTGCTGGGCTATGCCCTTGTGGAGAGCCGTTTGTTCATCTTGTACAACCACCCGGAGGGGGAAACTATTGTCATCCCATTTCACAGGTGAGGAAATTGAGGCATGGAGAGGGATGAGGACTTGCCCCAGATGGCACAGTGGGCAGGTGCAAGACAGGCTCAGACCCAGGCCCCCTTGGACCTGTGCCTCCTCCAGCTGATGCCTCGATCCCAGCCACATTTGTTGCTCCAGAGGCTGGAGCTCATGATACAGGTCAGGACTGCCTAACCTGGGCCCCCGCTGGCACCACTCCCTAGAGCCTCTGATGCCCCCATCAGCTCCTGTCTGTCCAAGAACACACACCCACCAACGGGGTCGGCCTCCACGACATCCTGCATAATTTCTCAGCTAGGAGAGCTCTGGGCCTCCTCCAGGTGCGCCCTGACCTCTGTGTGCCCATGTCACCATCGGTCCCCTAGAGTGGCTCAGGATGCTTCAATCCAGCTTCACAGAGCTGGGCCAGGCTCGAGATAAACCAGGTGTGGTTGGATCTGTGGGGAGCTTGTAGGGGCTTCAGGGTCCCAAACAAAAAGCCATGGAAGCCCGAGGCACTGCGGGCACGGGGGCCACAGCCCTCTTGGAGGGGGGCACGTAGCTGCTCAGAGGCCAGGGCAGAGTGCAGCAGTGGGTGATGGGAGAAGACCATTCCAGGCAGAGGGAACCCCTCCCCGGGAAAGTGAGGGCTGGGCCAGAGTACTGGGGACTCATCCCCCAACAAGAGCAAATGATGCAGAGGAAGCGAGTAGTGGCTCAAAACACAGAGAAGACCAGGAATGCTGAGGCCCAGATAGGGGCAGGAGGGACATCGGGCAGGGCAAAAACCAAGGGCAGACAGGGCAGGGCACAGGAGGACAGAAAAGGTCCTCGGAGGTTAGCCATGTGGGGGCCTGGGAAGGTGAGCCACAGCTCTATGGGCCGGCTTTGGGGTAAAGCCAGAGGCCCGTGGACTAGAGGCCCTAGGGTGAGGCGGGGCCAGGGACAGCCCCCTTGGGAAAGCTGAACCTGAGGGGGTGTATGAGTTGGCCTCCTGGGCCAGACCAAAAGCCCCCTGGGGTAGGCACCAGGTGAACTTGCAGACCCACCATGCAGGCACAGGATAGCGGTGCAGGGCGTGGGTGTCCCTGTGCCGGTCATAGGCTTGGCACATCACTCACGTCAGCTCATGTGCGTGGGAATGAACTGACCAGGCAGCACTGTCAGATGCTCAAGGTCACCGCACCAGCACAGAGGGAGCTGGCATCTCACCTGTAGTTATGACCCAAGCCAGGTTCTTCCCCTGTTACAGGAGAGTGGGGCCCCAATTGCCTGGGGCAGGATCATCTGGGTCTTCCTCAGCCCAAAGTGGTAGTTTTCCACCCCAGTAGGTTTTGCCCCCAAGGGACACTTGGCAATGTCTGGGTACATTTTTGGTTGTCACAACTGATAGAGGGGTACTATTGGCATCTAGTGGGCCAAGGCCAAGGCCACCCTACGATGCATAGGACAGCTCTGTCCCACAACACAGAATCCCTCAGCCCCAAATATTAACAGTGCCAAAGTCAAGAGAGCCTGGTCTAAGAGAATCTGTTTCTCAAATGGAGTCAGTTATGCATTCCTCTCCCATATAAGTGTTTCTGGACACCTTGGCCACTTGAAGAAGAGGTGACTGATTACAGGACCCCAAAGCAGCCCTGGGGGCACAGTGGGCAGTGACAGAGCTCCAGGACCCCTCCTCACTCAACACCTCCTCCGGCTCTAGTGTTGTAGGAAACCTCAGAGGCTTCACTGTGAACTGCATCTGGCTGAACTGTTAGTCCATGTCTTGTCTTCTTGGTGTCTGTGAGTAGGTCGCTCTGCCTCTCTGAGCCTCATTTTCTTCATCTGCGAAGCAGGTGTCAGAGCATGAAATGTGCTGGTGGGTATAGGTCATTTGGAACGTGGGTGCAGGGCTACTCTTCACGTCGGCATGGGGCACCGTGCCCCCACTTCCATTTCCTCCCCAAGGAAGGCATCACATCGGGGCAGGCCAAGTCTCAGCTCAAACCACTGCCCCTTTCAGAGGCCTTGGGGATTGCCTGTGTACTTTTCCCTGGGCATTTGCAAAGCAACGTGCTTCAAATGACTCATACATAGGAATGATCCTTTTTAAAGGCACTGGAGATGGAAAAGCCCTGGGTAAAAACTCATTGGATGAATCAGTGATGATCACTATGATAACAGAATCTAGTCCAGAGCAGTTAATCCAATTCTCAGTCTCCATAGTTGGTTATTCATCTCTATCTACTTAAAAGTGTGATAAAGAGAACGAATCCTTGCGTGGCTAGGACATTTTGCAGTCTATAAAGCACACAATCATCTTCAAAGCCTTTTCTTATCCTTATGTAATTTAGATCTCACAATAATCAAATGCCAGAGCAGTGTCACCAACCCCAATTTACAGATGAAGTAATTGAGGCTCAGATATGAGAAACCATTTGCCACTCTCCCCAATCTGCCCGTGCCCCCAGCCATCCCTGCCACCGTCCCTCCACCCAACTGGGTAATGAAGCTAAGATCACTATAAGAGAAAGGAAGAGGAAAAGACCTTGGGCACTTTCTTGGTTGACTGAACAAAGGTAAATTCAACCGCCCTTTCCTCAGTGTCCCCATAAGAAGCATTTGCATTGTGACAACAACTGCCCTCCTTGTGTGTTTTGCACACTTGTCTTCCCACTGAGAGGAGAGCATATCATGGTATGCCTGGTACAAGGGAGGAAAGTAAAGGGATGGATGGATGAGTGGACAGATGGATGGATAAATGGATAGATGGACGGATGGACAGGTGGGTGGTTGGATGAATGGATATGTGAGTGAGTGGGTGGATGGATGGGTGGGTGGGTGGGTGGATGGATGGATGGATGGATGGTGGGTGGGTGGATGGTGGATGGATGGATGGTGGGTGACTGGATGGATGGGTGGTAGGTGGATGGATGGGTAGATGGATGGATGATGGGCAGGTAAGTGGATGGATGTGTGGGTGGGTAGGTGGTGGGTGAATGGGTGGTAGGTAGATGGGTGGACACATGGATGGTGGGTGGGTGGATGAATGGTGGATGGGTAGGTGGAAGGGTAGGTGGGTGACTGGATGGATGGATGGATAGATGGATGGGCAGATGGGTACATGGAAAAAAATCTAGATCCTAGTTACATGACTACATGTTTCAAGCATACATATACTCTTATGAAAAGTGAACTTTGTGCAGATTTCCCATGAGCCCAAGACTGGGTCTCAGCCTCCTGGGTCTTTCCATGTGTCCAGCTGAGTCCGTGCCAGTGATAGGACCAGTCCTCCTTCTCTTTTTGCTCCCCATATTCCCTCTGGGTGGGCTCCTCTGGGCCCAGGTTACAGCCACAGAGGCTGCGCGAGTGTCTCCAGCCCAGCGCCCCCTGGAGCTCTTTGCTAATATACCAAACGTCAGCTCCCCACTCAGATGCCTCGAGGCACCTTTAAAATCAACATCCTCAGAGGAAACTCATTATGGGTCCTCACAAGCCCACTCTTCCTCCAGTGTCTCAGGCTTCAGGAAGGAGGACGGGAACTCCACTCTCCCCATTGCCAAAACCCAGCCCCACTGTCCAGACCCCCATCACCCCTCACCTGGATGGTGGCAATGGCCTCCAGTGGGTCCCCTCCTATCCAGCCATAGAGGATCATTCCAAATACAACCCTAACGTTGGCATCCTGTGTTTAAAATCCTTTACTGGCTCCCCATTTCTCCCAGGAGTCAATGAGCATCGCGATGTGAGTTGAGTGTTGAATATCGGCACTGTTTCCAGGACTCTTACCCACTGCAGAAGCACCCTGTGCTGGACTAGTGGGCACTTGTTATGTCAGCTCCACACCTTTCTCATCTGTCCCTGTGAACAGCTTTCCTGGGGGCTCTGCCTCTGCCACCTGCTGTCACACTGACCTTCTTCAAGTCTCTCCAGCCTCAGGACCTTTGCACCTGCTCCCTTCACCTATGTAGCTCTTACCTTCAGGTTTAGGCTCAAATGCCACTTTTGCAGGGAAAAATCCCCCATGATCCCCTTCTAGAGCAACTTTTAAACCCGTGCCTTTTCCTGACACTTTGCACATTTCCTTTACCAAACCAAGGTTTGCAATTTGATGCATTTTTTTAAATCAACGTCAGTTTCCCTCAGGGAATGAGAGCAGGGGCTATGTCTGTTTTCATCCGATACCCAACCCTGACACTAAATAGTTGCACGCGTAAATGAAGAAATGAGGGCTTCTCCCCAGTTGTGGGTGTGGGGTAGAGAGATGAGCTGAGGCACCACAGCCTGGGCTGTGTCTCAGATGCCTCCTCATTCCTCTGCCAGCAAGGGCTGGTGGAGGGCATTTGTGCTCCTGCACAGGCTACATGGGCTCACACAGGTGGGTAGGGACCATGGCTGGGGGTGTCTTTGGAAATGGCCCCTGCCAGAAAGTGCCCTCAGGATGCTGCCTGCTTTTAGCTACTTGCAGGCAATTTCACAGCGATTGCACCTAACTGCTCTTTGGGAAAGTGGCCATTAAAACAAGACAGTTTAATAGCAACTGGCTCACACAGCCAGAGGTTCTGGAATGGTCCATCTCATGCAATTACCATCACTTTCACATAGAGGGAGTGTTTACCCTGAAGAGGTCTTTGGAGGTTGCCTGCATAGGTTAGACCTGAACTCCAGTATCCAGAGAGAAACCTGAACAAGGACACCTTGTGGACAGTGCTGCTCCCATCCTCAGGAGTTTTGCCAGGTGAACGGCTGGGCTGAGCAGCTGATTCCAGACACAACCTCGACTGTGATGACTTTGATGCACTTGCACCTGAGCCTCCATGCCTTGGACTT
Organism: Homo sapiens; assembly: GCF_000001405.40. NCBI lineage: Eukaryota > Metazoa > Chordata > Mammalia > Primates > Hominidae > Homo > Homo sapiens. The sequence continues at coordinate 7,554,933 of NC_000004.12, read as the reverse complement.
CACCTGCCCTACTTCCTCAGCTCTCCTGAGAACTCTGCCCTAGTGTTCTGGAGGCAGGTGTTCCAATATGCCTTTACATTTGGAGCCAGCATGTTTCTCACGGGGTCCTGTGTGCACCCCTTCCTGCTTTCCTGTGCATTGCCCTCTCTGGAGGGTTCAGCCCACACAGCATTTCTCTTTGGGATGTTCTTCCTCGGGGCTCCCGCTGTGCTCTACAAATCTCAATCCTGGCACTCCTCTTACCTTGCAGAATCTTTATGCATCTCTGACAGGCATCAAAGATGCCCTGAGCACAAGGAAGTCATCTTTTTCATCATTCTACCTACACATATTCTTAACACTTCACCTCCAAACACTTTAATGGTGTTTGCTGAATTTATGGGGGGACTTAATATCCTAATGGTGGGCTGTCTAGCACCAGGACTGTCTCATAGGGAAGGTATTCTTGGTCAGGAGTAGGGCCTCTGGGGGAGGGCCAATGAGTGTCAGCACAGAGAGGACATGGGAGCAGGAAGAGGAAGGTCCCACATGTAGTGTCTCCAAGTATACCATGATGTCATTCACTTATGTGGTCTATACTCCTAGGTGGCCTCCTCCTCAATAATAATAAACAACTCTCCTATGTTACAGCTCGCAAAGCACTTTTGGGTTCATCACAGTCAATCCTCCAGCACTGGGAGTGCATCCTGCCAGACTCTGGGGAGTATTTGAAAGTGGGTGCAGCTCCCCTCTGGCACCGTCCTCCCTGGTCCTGTCCTCCCCATGATATGTAGTGCCCCCTTAGGAGATCAAGGCAAGGAATCAGCATCTCCTTATGGCCTTTCCGTATGATTTTTTGGCCTTGCATTTGTTCCCTCGTTTCATGAACATTCTGATTTGTGACACTTCCTGGTTGTTTCATAGGCCCTGAGTCTCTCGCCCATGGCTGTTTTCCTTGCATGTTCTTTTCCAGCAATGTGGGCGATGAACCTCCTAATTGGATTTAACTAAAGATTGTTTGGGATTTCTCAAAATATTCCTCAACTTCAAGTTCACATCAACTAATGTGATGAAGTTGTGCCTCTGACCTCCCTCTGTATCAGGAAAGGGGCCCAGCTGTCTCTCCTCCCACCTTCACCTTCCTCTCCCCTTCCCGAATATCAGTCATGATTGACATACACCAGGTTTGAGACAATAGCTTTTCTTTTCCAGAAACATGTTTTTGATATGTGTGCTGGGCTTCCATCCATTCTCACAACAACAGCTGTTGAAGCTGAACCTGGTGCCCACCTGGTCTCCATCCATACCTGGGCTCGTACACCTCCACCTTCCCCACATGGAGCCTCACTCATCTCTCTGTTGGCAAGAGATGTTTTCCAGGCAGTCTCATTTGAAGACAAGTCCCTGGACATACAGTTCATGATGTTCTGCTATCTGAAGTTGCCTTTATCTCAGTCTGCAGATGACAGCTTAGCTGGGTATAAAATTCTGAGATCAGACTTTTTCTGCACCTATCTACAGACATTCAAATCCATTTTATCATTTTGAAATTCAGTACTGAAAATATGTTTGTAATGGCCCATTTTTATCTTTTATACAGAATGTTTCCTTTTTTGATGAAAAATTACATGGTTTTTTTTCCCCCCTCTCATAATTAAAGAAAAAAAATCAGAATATGAGGATTGGCTTAACCAGGGCTTTGTTCCCCTTCAGGAACTCTCCCCTGACCACCCCACCACCCACACATCTGTGACTTGGTCTGGATCTCACTAGGACCTTGTGGATCTCAGGCTGGCTCTGTTGCCCTCCCAGCCCAGCATCTTCATACTGCTACCCAGCCATCCAGACCCCTGCTTAGCGCCCCCTCCACATCACTGACTCTTTCCTGCAGTGTCCATTTTGTGCTCTCAGGCTTCCAAAATGGCCTCTAGTTCTATGGTTGAAACTTTTATTGTCTTACGATCACTCCACCCCCACTCCTCGCTCCCTTCCTAGTTCTGCCTTCCTCTCTGAGAGCTGCCTCTCCTCTCCATCCATTTTTCTAACCTTCCATCCATTCTCCTCACCACTATACTTCTACAGAGACCACACATTGCAGGGAATAAGCTCTCTCCAGAGGCCCCTCCACACCCTGATTCCTCCCTTATAGACTGTACAAATACAGAGCTCATACAGAGCTCAGGGGTGCTGGAGTGGAGAGGCAGGAAGGTGGGGAGGAAAAGTCATCTAGTTGTCCCAGGACCAGCGTGCATGAGTGAGGAGATGCCCACCCCACTGAGGGCAGCCACGGCCATGGCAGGAGGTTGAAGCACTGTTCCTGATCCCTGTGGGGGGCCAGGGTATCCCTGCTCCATGAGCTTTCTCTACCTACCTAGTGGGAGGCCTCAGCTGCTGGCATGGTCTCTCTCTTTGTTTCTGGCTGTTTATTTTATGCTCTGCCTTCATCGTCAGTTTAGAGGGAACCTGGGGAAGCTTGGACTGGGGCCAGTGCTTTTTTGTCAGAGAAATCAGAGCTACCCTCTAGTGGAGCCTCTGTGTGGGCAGCCCTCCACATCCTGGTCCAGATTTTAGGGCCAAGCCACCCTCTTTGCCCTGCTGAAAGTGCTGGTGCCCCAGGGGACAGAGACACCTTCCTGGGATTCTTTCTCTTCCAGCCATGACCAGGAAAATAGTCAACGCTGAGTTCAGAGATCCCAAAGATACCACAGCCAAGGACCCTCAGCAATATACCTGCCCCACCTCGCATGGGCCCTGGATCTTGGGAAACAGGTTTCTGTTTCCCTGTCAGGGAGGGAGGGAGCCACATTTTGTTCAAAGTGTAGCAGGACTTTGGAGGATGCATAATGGCTAATTGATATGGGACAAATAACTAATTGCTCTCTAATTACATGACAATTAGGATTCATATCTCGGCAGCATCCTTAGGCATCTATTTATGAGCCGTGTGGAGCACAGTGATGTGGTTGCAACCATTAAGGACGCCATGATTTGCAGAGCAGGCAACGCTGCCGATTACGACACACAATTACCCATGTAATTATTCTCTTACACCAGAGTAATTACACGGTGGTATTATTTGTATATTACAATTTGTTCATATACCTAGTCAAAGTCTCCTTTCACAAACTGGGACCCAGCCCAGGAGGCACTGATCAATGTTTTTAAATAACATAAAAGTCATCTGATAAAGAGCTTGGCTCGCGTGCTGCCTGGAGTTCGATGCTGAATGGAGAGCCAGGGAAGGCTCCGGGTGAGGGTGTTGTGGATACATGCCTCACCTTGTGGCCCTGACAGCAGAGAAGACCCAGCTCATGTCACGGGTAGAGTAAGAAACCATCACAGTGACACTCAGAGCTGTCCCTACTCCAGTGGGCTCTTTGCTTCTCTCCTGGGGCAGTGGCCTCAGCCCAGGGCATCATCTCCTCTGCATCAGCTTGGGTCAAGGCCTCTCTGCATCTCATAGCCCTTGACTGCCCTCTGGCTCAGCATGCACAGCCGATGTGGCATAAGGATCACCCATTTTCTTGCCTGTCTTCCCCGCTGGACTTTGAATTTCTCAATGGTAGGATCCCTAGCTGGTCCTTATTTCTACAGTAGCACAAGGGAGCTGATGCCAAGTCAGAATAGGGGCTCAGGAAATGTCTGATGAACCAAACTGGAAGAAGAAGACCCATGGAACTCTGGCCTGAGGATTACATTGATAAAAGCAATCCTTTTATTTGCAGTGAGATGGGGAGGAGGCTCCGCTGAGAGATCTTGACCAACAATATCAAACCAATTTTCCCTTAAGAATTTCAATCACTTTGGAAAATACAGCTCCAGCATATTTTGCCATGACAAATGGCAAGCAATCAATGGGCTAGGCAGAACTTCTAGGAACAAAGTGGCCTTCCCTGGACAAATCCAGAGCAGGAAAGATCAGGCCAAGGCACTAGCGGTCACTGCACCCTTTTGTGCAGTAAACCAAGCCTGGCTTTGAAATGAGATGGGCTTACCAAAAAGACACCCGCAGGAAAGCCAAGCTCAGCTGGTTCACAGCCCTGGGAGGGAAGAAAAGGCCAAGACAGCAGATGAGCGGGTGAGACAGATGGAAAAAGGGCTCAGAGACTTGGACACTTTGTTTTACCTCAAGTGGTAATGAACATATGAGCACTGAGCACACACTCCCCACTTTGTTTGGTAAAATGACTCCATTTTCCTCGTGAAGGATAACCTCTCCCCTACAGTGGATTGTCCTGTTGGAAGAGTCCATCAAGTTTCCTGCCTTCATAAGGGACAAGTCCATGATCTACTAGAGACACAGGGTGGGCAGACATTGGGTTCTTTGTAACAGCAGCTGTGTGGCTACTAAGATTCCTGAAGCCTCTGTGTCCCCTGCCCTCTGCCAGCTGGGTTCCCCAGACACACCTGTTTTCAATTCTATCTCATGTCTTTCCAAGAAAACCCCTTTCTGCGGCTGTGAGCCTGCGTTGGTGTCTGCCGATCACCACCAAAGCCGCCTGGCTGCCCACCACACAAAGCAGTGGTGCCAGAGCACCTTGGAGTCCCAGGAGGCTCCATTTCCTTTTGCAGAAGCAGAAACTGAGGCCCTGGGAAGTGTTGTCCTCTGCAGATGGCCCCCAGCGGGAGCAAACAGGGACAGGCCCAGAACTCAGGCCCCCAGTGCCTTGCTGGGCACCCCCATCTTTGCCCAGGGAGACAAGCTCCCTGATAGCACAGTCTCAGGGCGGTTCACAGGCAGGGAGGCAACTGCAGTTGACCATCAAACATTTGCAGCCTCAGCTGCTTGAAATACACACACACACACACACACACACACACATACACACATACACACACACACACGGAAAAAAAAAAACACCAGCTCCCGGCAGGTGTGAAGAGGAGCTGCTATTTCCAGTTGCCACCAGCTCTCCCCGGCCCTGCTCTGTTCATCCGCCTGTGGATTCATATTTTAGTTACATCGAATTCCTTTCAGTCCTCGGGAGCAAATATGAGAACTCATCTCCCTCTGCCCTAACCCATCCCACTGTCTAGGGCCAGCTTTCACAGGCCCTGTGGCATGGGGGTGGGACTCATGTGTTTCATTCTAGTGAATTCACTGGTACTGTTATATGGTTGCCCTTGGTGTGTCCTGGGGGCAAAGAGGGATAAGATACGGTGCTGGTCCCCAAGGGGTTCGAACTCATTCAGGAGAGAATTCGTGAGATAAGGAGGAACTCTGTGTGTGCGCAGCGGGCTGTGGGCAGGCAGAAAGGAACAAGAATTAACTGAGCACCAACTATGTGCTTGCACCAGTGCTGGGTTCATCATAAGCATTACTGAATTTCTCCCTTTCTGTGCAGAAAGCATCCATGTCCCAATAAGAACACAGAGTCTTGGAGAAGCCCAGTGGCCCATGGCCAGCAGGTTAAGGGGAAGGAGGCCAGCCCTTAGGCGACCAGTGACTGGTGGATTATCAGTGCCCTGTAGCCTGGCCTGGCCTCAGGGGCCTCTGGCTTGGGGGATCCACTCCCTGCCCCAGTCCCCCACCCAATGCCCCACCACATCAATAAAAGGCCAACATCTAGAATGCTGTCCAAGCTGGGACATCTCCCCCGGAAAGCAGGTGGGTTGAAAAGGCAGGCTGGGAGTTCCTTTCAAGCTTCAAATCGATAGACTTGCTGCTGAGTTGAAAGAAGCAGGAAGGAGGAGTTTGAGATTTTTTTGAAGTCCTAAAATAAGGAATGTTTTCTTTTTTTAATAAAAAACCAGTAGAGATAGAAGAAATGTACCAAGAGCAGCATCGCTTGCTGGGCTCCTCTGTGGATGCAGGGACACAAGCTGCTCTCATTCCCCAACCTGCCCTTGCTGGGGGCACGCTCCTGCCCTCCCCAGGCTTGGAGAACCCTCCTTCCCTGACTCCTGCCATGGCCATGTGGGTGGGTGGACCCCACCCTATGTTCTATGGATAACATGCGACCCAAGCCCAGCCAATGAGAGCATCAGCTCCCCAGGCTATGCTGATGCCTCGGGAATGGGGCATCTTGGCTCAGAAAGTGGCCTGCTGGGTGTTGAAGGCCAGCTCTTTTGTCAATCCGGCAGAGTAGGATTTTAGGCTATTGCCTTCCTCAGTGTCTCATGTTAGATGTGGCTGCTCTTTGCTTGTCTGGTGAAAAATGGCAGCTGAAAGGCATCTGATGGCCTCCTCCCTGGGTCACCGTGGATGCTGGCCAGCCCACTGGGTGTGACCATTCCTGTTGCTGTGCCCTCTCTGCTTGGACACATGGCCCTTGCCTCACACCCACCATTCCACGGTGAGGCACACTGTCACATGACTGTGAGCCGCCCTCTGGCACAAGATGCCCAGGGTTCAAAGCCCAGCTCCCATGTGTGTCACTGAAGGAGCCACTTCCCTGTGCTGGGCCTCCCTTTGTCTGTAGGTGGGGATGATAACGCTTGTATGCCACCAACCCCCCTGACATGAAGCACTCCACAGAGTGCCTGGCTTCAGCTTCCAGCGGGCACTTAGTACATGGCGGCTCTCATTAGTGAGCTCCATTTTGACTTCAGCTCCGTGATAAGGAAGGACCCCACCTTGCACCAAAGTGGATGGCAGACCTCAGGCTTGGCCAGAGCATCCAAGGAATGGGACTCACTGCCCACGAGGCCAAGGATTAGCCCTGCAGAGACTCCTCACCTGTAAAATCAAAGGTGACTTCCCAATGTATTCCAGACAAATGGTCGCGGGAGCATTCCTCTTTGCTGGCGATGGGGGTCACTTTGAAAAAGCAAGGTTGGTAATATGTGTTGGAGCCCTCAAAGGCCTTCCTCTTTCAGCCCAGCAATTCTAACCAAGGAAAAGTATCTGGAGGAATGTTCTCCTCCTTGCTTTCAGAAAATATAATTACTATTCTTGGCACAAAGGAGTGTGATCCTACATTGCTCATGATGAAAGAAATCAGGAAGAAAGCTCACTGCCCAAAGCAGAATCCACAGATGTTGGCCTGCAGTGAACATTTCAGACATGTGGGCCGTGGCATGTTGAGATTGGGTTTCATTAATGATTGCTCTTTAATCAGTTTGTTTGTGCATGCGTTTGTTTGTTCAAATTGATGTTCCAGGCAGGGTGCCAGGTGCCGGTGGACAGAAAGGCAAGAGACAGAGTTCCTGCCCTGGGGTGCATCTGTGGGGTAAGGAAGACAGATGCAGAGCCCCAGACAGGCACATGCAGGTCTCACGGCAAACTGGTCTGTGCATGCAGGGAAGAGCAGAGATCCCGTGACTGGGGTCCTGAGCTGATCTGGGGTTGGGAGGGAGGTGGGTGGAAGGAGGCAGGATCTGAACCAAAAGCTGCAGGGTAAACAGGAATTGGCCACAAAGAATGGGGTGGGGAAGGTGGGGCCAGATGTGTCGGAGCATGGGCCAAGGCCCCAGTCTGGAAAGGACCCACCTCTGATGGCTGGTTAGTCAGCGGGCACAGGCCTGCAGGCATGGAGATGAATTTGCAGAGGTGAGCAGGCACAGCACAGGCAGCCTGGATTTTGCAGTAACCGACATCAGAAGGCTGGCAAAAGGCTCCAAGTATGCGACCGGGGATGGCAGTGGCCCAGGCAGAGCTGGGCTCTGGAAGTGGAGGGAAGTGGGCTAGGGAAGACCAGGGTGACCGTGGGGAGGCTGCTGGAGTCAGCTTGGTGAGAGGAGACAGTAGCGAAGGTAGTGTGGGCTGGCAGCAGTGAGGAAATGGAGACAGGCCCAGTATTAAGACTCTTGGGTGTCCAGGATGAATGAGATTTAGAGGGCAATGCTGAAGCCCTGTGTCCCCATGTAGATGTGGCACTGTTCATGTGATAAATGCCTGGAGAAGCCCAGTTGTAAGAGCCTGGGGATGAGTGGATTTGCAGTGTTGGGGTGGTGTTTCTCGGCACCAGAAAGCAGGGGTTGTTAAAAAACAGGCAGCAGCATCTGGAACTACACTTGTCCTAACCAGGGCCTCCCTGGACCTGGGGATTCCCCATTGCAGAAATCACTTTGGAATTTAAGCTATTTTTACCAGGCAATGATCTTTCGGGCTTTCTAAGAGTCCCTACTGCACAAGGGATAAGAAAGTGATTTGTCAGTTTTCTAATATGTGTTTTTGCAGGGAAGAGGGATGAAATTCTGGCTACGGCAAGCACAGCCTATCAGAGGGAGCTCCCTTAAATCCCACTTCTTGCTTAACAGGGAAGCTGCGTGACCACAGTGTTGGAAAATGGAATCAGGCTACACGTGCTCTTGTGGGAATCCCACGGCAGCGTCCCCATGAGGAGGCAGGGGCCCACCATCACCGGCTGCACCTCTGACCTTCGATGACCTTGGGGGCCAGGTGTCACGGTCACCCTGCACACGTGGGTTCCCTCAGCTGCTCTCAGGAACAAGAGAATGAACCTGTCACCTCCTCTCCCGCTTGAAGGACAGCACCATTTATTGTTTACTGTGGGCTGAGACAGCTGGGGATTCCTCACTGCGATGGAGCCGACATGCAATATTGAGGCAAAGATGGCAGGGAGGTGGGGGGCAGCGCAGAGGAGAAGAGGAGAGAGCCCTCCCACAGCAGGCCTCCCTCTGGGCAGGCTGAGCTTTGCCACTAGCAAGCCCCGCCGGTGCCGGGGAAGGGGAGAAGACACAGGACCTGGAGGGAGGCCTTGGTGAATTGAGCCTTGGCTTTGCTGGGTGACCCAGGCTTGGTCCCTGGATGCCTCTGAGCTGTTGCTGGAACGTGACCTCCCACCTCCCACGATAGAAGAAAAGTGGTCTGGACAAAGGAGGCTGCAATGGACTGAATGTTGTATTCCTCCCCAGTTCACAGGCTGAACCCCTAATCCCAAGGTGATGGGATTTGGAGGCAGGACCTTTGGGAGGAATTAGGTCATGAGGGTGGAGCCCTTGTGATGAGATTAGTGCCCTGGTAAGAAGAGGCCAGAGAGCTGGCTAGCTCTTTTTCTGCCACGTGAAGATAACGAGAAGGCAGCCACCTGTAAACTAGGAAGACAGCCCTCACCAGAACCTGACCTTGCTGGAACCTTGATGTTGGACTTTCAAACCCCAGAGCTATGAGAAATAAATGTCTGTTGTTTAAGTCACCCAGTTTGGAGTGTTTCGTGAGAGCCATCCGAGCTGACGGAGGCAGAGCGTGCACTCTGGTTTTCCCTGAAGACAGAGGCAGCAGAAGGTTTACTTTATAAATCACAGAAAGGCAGGCAGGTGCCCACAAACACCAGGCTCTCCAGGGCCTGTGGGGTGAGATTGGAGTCTGCTGATGCAGCGGGGTGGGTCTGGGTTTGGGTCTCAGAGAGTCGTGGGTCCAAATCTCACTCACCACCCAGTCCCTTGCTGACTTGGGATCCTGAATGGGTCCCTGAGCCTTGGTGAGCCTGTGTTCTTGTCTCTAACATGGTGGCCACAGTCACTGTCCTGGGGGATGCTGCTTACGCCCATGGGCAGGTCCCTGTCTCTCTTAGGTCCCCCTGCCACTCCCTCCAGCCCTGATGGATGACACAGGTGAAGAGCCATTGAGCTCAGCACCCAGCACATGGTAAGTCTCCATCAGGTGGGTCCCCAGAGCACTTGAGGAAGAGGCCTGGAGCTCCCCGACCTCTGTATGTGTGCCCCTGAGCCTGGGGGCCTTTGCACTTTCTATTTTATTTTTTGGCTCTGGTGTTTTGGTTCAGTTCTGCATGCTCTTCAGAAGAGGGAGGAACTCCAGAGTCCCTTCCTCTCTGTTTTATTAGTTCCAGGGGCAGGAGATTCAGGAGACTTGTTTTCTGAAAAGCTCGAGTTTTTTTTTTTTTTTCTTTTCCCTCCTCTCCTACAATAACCTATTGACTTTAAGAGGGAATAATTTTCCATGTATTAGGGCTGAAGTTTCCAGGGTTCACTCTATTTCTGAGACAAAAGCTCTGTATACCAACAAGCCCAATTGAGCCATTTTTCTCCTGCACAGGGGAGGCTGCCTGGCTATCAAGGGAAATGGAGAACATCGCTGATTGGAAGGGATGGCCCATTTAGCCCCAGCTCTGTTTCCCAGCCCTCCTCAGGGCTCCACACTCAGGCTTCTGTTCCCACCAGGCAGGGGCTCCCACCCCTCACAGGAACAGCCCTCAGAGGAACCAGCCACACCCTGAGTGTTCAGCCATGGGGGAGACTGGGGATGGCAGGTGACTTCCAGGAGCCTGGCTTCGTTCTCAGGGAGCTGTGGGTGCTCAGAGCCTGCAAGGGCCCTGAACTAGCTCACCCATAGCTAGGGGGTCAATACCCCAGCTCCCTCTGTCTCTTGTTTTGTGCTGAGCTGAACAGAGAATTCAGGGTGGAGCCAGGAAAGAGACCAGGGAGCCTGTCCCAGGCTGGAGGAAGCATCCCCTGAGAGCTCACCCCTGGAATCTGCAATGGCAGGGGGCACATATAGCTCTTCTTCCTGCTGGCCGCCCTGAGCCTGTTGGATGTTGCCTTGGATGCTCAGGCTGGTGAACTCTGCCTGTCCCATCCTAGAGCCTCCATATGCTCCCACTAAGGTCTGCCATCTCTCCAGGGCTCTCCATCTCAGGGAACAGCATCCCCTTCACCCACAGCTAACACATCACCTAATCAACAAGGAATATCCTAACCCTGTCCCTGCTCACCAATTCATCATCTCTCACCTTGATGTCACCTCACAGGTGTCAGCAGCAGCATAGATGGCCATGGGATAGATATTAGTTGAATGAATAAATAAGTTGATGCATGATGAATGCACGAGTGGATGGATGAAGGGATGGAGGATGGGTGAGTGGATGGATGAGTGGATGGATGGGCAGATGGGTAGATGCATGAGTGGATGGGTGGATGGATGGGTGGATGCATGCATGGGTGGATGGATGGATGGATGGGTGGATGGATGGGTGGGTGGCTGGATGGATGGGTGGGTGGCTGGATGGATGGATGGGTGGATGGATGGATGGATGAGTGGATGGATGGACGGATGGGTGGATGGATGGATGGATGGATGGATGGATGGATGGGTGGATGGGTGGATGGGTGGATGGGTGGATGGGTGGATGGATGGATGGGTGGGTGGGTGGGTGGCTGGATGGATGGGTGGATGGATGGACGGATGAGTGGATGGATGGACAGATGGGTAGATGGATGGATGGATGGATGGATGGATGGATGGATGAGTGGATGGATGGACGGATGGGTGGGTGGATGGGTGGATGGGTGGATGGGTGGATGGGTGGATGGGTGGATGGGTGGATGGATGGATGGGTGGATGGGTGGATGGGTGGATGGATGGATGGGTGGGTGGATGGATGGACGGATGGACGGATGGGTGGATGGATGGGTGGATGGACGGATGGATGGATGGAATGGATGGATGGATGAGTGGGTGAATGGATGGGTGGGTGCATGGATGGACGGATGGATAAGTGGATGGATGGACGGATGGATGGATGGATGGATGGATGGATGGATGAGTGGGTGAATGGATGGGTGGGTGGATGGATGGATGGATGGATGAGTGGATGGATGGACGGATGGATGGATAGATGGATGGGTGGATGGATGGATGGGTGGGTGGATGTATGAATCAACGGATAGGTGGGTGGGAGGATGGATAAGTGGATAGATGAATGAATGAATTAGTGGACTGATGAATGAATGAGTCAACAGATGAACGGAGGGATGCATGGATGGGTGACCCTCCCTGCCTCTCACTCTCTGTCACCCCGTTTGTCTCCCAACTGCAGCAAGTGGACTTTCTTAAAAGGCAAACCAACCAACCAGCACATGTGATCTCATCACCCACCATGTGGAAGCCTCCAGGGCTCTGTGCCATCCTGTGTCCTTCAGCCTGGTTTCCAAGGCCCCCCAAAACCTGGGCTGTCCACTGCCATGTGCTGGCCACTGACACGTGCTGGCCAGCCCAGCCCTCCTTGTCCATGTAGGCCACTCCTCCATCAAGAGGACCATCTTCTCCCTCCTGCAAATGGCCTGGCCCTGTGGGTCACTGGGCCGGTGAGTGTCTGAAGGGGGCTGGCATCTCCTGCTTTCATCCCTCCTAAGAGGGAAGAGGAAGCGTGGGTGGAGCGTAAGAGGCAGTGCTGTGCTCACAGGTGGGAACCTGGATCCCCAGCCACCCACCCTGAGCAAATTACTCAGCCCCTGTGAGCCTTGGCCTCCCCATCTGCAAAACTGGGCAACCACATCGCTGATCATTGCTCTGAGGATCACGTGAGCGACTCCATTCTCATCAGCGTCTGGGGCTTCCGAGACAAAGTGTCACACACTGGTGCCTTCAAACAGTGGAAATGTGTCCTCTCACAATTCGGGAGACTGTGAGTTCAAAATGAAGGTGTCAACAATGCTTCCCGAAGGCTCTGGGAGAGAATCCATTCCAAGCTTTCCTTTTAGTTTTTGGTGTCGTGGGCTCCAAGGCCTCCCCTTCCTGCAGCTGCCTCACTCCCCTCAGCCTCTGTCATCCTGGCCCTCTCCTCTTCCCCATATGTCTTCGTGTCACCTGCCCTCTGTCTTGTCTGTCTCTGAGTCTCTTCTCGTTTTCTTATAAAAATACCAGTCATGTTGGAAATGACCTCATTTTACCTCGATTACAGCTGCAAAGACCCTATTCCCAAAGAAGGACACATTGGCAGGGATGAGGAGTTATGACACGGACATATTTTTTTGGGGGGCACAATTCAGCCCAAAGCACTGCATGCAGCCCCAGGAGCAGGGCTGTCTTAATAATTGATAATCACTGATTGTTTAAGATAGGGCAGGCGGGGCAGGAACACCCCCCAACCCTCCGCCCATGAGGGGTGAGGAGGAGGGGCTGCCAATGGGCCCCTTTGGTTTGGCTGAAGCAGGCAAAGCTCCTTCTCTCTGGAGCTCTCCTGGTCTTGGAGCTCTGCTGGGCAATTGCCTTGCCCTCACCCCTGTTACAAAAGGGGAATGGGGCCAAAAAGTGGGGAGCTGGCAGGGGGTCCTGCACATGGCTGGGGGGCCAGAAGCACCCAAAGTATGCTCATTGGTGAGCTGCCTTGCTGCTGGCCACGCTTAGACCTTCAAGCTGGAGTCCTGGAATCAAAACAGTTGACTCCGGCTTTCCTGTTGGTTTCTATCTGCGTTTTTCTTTGGTGTAGCTGCACCATCATGTCCACACGCCCCGTGTGCTGCATGTTTAAGGCTGAAACTAGGGCTCCGTGTGGAGGCGCTGACCCTGCACACTCTCCCCACCTCTCAGCCTGGCTGTGCCTCTGGTCTGCAACATGATGCTTAAAAGGTGGTCTTTCAGCCATGTCCGCAGATGGTTCTGATGTCCACTCTTCAAGAAAAAGGGCAGACCACTTGAGGGAGAGGCCTGGCTGCCTGGGCGCCCCCGAGCAAGGCCCTGGCCACAGCTGTGAGCCACTGCCCATAAGCAAGCCTGGCTCAGGGCTCCTGAGTGATCGCCCCTCCTGAGGAGGCTAGGGATACCCCTCCTCTGATGGCCAGTCTTGCCCAGAGACCATCATCAGAGAATGATCTCAATTTGCAAATGCATGTCCATACAGAGCACTGGGAATCCTCCCTGGCAGCCCAAATTACCAGCAGAATGGAAAGTTAGCAAGGCTTCCCATGATGGTGGCAGCCCCAGCATGTGCCCAGGTCCTGGGGTCCCACGAGGCACCCTGAGCTTGAGCACCATGGATGAGACTGTGTGCAAGGGTGCCACAATGGCGCCCACACCCCTACACCACCGGAGGCCACAGGTGCACGCATGGCAGCCCTGCAGCAGCCCAGGCCCAGACATGGCACCCTTTGGCTCCCCTCCCGAAGTGTAATGCCAGTCTCACCCTCACTTCCCATCACAGGGAGACAGAAAGGATGGGTTGGCTTTCAGGAGTGTCAGTCCATGGTCATGACAGATGGCAGGTCCAGGGTAAGAGACAGAAGGGATAGTTTGGTCCTGTCTGAGCCCCAGCTGTGTGCCTGGCATTGTACCCCCATGCCTCACGCACTGGCTCTGACCTGAGGGCAGCCTCGTGGGTGGGGCGCTGGCCGGTTCCCTTGGCCACTTTACGACACTGATTGCCAGGGCCAGGCCTGAGCTGCTGAGTCAGGCATCCTCCCATTTAACAGTCCACATGACCAGATGAGGTGGGTAATGTTCATCCCCACTTCACACCCGGGGTGCGGGGGGCAGGGGGGTCGGAAAGCCAGGAAATAGGGAACCTGGGGTTGAGTCTCCGTAAAGCCTGTTCTCCCCACTCTGTCTCCCCCGCCCTCCCTCATGACTCTCTTCATCAGATGTGTGGGCCGGGGAGCGGGTGATGCTGGCCAGACCCTCGGGAGGAAGAACTGCGCAGCAGGATGCAGCGCAGCGCCAAAGCATCTCGGCACCATGGGACCATGCAGCCTGGCTCTCGCTGCTCAGAACGCCTTAAGGGCAAAGCCGTGAAGCGCAAGGGCAGATTCTGGGACTTCCCAAGCTACTGCACACAGAGTGTGGGTCCCACAAAGCACAGGCGGTGGCAAAGCAGCCACAGGGTGCTGCCATCCCCCGCTGGACATAGTACATGACTCACAGGGTTTCCTAGCCACAGAAGAAGGCTGGGGTCCTATGTCCACGGGACCCGGGCTAATCTCAGCTGCCTCTGAGCACCATCATGCACAGCTCAGGTCCAGAAGGAGAGGAAGGAAAACCCTAGGCGGGCCAAGAGGTCAGCAGTTGGCAGGAAGGAGAGGCAGGGGCAGGGAGAGGCAGAGGCAGGGGCAGGGAGGGGCAGGGAGGGGCAGGGAGGGGCAGGGAGGGGCAGGGAGAGGCAGGGGCGGGGAGGGGCAGGGCCCTCATAGCAGGGAGGGAGTGGGGCCCCACAGCACAAAGGGGGCGGGGCCTCCATAACAGGAGGGGCGGGGCCTCCACGACAGGCAGGGGGTGGGGCCTCCACAGCAGAAAGGGGGCGGGGCCTCCATAACAGGGAGGGAGTGGGGCCTTTGCAACAGGAAGGGGCGGTGCCATCACAGCAGGGAGGGGGTGAGACCTTCACAGCAGGAAGGGGGTGGGGCCTCCACAACAGGGAGTGGGCGTGGCCCCCACAGCAGGGAGGGGATGGGGCTTCCACAGCAGGAATGGGGCGGAGCAGCCACAACAGGAAGGGGTGGGGCCTCCACAGCAGGAAGGAGGCAGAGCATCCACAACAGGAAGGGGTGGGGCCCTCACAGCAGGGATGGGGTGGGGCCGCCACAGCAGGAAGGGGCGGGGCCTCCACAGCAGGAAGGGGCGGGGCCTCCATAACGGGGGTCGGGGCCTTGCAGCTGGGAAGGAGTTTGTAGGGCTGAAGGCAGGGGTTCAGAGTGGAGGGAAGAGAGTGAGACAGAGAGAGTGAGAGACAAAGAGAAGGAAGAAAACAAGGAGGGAGGGAGAGGGAGCCATTAGAGCCCAGTGTGGTGGGGAAGCCAGCCAGCTACCCTACACATGGGTGGGAGAGAGACCCACAGACAAAGAGCAGAACAAAGTACTGGACTTCTGTGTTCTGGCAAGCACACAGAGTCCACAGGAAGCGGACATGGGCACAGCCTCAAGAGGAGCCTGGGACTTGGCTCGGCCTGAATGGCACAGTCCTGTGAAGCTGGGGCCTGGAGAGCAGGTGGTACCACCACCCCGTGTTCCTGGTGAGGACTATGAGGTCCAGAGAACTTGGGAACCTGTCTTAGTGGGTCCACAGCTCCAGGATCTGTGCCCCATCCCTCAGGTTTCCTCCTGGGGGGCAGGGCCCTGTGCCCAAAGCACAGGCTTTTGGTGTCTGTACAGAGCTGCTGGAAGGCTTTGGGGGGTGGTGACAGGGCAGCACTGATGGGGCCCTTAGACCTGGGGCGCGTCCTGGTTCAGCAGCCCACCGGCTATGGGGCCTGGGGGAAACAACTTGGCCTCTCTGGGCCTCAATTTCTTTCACCTGTGCAATGGCCCATGAGCATCCTTACCCTGCAGGGCTGCTGTAGAGATTAGAGAACAGGGCTGAACTTTCATAAAAGGCCTTCAGGACACAGGGCCATGCTTTATCATGACCACACCGCCTCTGCCAAGTGGAGGTTTTCACTTTCCGCAATACTTTGAGCTTCTTAAAAACAAAATTTTCACTTGATTCATTGCTCAGTCCTGAGTGCTTACTAACACGTGGCAGTTCCCCTACGAAGACACGGGCGAGTGAGCGGAATGAGGGAAGAGGTGAACTCAGGGAGATTTTGTCCTAACCCTGTGCTTCTCATATCTGGGGTCAAGGGCCCGGGTGATATGGTGGGTGGGCCAGGGTGTCCCAGGACTTGGCCTTCTCCCAGATCACCAGCTTGACATAAAGATTTTTTGGTGAAAATGTGTGTGTGTGTGTGTGTGTGTGATTTTAATATTCAAGCCAACACTGATATATAATGGAGTAAGATGCCCATTCACATAAATTTTTCATATAAAACACAATGCTTGGAAGAAATTCCATGCCTGGGCCAGCTCCTCTGGGCCGTGCCTTCACACTTCCCCATGCCACAGGGCTCCTGGGGCCAAGTGGGAAGGAAACCTGCTGTCGGCCCGAAGCTGATCTGAGCATTGCAGGGGATGTGTGGGGGTCGTCAGGGCCCCCAGGGCCTTGGGTCCAGCCATGACAATAGTAGGCTGCCTGGCCAGGAGCAGCAAGGCCAGGGACTGCTGATTCTGCTGCAGGCGAGACAAAAATAAAAGGGAATTCATTCCCTAAGACAGGTTGCAAAGTGGTCTCCAAGAAGCTATAAAGTGCTGCTCGGCCTGTAATTGTTGCTAAATGGAGTCCTAATAGTATTCACGTCTTCCTGCAAAACCTATCCATTATCCAATAACAGAGAGGCAGACCTGGCAAGGCACACACTCATGCAACTGCCCCTGTAAACAAAGTGATCTTTTCCCAATCAGAGTCACCCGGGTCAATCCTCTATTGGCTAAAGGCTGACTTTGCCCCCTTTTCTTTCTTTTGAGACAGTGTCTCACTGTGTCGCCCAACCTGGAGTGTAGTGGTGGGATCATAGATCACGGCAGGCTCAACCTCTTGGGCTCAATCCATCTTCCCACCTCAGCCTCCTGAGTAGCTGGGACCATACGTGCCAGGCCTGGCTATTTTTTATTTTTATGTTTTTATGTTGGCCAGGCTGGTCTCAAACTCCTGGGCTCAAGCGATGCTCCAGCCTCTGCTCCCAAAGTGCTGGGATCACAGGTGTGAGACACTGCATCCGGCCGCCCTTTTCTCATTCTTTCTATAAACTTGCAGCAGAGAGATTCAGTTTCTCAGGGCCCCACCAGACCCTCAGAGGCTCTAGAAGGTTAGAGCTGTTTGTCCAGTTCACCTTTGCTCCCCAGTGCCCAGCAAGGGACCCAGTGCATAGTAGGTACATAATCTGTATCTGCTCTCTATAAGACTGGACAAAGCAAAGGGCTCTCTCTCTCTAGCACCAAGCACACAGCCCAGCACCTAGTAGGGTCTCACCCCCATTTCTGCTGAATGGGTGGGTGTGGGTGTTGGGAGGGGCTTAGAGACCCCGTTCAAGCTGCCCTCTCACCACGAAGATGGCCTGGGCACAGGGTAGATGGAGCCAAGTCAGGATCTGCCCACAGGCATCCTCTTTCATGGCTGCTACTCTTCCCAGAGGATCGCCCTGGGAGACCAGGAGAAGCTAGGATAGTGGAGCTTGAAGGGGGTTTGGAGAGCCTTCAATTCAGCTGCTTCATCTAAGGGATGGGGAAACTGAGGCCCAGAGAGGAAATGGGATCTGCCCAGAGTTACACAGCTCAGCAGCCCCCAGACTGCGCCCGGTGTGCAGTAAGGAGCTGCTGATTTCTAGCCCCCAGCCAAGCGGGCCGGGCTGTGCTTGCGCAGACACAGGGAGCCCCATCAGCTTGCTAGAACTTAGCTGCAAGGGTGCCTCAGGAGCCCGGAGCATGACAAGGGGTACTCTAGGGGCTGGCAGGCCTGGGTTCAAGCACCATGTGTCAGTGATTGCTTCTGTTCTCTCTACCGGCTGGGTGACCTTGGAAGACTCTCCGAGCTTCCCTGAGCCTCCATTTTCTGCTCTGGCTAATGGAAGTGAACAAATGGTGACCTCGAGGTGGGCCCTGCCCGCCCCCCCCCCCCACATCTGAGTATGGGGACATCCGCTTCTGGCCGAAAGTGTGATACACCAAAAATGATCACCGAGGGGGTAGCAGAAGGGATCAAGAAACTCCAAGTAGATAAGTTTCATGCAATGATAAAGGCCATTTTTGCTTCATATTACATTGAAATATCTTTCCCAGAAGTGTCCCAGCCCAGCCCATCACATCCTTCTCTCGTGAGTTCTGTTTGAGTGCCAGGGGCCGTGCACGGCTGAGGAGTAGGGAGGAATCACGCCTGACCTCTGCCCCACAGTCATGGGCTGCTCTTGTTCCCTAGGACCACCATGCAGGTGTCTGAAGACCAGCCCTGTACCTCCTGAGTCTCTTCTTCTGCCTTAACCAGCTTCTCTGGCTTGCCCCACTCCTTACTTGACATGTAAAGTCAAATTTGTTTTATGTGGAATCGTAACTATGGCTTTTCAGCATCTAAATGCATTTAAAACCAAATCAGCCCGAGTTCCCACTTGTTGCAAAGACCACTATCAAACTGTGTGCCGGGCTTGATTCTAGGTACCGTATATGCATTAACCCAGGTAATCCTTATTCACCACCGCAACCCCACTCTACAGACAAGGAACTGAGGTGCAGGCAGATTAGGAACTTGCCTACAGTTTGTACCACTAGAGAAGGAACAGTGGAGCCTGCTGCCTAGAGCTTGGGCCCTCTGATGCCCTCGGCCTCTGAGTCCACGTGCTCTCTGGCCCTCCCTGACCTGCGTCCCTAGCCCCACTCAGCACGTGGCCCGTCCACACCTCTGCAGACAGGAGCCAATGTTTCATTCTCCTGAGGCAGAAGCGCACTGCCAGCAGCATCACAGGGAAACATATGCCGCCCTGTTAGTTAGATAACAAATCGCTGCCCCGGTTCCCATCACTGATAATTAATTTGTTCTCTAAACACAGAGGTGTGGGCGGGACATGCCACGAGCAAGCAGCCTGACCCGGGCCTGAGGGAACCAGGTGGGTGCAGATCAGCAGGGCCAGGGCAATGCCCCCCATGCCTGGCACAGCCACCAGGTGAGGCCTCTGTTCCATGGCCATGTGTGGTCCCTCCAACAGACACAGCCCACTGGGGCCACACGTGTGAGGCTTTGTCACCCTGCAGCCAGTTCCTAACCTAAAGTCTCAGATGGCTGGCCAGGAGGGCGTCAGTGTTTCCCTCTAAGGATAACGGTGGGTCACACGAGTAACTCATGGGGTCTTCCCTCGGGCCAGGCCCGGATCTGAGCACTTGACAAGGAGCACCTCATTAATTCCATCAGCCTTACAGTATAGATGCTGCTACTACCCCCATTTCACCAATGAGGAAGCCCAGAACAAGGGCGGTTCACACTTGCTCAAGGTCTCAGAGCGGGTAGGCTACAGGGCCAGACTCAGACCCAGGAACAGGCCCCTATGCCCCAGCCAGAGAAGCCAGGGGGTCAGCCTCTCATCCCATTCCCCTGCCGCTCCCCGGTGCCCCACATCCGCTGCACTCCTGGCCCCGCACCGTAACTGCCCTGCCTGCCTCCGAGACAGCAGTTCCTGCAGCATCAGGGGCTTTGGAAGCAACAAGTTCAGATTCAGCAAGGCCCTTGGTGGGCCTCCTGGTGCCTCCAACCTAGGGGATCATGGCCTTCCGGAGAGAGATCAGTTTTGTCCTGTGGTGAGGAGGTGGGCAGGGAGAGGTGAGAACAGGCCCAAACCGGGGCACCCAGAAGCCCAGCCCTGTCTGCACCTGTGACTTTGCTCCTGCCACCTGGGGTCCAACAGGAATCAGGATCGGTGTGTCAGCAGGAGGAGGAGGGCCCACGGGAGGCCAGTTCCATCTGGGTGGCTGTGGGGTGGGCAGAACAATGTGGGTGAGGGGAGAGCAGGAGCCTCGGCCTCCCTACTCCCAGCCCCAACCCCTGCAGCCCCTCCTCAAAACAGCAGCTGTGTCAGCCTCCTGTGGCTGCTGCAACAAATCACCATGCACTCCGTGGCTTGAAGCAATAGAAATTCATTTTCCTCTGGCCATGGAGGGCACAAAGCTGAAGGCAAGGTGTTGGCAGGGCTGGTTCCTCTGGAGGCTCCAGTGGCAAGTCCATTTCCTTGGCTTTTCCAACTTCTTTCCGGAGGCGCCTGCTTTCCTTGGCTTGTGGCCCCAACCAGGCCCTGCCCCAGCCTCTGCTCCATCTCCCAGCTCCCCCTGCAGGCCTGGCCCTCCTGCTGCCCTCCACAAGGACCCTGTGATGACACTGAGCTGATCCCACTCAGACAACCCAGGAGAACCTTCCCATCACAACATCCTCCACTTAATCCCATTTGCAAAGTCCCTTTTGCCATAGAGGTGACATTCACACGTTCCAGGGGTCGGGACTGGGACATCTTTGGGGGCTTCTCTTCAGCTGACAGTAAATGGTAATTTTGAGTGAGGCTCTGCCAGGCACTCACCTGTCAAGCCCACCCTTGATCACTGTCCCCTTTACAGGTGAGACACCTGTGGCTCCCTGATGGGGGGGGACCTGGCAGAGCTGGACTGAGGATAGGGACTCCCCAGCACAGGCACTGTCCTCTACACCACCCTGCAAATCCAGTGTCTGCACCCAGGCAAACCTGATGCGGCTACAGTGTCCACTCGGCAGCACACACTGTTTGTGACACTCATTCATTCACTCATTCATTCATCCCATTCCTTTAAAGTCAGCTGAGCCTCTGTGCTGGGTGCCAGGCCACCATCAGACCCAATCCTGTACCCGCAGTGATATTTCTAGGCTAAATGTCCAAACTCCTGGCTCTGAAATCCAGCCTGTGCCCAGGGATTCAAATAACCTGTCTCAGGGCTTGTCTGCTTTCAAGACTGCAGATACCTCCCCGGTGCTGCCTGTAGAGGAAGTTCTATTGAGCACCCCACATCGCAGCCCCAGCCTTTGGCCCGCACAGAAGGCCCAGTGCTGCCTAGGAACCCCTCTGCTGATCCCCTGTGCATTCTATGTATCATCTCATGGGCCCTTCCACCTGCCCGCTTTACAGGCCAGGAAACTGAGGCTCAGCGGAGGTCACGGCCATGTCCCCAGGTTGCTGCATGCAGAAGCAGCTCTGTCTGACCTCACACTGTCTGACCCAGTCTCCATGTGACACCTTGCCTGACCTCAGGGCCTCAGAGTCTCTCTTGGTTCCGTTACTGCCCCTGTTGCCTTGCCCTTCACATTTCCAAACACAGACGTGGCCTGCAGGGCTGACCCTGGAGGTACCATCACATCCCAGGTGCCTGTGGACCCTCCCAGCTGGTGACCAGAAAGACAGGAGCGGAGTGTCCCCTGCATGGAGTGGAGAAGGGCAGCCGCTGGAAGGCCACCAGGACCAGATCGGCTGGATGGACAGGAACTCGAAGCTGGGCCAGGAGGTGGGGGGCGTGGCCTCCTCTATTGCCAGCTGGAATCTGGGGTCAGTGTGGGCCCTCATCTGGGTCAGCGCCAGCCCCCAGCCACTCATCTTTGTCTCAAATTTGAATCACAGCAACCCCAGGAAGAAGGGGTGATGGTCGGGCTGGAAGGCAGAGTGTCTGCCCCTGCTTCCATAGGGTTTGGGTTTTCCAGCAGGTACAGGCCTCACTGCTGCCAAGCCTGGACAACACCCTCCACCCTCAGCTTTGGGCTCGGTGAAGCTGGGTTCAAATCCAGGCCCCCTGCACCACCAGGTGTGAGACTGAGCAAATCTCACCTCTCTCGTCCAATGTCCTGCCCTGGAAAGGGGGATAATGATGCCTCCCTCTTTGGGCTGCTGTGGGATGGAAAGAGATCGGGTGTGTGAATCCCCAGGGCTGGGGCTGGGAAGAAGCAGGGGCTGGCTCAGGTCAACCCACCTCTCTTCCCTACACGCCGAGACATGGCCTTCCAGCAGGCGCCTCTCGTGTCCCCAGGGCCAGGTCTCCCTCACCTCCCCTCTGTAGCCCTCCCCACCTCTGCATTCCAAGTCTGTCCAGCTGGAAGCTCCTACAGCAGAAATCAAGAAGAGAAAAAAACGAAACAAAACAAAACAAAAACAGCAAAGCAACCTGCTTTAGGAAGAGAGAGGACATCCCATGAACAAACGTGGCTGAGACCACCGAGACGGCCCAATCAAGGCTGCACGCATCTCAGCCCCCTCGTTCCATAGACTGCTGCTGCCAGGCCTGTGGTCTCAGCAGAAGCTGCCAAGCTCCAGTGCGCCCAGCTCCTCTGAGCCCCTGTGAACCTGCCACCAGCGCAACCATCGAAACACTCCAGCACCCTTGGAATCATCACCATCCCGCACAACTCCCTTTCTGGATGTTCTGTTGATTCATGGACATTCTCACAGACTCCAAGCTGCTCAGATTTCTCCTTCAAAGTCACCATTAGAGCTGAGCACAGGGGCCTGTGTGCCCACCTCATGCCGAGCATCATGCAGGGGCTCTGGGTGCCTGATCCTAGAGCTCACAATTCCCTGTGCGAGGTGTGGGTGACATCCCATTTGAGGAAACTGGGGCACAGAGAGGGGAGCTGGGATGCAAACACTGGTCTGAGTCCCTTTCTGTGACCGTGAACTGCTTTGCTGAATGGAGTCAGGTTCACAGGACAGCTTTGCCCTGGTGCCTCTGCCGACCTTGATCTGGGCTCAGGGGGTGGGCCAGGACACAAACACACGTTTGCAGGAGGGCTCTTCTCACGGAACCCACGGTGGGTAGCCTCGGAAAGACCCCTCTCTCCTATTGTACAGCCAGCCAGAGAGCAAAGTCAGGAAGTTCCCCCAGACCCAGGAAACAGCAAGGAGAGCTCAGATGGAAATCATAGCATAATCAAAACCGGATCAACAACTAACTTCCGAAGAACGGGCCTGCTCAGCACTGCCTTCCGAGGGCTCCCAGCCCAAGAGAGCTGCTGCTGTCTCTGCTTCCAGGCCCACAGCTCCTCCCTGCTGTGCTCTGATGGATGCATGCCCCCACCCCAACCAGCGGGAAGACAAATGTGCCCTAGGTATGCAGGCGGTGCCTTCCTCCAAAGCCTGGCCTCTGGTTTAAAGCACAGAATGGTGTCAGGTAGCACCGGGAAGGGTGGCAGTGAGAGCTGGGAGGGAAACATCTCACACTCCGGCCTGGGCCAAAGTAGGAGACAGCAGGGCAGGGCAGCAGCTTCCTTGCTCTGCAGAGTGAGCGGCACAAGGCGAGAGCCAGAGTGGCGGCCACCCCCAGCCAGCACCTACCTTCCTCTTGTTGGTCGGGCAGATGTAGAAATTGTCGATGACGGTGGTGACACCAGGCTGGAGGGTGAGCTTGGTGTAGGACGTCCCGAAATCTGATGACCTGGGGGAAAAGGGGGACAGCCGTCAGCCATGTACCCTCCAAGTGTGGCCTTCGTCAGCCCACACGGTGTCCAGCCCCTGCCCTGTGCCCGTGCGGGCCGAGTGCCCCAGACACCCTGAGTACAGTCCTGGGCACTCTGCCTGGGGGCAGTGTATGCCGACAAGGCAGGAGAGGAGACTGGGCTCTCTCAGGAACACTGAGGACTCACACAGGTGTGGAGCTTAGGTCCAGAGCTAGGATCCAAAGTCAGGTCCTTCTGACTCCAAATCCCAGCCAGTCATTCCTCCCCCATGCCTCCTATGAGCCGGGCAGCTCTAGGTTACCACATGCATCTCACAGGTGACCAGAGAAGCCTCCAAAGGGATAGTTCACTGCCTGAAATCACTTAGTTAATAAGTGGCTGACTCAGGATTTGACTGGCCCGTCTGATTTCAGGCTGGTGGCTGTGCCGAGGCATTCCTGTGGCCTATCTGCTTGCCTCTTTCCCTCTCTGGACTCTGAGCTCCTCCAGGGAGCCCCATCCTCCACCCTGGCCACCACCTGCAGCACAGGATGGTAGGAGACCGCAGGCAGGTACCAGAGTTCGGGCAGCTGCTGGAAATCAGACCCCAAGCACTATGCCCGCCCTGGAGTGGCATCTGCTGGACTCGTGCTGGGAGACAGGGCTGTCCACTCGGTACCTCCTTGGGCAAGGCCCTCCTGGCCAAGTGAGAATCTGAGAGTACACTGAGCTTTAAAGCGCCTTGGCTGCCCAGCAAGAAGAGGGAGATAAGCCACAAAGGCAACTTCATATCTGTTGTTTGGAAGCCATCCATCCATCAGGATATGGAATTAATTCTCCATTGAAGATTAAGTCCCAGAGATCCTGAAACCAACACCTCTTATCATCAGCCATTAAAATATACTGGGATTGCAGGATATGCCCCGACTGTACTGGAGAGGATCAGAGGTGCTCGGGGAAGCATTTCACATCTCACCCCTGCTCTATCGATGCAGAATCCAGACACAGACCCAAGGTGGGGAGAGGCACAGGGGTGGAACACACGGCCGTGGGGCTCCTGTCGTGGGCAGCATGCCTTGTGGGGCTTCCCCATGTCTGATCACTGCTGAGCTATGCTGAGCTCAGGGGACTGGGGGCAACTCTCCAGCTTGGGCAAGGGGGCCTTGGGCTGGAGCCAGGCTTCAGTGCTCCTGCCTCAGACCCCAGCACCTGGCTCTGAGCCCGGCCTGCACTGACGTGTGTGGCCTGACTGTGGGGCCAGTGCTTCTCAGACTCACCTAGTTTGTCCTCTGGGGGCCGAGGGGACAGGCCTGGAGCTGCTTTAGCATAAAGGCCCCACCCCACTGGGAGCTATTTCACGCCCTTCTAGAACACATCTTTGGTGGTTTCTACTTGGAGACGTTTCCTCCCTACATCTTCAAGTGAACCTGAGGCTCCAGAAAAATGGACTGTTTATCATCTCTGGGCATGCTGGCCACGTGGCCACAGGTCCCCAGAATGTGTGTCCCTCACAGTCCTCAGGGTCACAAGGTTTCTCCTAGGCCAGGACAAAGAGCAGACCCCCAACCCCCAGCCCTCTAACTCCCAGGGGCCAGCCCCTCCCCAGGATGGCGGGGGGCCTCAGGACCTGTCTGGCCTCTGTCTGCCCCTGGTCTCCCCAGGGAGGACCAGGCTGGAGTGAACAAAGAAGCCCAGTGGAGGTATAATTAGGACGCACTTACTCTCAAATCTCAGAGAATTGATTTTCTTTGGGAAGGACGCAGAGAGAGGCCCATTAGCAGAGGATCGATCTGATCCAGAGACCCAGAAAATTCCAAGGCCCTTGCAGAAACAAATGGTTGTGTTTACGAGCCTGACACAGGGGAAGCCTCCCCTTCCTTCCCCACCCTGCTGAGCCATCTCCAAGACCTGCCTATCGATCCCGCCTCCCAAATACCTCTCAATCCTCTCTTCCCTTCACTCCCAGCTCTGCTCGCCTTAGCCCAGCATCCAGCCTGGCCTCAGTCCTGCTCCCCGCCCTGGGCCAGAGGAGCCTGCTCATACCTGCAAACTCCAGAGCTCCTGCCAGGAGTGGCCTGCAGCTAGGAGCCCATGAGCAAAGCCCCTGCTCTCTAGGAACGTCTGTTCTAGGAGGGGAGATGGAAGGAGGCAGATGGACGATAAGGAAAGAAGCAAAAATACAACAGCATCAAATGTGATGAGGGTGGGAAGAAGAATCAACGGTGTAGGGGTGCGGGTGGAGGGTGAGGGAGGGGTGGTGGGGCCGCTGGGTTGCAGACAGAGTGGTAGAAAGTCCCCTTAGACAAGGTGATGTTTGCACAGAGTCTGGAAGGAAGGAGAGAGGTTGTGCCTGGCTGGGGAAAGGCATTTGGACGGGCTTGAGTAGTGTTCCCCAAATTCCTGTGCACCCAGAACCCATGAGTGTGGATTTATTTGGAAACAGGGTCTCTGCAGATGCAATTAGTTAAGATGAGGTCATGCTGGGTGAGGGTGGGCCCTGAGTCCTGTATGGCTGGTGTTATAAGAATTTGGAAATTGGGACACAGACACAGAGAAGGCCGCGCACAGACAGAGGCAAAGTGAGGTGATGTGGCCGCAGGCCAAGGGTACCAAGGACCTGGGCAGCCACCGGATGCTGGGAGAGAGGCAGGGGGCAGAGGCTCCCTCAGAGCCTCTGAAAAAAACACTCTCAGATTTCTGACCTCCAGGACCCCGAGAGAGAGTTCGCCACAGTGGTACTTTATGATGGCAGCTGCGTTCCAGGTACAAGGGCCCTGAGGACAAGGAAGTCAGGTCCATTTAAAACACAGTCCAGGCCAGGCACGGCGCCTCATGCCTGTAATCCCAGCACTTCAGGAGGCTGAGGCCTGAGGTCAGGAGTTTCAGACCAGACTGGCCAACATGGTGAAACCTCGTCTCTACTAAAAATACAAAAATTGGCCGGGCGAGGTGGCAGGCGCCTGTAATCCCAGGTACTCAGGAGGCTGAGGCACGAGAATCTCTTGAACCCAGGAGGTGGAGGTTGCAGTGAGCTGAGATCGCACCACTGCACTACAGCCTAGGTGACAGAGCAAGACTCCGTCTAAAAACAAACAAACAAACAAAAAACAACAACAAAAAAAAAAACGTAGCAGCTGCCAGTGCCTAGGAAGCCCCTCACCCTGCAGACAATGCAAACCCAATTCCTCAGATATCCACGACTCCCAAGTCCAACTCCTGCAGACACTAGGAACATTGATTCACCCACTCACCCATTCATTCCATTTGTTTAAATTTTTATGCTTTAAGGCCCATACTACGGGCCTAGGAATTCAAATTCACCCCCTCATTCAAATTCTTTCACATGATGTGTGCATACTGAGTACCTGCTGTGTGTCCCATCACTACACTGAGGCTGGAATCCATGGGCAGCGTGGACACTGTGCCCTGCTATCATGGGGGTGACAGGCTGGCTGGTGTTGGGGGGAGAGAGAGACAGAGAGAGACAGAGAGAGAGACAGAGACAGAGAGAGCACAAGGAGACAGACACTGCAGCCGGGAGCAGCGATGCCAACAGGCACGTCCAGAGAGTCCTGGGAGACGCTAAGGGGAACATCAAACTGAGGGGGTCCAGGTGCCATCCTCAGCCCCCCAGGCTGCCCCCACTGCCAGGTCTAATCCAGCACTGACCAGCTGACATTTCCTCCTAAAGCTTTTAAATTCCACCCCTACATCTCCCTGCTCACCTTAGTCTGGGTACCCTTCCTCTCTCATCTGTGCATAAGGAGCACCTGGCATGAGGGCCCCAGGCTCAGCGGAGGGGGCACAAACACTGGCAGGCTGACTTCACCTGGTGGGGGGGCCTGTGAGATTCCCATGGCTGCTGTAACAAAGGCCCACAGACTCAGCAGCTTAAAACCAGCCACATTCATTATCTACAGTTCTGGAGGGCAGGAGTCTGCAGGGGGTCTTACAGGGCTAATCAAGGTGTAGGCACCTCCTGGAAGCTCCAGAGGAGAACCCATGCCCTGTCTCTCCCACCTGCTAGCGACCTCCTGCAGTCCTCGCCCCGAGGCCCCGAGGCCCACTGCAGAGTCTATCGCTCCACTCTGCTTCCCGTCACAGCCTCCCGTCACAGCGCCGACTACCACAGTCTCACGTCCCTCTGGCTCCCTCCTTGTGATTACAAAGGCCCCACGAGGACAATCCAGGATAATCCCAAGATCCTTCATTTAATCCATCTGCAAAGTCCCCTTTGCCATGTAAGGTAGCATAGTCACAGTTTCCGGGGATTAGGACGTGGACGTCTGTGGGAGGCATTGCTCTGCCGACCACAAGTGGGCATTTGAGCCGGGTCCGAGGTATGTGTAGGAGCTGGTTCGGGAGCAGTGTCCCCACGTGAGCTGTGAGAGACAACAGGGCGGCCGGAGGTGGGTGGGGCGGGCGGTCCCCAGGGCCACAGAGAGGGCTGGACCCGCATTGTCGGGCAGCACCACTGACCCGCAGGGCCGCCTAGCACTAGAAATAGGGTGAATTCATTCGAATGGAGATGCCCTGGGACTATGAAATATACACTGATTTCAAAGACTTAGCATTAAAAAGAATGTAAAATATTTCATTATAATGTTTATATTGATTACATGTTGACATCATCTTTTGGATATATTGAGTTAATTAAAAGCTGTGATTAAAATTAATTTCACCTGTTCTTTATTTTAAACCCATAGGCTTTATTTCTTACAGCAGTTTTAGGTTCACAGCAAATGGAGTAGAAATGAGAGCATCCCCATACACCTTCGGCCCCCACCGTCAGCGCCCCCAGCTGAGAGACTCGCTCTTACAATCAGTGAGGGAGGCCGCCCTGACGCGACATTACCACCAGAGTGCAGAGTTCAGGTCAGGGCCAGCTGGGGGGCTCCTGAACTCTATGGGTCTGGGCACCTGTAGAATGACAGGGCCCCCCCAACTGTGGTATCATACGGAGCAGCGTCACTGCCCCAAGAATCCCCTGTTCTCCGCCGATTCATCCCCCTCACCCCGCCCGCCTCCTGGCAACCACCGATCCTTTTATCATCGTCATAGTTACGCCTTTTCCACAAGGTGATCTACCAGGAATCCTAGAGTTCACAGCCTTTTCATTTGGTTCCGTTCGCTTAGTGATAGCATTAAGGTCCTTCCACGCTTTTCCATGCCACCTGTTTCTCTTCACTTTTTAATGTGGCCACTAGAACATTTAGAAAGACCCCAATGGCTCCGATTCTATTCCTAAGGGACACGCCGGTCTGGACAACGTGCCAAGGCGATGGGCGTCTTCTGAAGGTGTGGGGCTCTGCAGTGGATGGGCACGTGACCCCTGGAAAATGCGGTCCCAGCAGATGAGCAAGTGACCATGTGGAATCTGCCTGAATGGCGCCTGGGTCGTGGCACCTGCATAGCAGGGCTCATCATTACTGCTGTTTGGGAAGAGTGCTGCAGTTGCAGGTGGGGACAGGTGACTGAGGAGGAGACAGGTGTGAGGAGGGGACAGGTGACTGAGGAGGGGACAGGTGACTGCAGGGGACAGGTGTGAGGAGGGGACAGGTGACTGAGAAGGGGACAGGTGACTGAGGAGGGGACAGGTGTGAGGAGGGGACAGGTGACTGCAGGAGGAGACAGGTGACTGAGGAGGGGACAGGTGACTGAGGAGGGGACAGGTGACTGCAGGAGGGCCCAGGTGACTGAGGGGACAGGTGACTGCAGGGAACAGGTATGAGGAGGGGACAGGTGACTGCAGGAGGGGACAGGTGATTGCAGGAGGGCACAGGTGACTGCAGGAGGGGACAGGTGACTGCAAGAAGGGACAAGTGACTGAGGTGGGGACAGGTGACTGAGTTGGGGACAGGTGACTGAGGAGGTGGAGGAGTGAGAGGAAGAATAGGATGTAGGCCCAGGAAGTGGAGTTGGCATGACTTGGGGCTGCCCGAGGTGTCAGGCTGAAGGAGGGGACACCAGGTGACATGGAAGATGGAGTGACACTGCTCAGGTGCCATGCTGCTTGGGGGAAGGTGGAGGGCTGGGCTGGGAGTCAGGACTGCCCCCGGGTGAAGCACGGTTGGGGGGTCTGGGCTCATGTCCGCCCACTGCTGCTCCCTGGGCAGCCCACTGTGGATTTTAACATTAGTTTTCTTCTTTGAGGCATCAGAGGATTGGAATCAGGCATCTTCAGGGTCCTTATCAACAAAAAAGGCTGTGACCACACATCCTTAACCTGCAGGCACCCCGCAAGTGTCCCTGTTGTCTAGCCTCCCAGAACCCCTTTCAAGAGACCTGAAAGGGATCCGTTCTTCCCAGAAGCCTCTTGCCCGGACTGTGTTTTCCTGGTGGGCAACTCAAGAGTCTCTCTCTCACTGCATTATTTCCTCTGAGCATCTGCTTCTCAGATAAGTAAGTGCAGCCATGATGATATCTAATGATGAAGATTTATTGCAAGGAACAAAGCTGGAGAACGCCCAGTGGGCGTGCCCGGCCTTTGCCTCTCCCCGCGCTGTGTCCGAGAAAAGGAGGACCCGAGTTAAGCTCCCGCTCTCTGGAACCTGCCAGGTTTCTGTTGCAGACCAGGGGTGCTCGGGGGACAGGATCCTCAATGATGGATGCCCTCGTCTTTCTATGGGGAGCATGTTTCTCTCTGCGGTGCACTCGCCAAGCTTGGACTCTTGGAAGAGTTCAGACTCTTGGATCGTGGTTAGAAAACCTGAAACTGGCTGGCAAGCAGTGGCGGCGGGGTGGGGAGGGGGACCACCCGACTCCAGCAGACAGCTCAGGGTGCTGCGGAGGCCAGGCCGGTGGGAAGAGAGATGCGGTTAAGGAGGCACTGCCGCACCCCACTTCCTTTCCTGGGGAAAGAACAAGGGCGGCGGCGCTGCTTATCTGGCCATTATTCTAAACTCTAAACATCACTCCTTCAAAGAACATGAAAAAAAAAAAACAAAACCCACAGCAGCCTGTTGACCTCTTCCTGTGTGTTTTCAATGTTGTGCAAGCAACAAGACTCAACCAGACAAGGCAATTCTAGAGGGGCGCTGGGGAGGGCAGGGCCAGGGCGTGAGTTGAGGTGATGGGTTAGGGTCCCAGGCTGCTGTGCAAATACCACAACCCGCGTGGCTTGTCCCCTCACAGTTCTGGAGGTCAGAAGTCCAAAGTCAAGGTGCTAGCAGGGCCCTGAGCTCCCTCTGGAGGCTCCAGGGGAGGATCCTCCTGCCTCTTCCAGCTGCTGAGGGCTCCAGGCGTCCCTGAGATTGAGGCTGCATTGCGCCACTCTCTGCCTCGATTTCACATTGGATATAGTGCCCACCCTAAAGCCAGGCTGATTTCACCTCTATCCTTAGCTAATGACATCTGCAAAGGCCCTGGACCCAATAGCGTCACCCCTGAGGTTCCTGGTGGACAGAGATTTTGGGGGCGACTCTATTCACCTCTCTATAGGCAGTTGCACTGACTGAGCTTCTATTCTACATGAGGAAGACTCTGAATTAGCACCTCACCTGCCTACTTCATTAAATCTCCCTGAATCCCCTGGGGAGCTCCTGGTTTTCAGTGAAGAAATGGAGACAGGCAGCTTCCAGTGCGTCATCCCCAGGAAGAGTTTGAGGCCAGTGGGAAGCCCCAGGGGCCCAAGGAGGGAGGGGGCCTCTTGCTGGGACCACTGGAGGGCATGGTAGGAGTTAAGTGTACGGCTTCGAGGAACACGGTGGAGCAGTGAGGGGCCTGTGTGACCCCCAGTGACGGGCTGAGTGTCTGCGGGGCGCCGGGCTCAGTGCTGGGTGTTGGACGCAGCTAGGGGTCGATAGTCCAATCACATAACAGCGGCCTGTGGGCAGGGACACTGAGGGCCGGTCAGCAGGGTCAGTGTGATGGATGCTGTGGCCCATTCAGTTGCTGCCCCGGCTCATGGTGGACTGAGCAGAGGGAGGGAAGGGGTGCTGCCACCACCCCATATCAGACAGCTGGGCCTGTCTCTTAGCAGTTCACCAGAGCACAGGACCCTCAGATCAACTCCAAACCCAGTACTACCCCCTCCTGAAGCCCACACAGATCTCCCGGCCAGAGTGGGGACGCAAGCCTCTACTGGCCAGGCACACAGCTGGCACTCAATAAATGCTTGTTGGATTCCTTTGGAGGTGCTCTGGGTGCCAGACCTGAAGGCTCTGTGACCTCAGGTGAACAGGTTTCCCTCCCTGGGCCACAGTTTCCCGCTGAACATGTGGGAACTGGATTTGAGTATTTGAGTCTAAGCACTAGCACTGACACTCGTGGATCGAATTCCTGTACATCTTCCTTAGCGGTCCTAGTGGCTCCTGAGCCTGCCCTTCTGGGGAGGAATTCTCCCTAGAATCTGTGGATGGTGTCAAAATCCCTGGGAGAACTCAGCCTGTCTGGAAGGAAGAAAGGGAGGAGGCAGAGGGAGGAGGCAGAGGGAGGAGGGAAATGGGAAGAGGAAGGAAAGGGGAGAGAAGGGGAGGAAGGAGGGAGGAGGGAGGGAAGAGGGAGGGAGTGACAAAGAGGGAAGAGTGGGAGGAAGGAGAAGAAAGGAAGGAAGGAGGGAAAAAGGGAGAAGGGGAAGGATGGGGGAAGAGGGAGGGGGAACAGGGAGGAGAGAAGAGGGAGGAGGGAGGAGAGAAGAGGGAGGAGGGAAGAGGGGAGAAAGGGAGGGAAAAGGGAGGAAGAAGTGGGGGGAGGAGGGAGGGAGAAGGGAGACAGGGAGAGAAAAGGGAGGAGGAAGGGAGGGAGGATAAAGGAGGGAAGGAAGAGGAAAAGGAGGGAGAGGAAAGAAAGGAAGGAAGGAGGGAAAACGGGAGAAGGGGAAGGATGGGGGAAAAGGGAGGAAGAAGAGGGAAGAAAGGGAGGAGGAAAGAAGGAGGGAGAAAAGGAGGGAGGAGGAGGGAGGGAAAAGGGGAAGGGGAAGAGGCAGGAGAGGAGTAGGACGACAGCGCTTACTGAGCGCCTCCTCTCTCTGTGCCTGGTGCCGTCCCGCAGGTGACCTCCCCAGCATTCAGTAGCTGCACCATCACCAAGTTCTTTAACTGCACCCAGCAACTCAGGAGCTGATCATTCCAATCTACATTTATTCCAATTAAAAATAAAAAACCAGAGTCTAAAAACGGGCAAATAGAAACATGGAAGGCAAGCGCAGTTGGAAAATTGCTGTCTGCAAATCGGCTGCTTAACTGCTGAGTGTTTGTACATATTCACTTCTTAAAAATGATTTAATGAAGCCATTTTCCTCCCCTATAATTACTCCATTGGCGGGGACGTATGTGCAGTGCCCACCCCTCCTCCTCAGGGTGAGGAGCCCCTGCTCGCCCCACTCCCACTTGCGAACACGGAAGTCACACGCGCAGGTGTGAAAGGCAGCACCCGCCTGCAAGCTCTGGCCTTGGGCAAGGTTTACACCTTTCTGAGACTTAGGATTTTTTTCTATCTGAACAAAGGGTTAATGAAGCGGACCTCCTGTGCCTGTCCTGAGGATTCCAGAGGTGTGTGTAGAACATGCACGAAGCAGGAACAGAGTGGTGGGCAGGTGGCACTGCCTGTGTCACTGTGCCACTGAAGGGAAGCCGGTGTGCTCCAGCTTGTCCCCTGCTTACGGCATGGACCACCCCTTGCTTGAAGACGCAGCCGCTGTGTCCCTAACAGCTGCGAGGCTGAGTGCCAGCACCTGTTCTGCACTTGGCAGCTGCAAGGCCCCTTGAGTGGACCCCAGAACCCCTCTTGAGGGTACATGTATTCACACCTGCACTTTATATATGGGGAAACTGAGGCCCAGTGGGAAAGGGACTTGCCCAAAGGGAACCCCAGACTGGAACCTCAGTCTCAGCAGAGGTGACAGGTGCTGCAGATGTGTTTTCCCAGGGGAATTCATTCTGAGCTTCGGTCACGTTCCAGTTCAGGCTAGGTCTGTGCTGTGAGATGAGAAGACACACAGACCGCTGTGGCGCCCAGGACCCGATGGCTCCACAGAACCCGCGAAGAGGTACCCAGACTTTCTAACAAACCCTCCCAGGATCAGAGAGGAAGAGGGAACTAAGGTGACACAGGGCAATTGTGGGACAGTGAAGTTGTTCAATAAAATTCCAGAAGGCGCTCCAGATTCTGAGTGTGAAAGGGGGCATCAGGCGCCAGCGAGGTGGGTGAACAGAGGGGAAGGAAGTGCAGCCCGGTGCCGGAGGGGGTGCCCAGTGTTAGGGACGAGGAGACCCTGCCAGGCAAGTCACCCAAATACGCAGCAGCGAAGGCAGCAGGATCTGAACCCACGACCCACAGAGATACAGGGAGAGAGCAGGATGCCCTTCAGCACGAAAGCTGTTTGGGGAGGAGTTAGCGAGATCATTGCCCACCAT
Source organism: Homo sapiens (assembly GCF_000001405.40). NCBI lineage: Eukaryota > Metazoa > Chordata > Mammalia > Primates > Hominidae > Homo > Homo sapiens. The sequence goes on along the minus strand of NC_000004.12, from coordinate 7,521,173 downwards.
GCTCTGGACACCAGCAGAGGACAGAGTGAAGGGAACCTCACCGAGACCTTACTATCACTTCAGAACAGGAGGACACCTTCCCATTTCGCTGACCAGGAAACTGAGTCCCAAGGAACATTAAGTAACTCGCCCAAGATTATAGCAACATCAGAAAACTCAGTGTTGGGCCACGCAGTGGCTCCAGGCTTGTCTTCTCTGAGCTTCCCAGGCTGTCCCCTGATCCGTGCACCAATGCCCCAGAGGGGTTGGGGTGGCATGGCACCCACCCTGCACGTCCTGGGCACCTCTGACATTCTCCAATGCCAGCAGCTGGACCTTGACTGCAGCCCGACCCAGTGCAGGAGCTGTGTCATTTCACCTGTGCGTTACCCATGGGCTTGGGCATCTCCTTAACTCCACCTCACCCCCAGACTCAGCCCTGGCAGTGTGCCCTGTGGGCGGAGAGGGCTGGCGGCAACAGAGGCAACTGATTTTCTGTGTCTGAACCCACAGGGGCAGCACCCCTAGGGCCACCCCCGGTGCCTGTGCCCACCTCTCTGCATCCACGCCCTGAGCCGCGTCTCCCAACCAGCCCTTCCACATGTGGGTTCAGCTGCCTGCCACGGCTTGCTGGTATTCTGAGCCCACTGGTGCTGGGGGCTGTGACACTCACTAGCAGATCGTTCCAGAATGAAGCTGGGCTGGGCGCAATCCCAGAGGACCCCTCCTCCACCATCAGTGCCCCTGCCTGCAGCTTTTACTGACACCTTAGGGATGGAAATAGGGGCATGACCTCGGACCTGACCCACGGAAAACCAGCACACACCTCCTCAATTTACTCTTCGCCAACTGTGTCTCACTGACTGCATGAGAATTGGTCCTTTTCAGCGAATCCCTCGCTATCTATAAACTCCTGCAGTAACTGAACCCCTCCAGTGCCAGAGTTCCTTTCCAGACCTCTCCTGAGCATCGGCGCGATGCCAGGCTGCATCCAGACCAGGCGTGCACGTGGCTGGGCGGGGAACTTCTGCAGCCAGCGGTGCCGTGCAACTGTACGAGTGGCTCAAACTGGGAAGTGAGTCCACCCTGGTCAGCCAACAGCGCCACCCTACAGCCCCCAAGGGCCCTCATCACCAGGGCTCTCCTCCTCCAGGCTGACCCGGCACCTCCTCAGGGGCCAGCACTGAAGGGGGTAAGCCTGGAACTGGCAGAGCAGGAGCCCTGGGGCCTAACTCCAGGCTGCCCCAGCTCCTTTACAAGTGACTGATGCTCCCTGCCCCGCCTGCTTAACAGGGGAGCCCAGGATCCTGTGGGGCTGAGAGCAGGCACAGAGACCACTGAAATGCAGCTGCTGCTCTAGCACGGCAGAAGCCCCCATGTGCGCCCTCTGGGAGGCCGGGCCAAGGAGCTGCAGGAGCTGAGGGGGAAGGAGGGGCAGAATGGGTCAGACTAAGAGGTGTGGGTGCTGCGGGGACCTCCCCTGAGATCAGCCAGTGCTGGCTAAGGAAGCAGGTTGCTCCATGCCAGCAGCAATGAAGGGATGAGGGCAGAAGTTCTAGAAAGGTGATGAGCAGCCAAGTTTTACAGGCACAGGCAGCAGCGCTGGAAGGTGAAAATGGCAGACACAGCTTCACCGTGGCCGCCACGTGCTGGGTCTCTTCCAGACACTGGCTGGGTTGCTTCTTTAATCCCCATTCCAGCTGTTCCCGTGCAGACAGGGAGACTGAGACTCACGACGTGAACTCACTTGTCTGGGGTCAGAAAGGATGAAACGAGACTCTATTTGACTTGAGTTCCAAACTATGCATCTGCTGTGGGCTTCCAGCTCTGTGGGAGGGAAGTGGCATTGTGGTTCTCGCTGGTTTTATGTCTGGAGGTCTTAAAATGGCACAAGGTGGGATGTTTGCAATGGCTCTTGTCCCAACTGATGGAGTCTTTAGAATTTGTGTATAACCATCCACGGTGAACGAGGCCGAGCTCCTGGAAGCTCCCTGGTCATGCTCCCGGCACAGGCAGAGCTGCCGGTGCTCCCCTCGGCATGCAGAGCCTTGTCAACCTCCAGCAGATATGCCTGCTCTACAGCTGCTCTGCGAGCCCTCCGCCGGGCACACTTCCAAGAGCCACGGCGGGTGACAGAGCCACCCTCCAGTCCCATGCCAGCCAGCTGGGATGCCAGAGCCTGCAAGCCCGAGGCTGCCAGCAGCAGCAGGTATGGGTGAAGGAGGTGCCAGTTACCTTGGCAGCTCCCACAGGCAGCAGGTGCGAGGCTGAAGCTGTACTTGGCACTGTGTTGTTCCTCACTGTGAAGCAGCCGTCCGATGATCCGGACACAGCCCGCGACTTCTGGGTTAATTGGGGGAAGCTGCGTTTGATGGGGGGCCGGGGGGGCAGGCTGAGTTTATGGCCAGGTAGAGGTGAGTCTCTGGCCTGACATGGTGGAGAGTACACATGGGCTGAGAGAAAACCGGCACTTGCCCATCGCTTTGCACTTGGTCAGGAAGGACACACGAGCACCTCCTGTGAATGGACCAGGGTAGTTACCTCTTTCTCCCGCTGCTGGGCATGAGTCACACTGGCCCCACGTTGTCCCCAGGAACCAACCTATTTGGGAGGATGGAAACCACTCTAAAACCCAGAGTGTTACTTCAAACAGGAGACCCAAATAGAATGAGGCAAAGAACAACACAATGGAATTAGCTGGACTCTGCAGTCCCCACGAGACACACAGCAAAAGAACTTTTGCACCCAGCAGCTGCCTTCTGTGGAGAGGACTTGCCTAGGAATTCCCAGCAGGAGTGAAGTGGGACGGGCTGATGGACAGGGCAGAGCTGGAGAAGCCCAAAGAGGGTGCGTGTGAGCCGCCAAGTTACAGACCAGAGACTGGGCTTGAGATCAAGCCCAGTGGGTTAACCCACCCTGTGACCTGGAATCTATCTTAGATAGAAACGTAGCAATCCACATACGATCAATAAATGCCCTTCCTGATACGCTAATGTATCCTCAGTTCTTCTTGGAATCCTTTAAAAATAATGAAACAATTGAGAACAACAACGCTAAGAAGAAGAAAAGAAGCTGCACCTTAACCATCCACCAGGTCCACTGCCTCCTCTGTTCCTGTCTAGCCCTGGTCCCTGTGTGAGCATATTTGCAGTATTTCAGTTACAAGGCACACACAGACCTGTGTTCTGATTTTATCACAAAATACTCAGCATGTTCTGCCTGCTGTGTAATATTCCGTCCAGCGTGTGTGGCATTATTGACAGGTCATTCCTTAGGCTGAACTTTTTCAAATCTGTTCTGCAAACAGAGTGCCTACCACGTGCTGTGCGTGGTGGAAATCCACTTTTTTCTCTTCATTGCTGTGACAAGCAATGGTGCCCTTCGTGAACAACATTTTCATTATTTTAACTCCTCCCCAGCCTCTGTGTCCTGGGTAATTTCCCAGGGTTAAGCTCTAGGAGGGAGGCTCATCAGTGGGATGCTCTGAGCCTCCATGCAGCTTTTTAAAAAATGTCTTCTTAGATCCAAGTAACTCTTACAACTCAATATTTTTCAAAGGAGAGCCTCCGTTTACTCTTAGGGGGTCCTGGAACAAAATGATAACATTTTCGTATGCCAGTTCGCAGATTATAGAATCTGACACTCTAAACTGATTTTTCGAGGCACTGTTGACTGTATTCGGTTTCTGCTGAAGGCAGTCCAAATGACGTATTGAGTGTTTTCAAAGAGAAGGAAAAAATGCCCAAGACACAAGTAGATGAGGTCAGAGCCATCTGAAAGGGAATTCTACTTTAAAACATGCATGATAATATTTACATATAAGATACAAAAATTCATTAGGAAATAAGACACAATTAACACAAACAACTGCCCCTCTCTGGAAAGCTTAGAGGATGCTTCGAGTCGTGCGATTGTGGAAACCCGGCTGAAAGTTTTGAGTGGGAAGATGTTATGGAATCCAAAACAAGGGATAAGTCAACGGCAACACTGACTAGCTAACACTAACACTGACCCACAGACATAATCACCATGCGTGTCCTCAGTGTGTCTGATCAGAAAACTCCTAAAGACAGCAGTAAATCGGGTGGCTGTAGTAGTAATCATGGCGATGACAAATCCCCTCAGTCACGCCTGTGTCGACTTCCAAGCGCTGGGTATGCTGGACGCGTTAGCTCGTTGAGTCCCTTCAACACCCAGCCGGAGGACTAGCACATTCTCACCAACCAGAGGAGGAGGGAGGAGGTAGAGGGGCTGAGCTTGAACACTGCAGCCTGGCTCCCAAGCTGTGAATGGGGCCCTCACAACATGCGGCCCCAACTCCTCAGCAGTAGCTGCTGCCTGAAGGGGATGATGAGGGAGGAGACTTCTCACACCTGTACCTGCAAACGTGGATGAGAGTGACAATTCAACGGCAGCTAGGACCATGCCGAGAAGGGGAGGCTCCCTTCCTGGTTCAGCTGCAGGCAGGGGATGAGTGTGGCCCAGTTCCTTCTGGGAACTTCATGCCGTGTTCCTGGAAAGCACCCTCTCCCCACACTCCCAGACTCCGTGCAGCCCCGACGCCTGTCCTGCATAAAAAGGCCAGGGCATTCCACCAAGGAAAAGCAGCACCGCCCCCACCCCTCCAGGTCCCTGCCCACATGGAACTGTGTTTTGCAAGCGGATAAAATCTGCAGACGCAACAGCCAAACACCCGGCGTTCTCTGTTCCTCAGCCCACTCTAGGTGCCTCTCCTCCCACGTGGTGCAAATCAGCCTCTGAACAACCTGCAGGGTCCCAGCACCTTCAGGATGAAGCCAGAGCCCCTAACAACAGGCCAGATGGGAGGGAAGGGAGGTTCAGAGAGGAGAGGCAGAGCCTTAGGAAGGTGAAAACAAGAGCAAGAGGCCTGCCGTCCCTCCCCACGCCCAGCTGGGCCTTCTCATTCCCTTTCTGCATGCTTGAAATGACCTGTGACGCCTGTCTCATCATTGATGGATTTCCTCTCCTTGGAGCTGCCTGTGAGCTCCAGGAGGACCAGGACTGCATCTGACCAGCTCTCTAGCCACCTCTCAGCCCAATGCCCAGCATGGAGTGAGTACCGGTAAATGCGGGTGGAATGAATGCTTGAATGAATAAATGAATGAGCACCACAGTGCCCACCCAGACACCATCACGGGTACTGCTAACGCCCACTTGAGGTCCCAGCCCCTAAACCCTGCTGCGAGAGCCGAGAGCACCCTTGAGACTTCTGGGCCTCCATTGGACCCCTCCCATGAGTGAGGACACAGGCCCAGAGAAGTGGAGTCACTTGCTCGAGGTGACACGGCAACCAAGCAGCCCCGTGGGTGATCTTAACTGAGGTCTCCTGGCCCTGAGGTCAGTGTTTCTTTGCCAGGGCTACTCCAGCCTGTGTTAGGCAGAGAGCTGCAGGGCAGATGTGAAAATCATTCCCCACTCTGACCTATGGTCAAGATGATGAAACAGACTGAGCCCCACCCCCACCTTGCATGCAGCAGAAACTGGTCCGTGAATGCTGCTGGAGAGAAAAGCAATCAATAGCAAAGGCTTACGTCTGCAGGGCACGGGTGGGTTCCGAGCGGCAGCATCTGCCCCACAGCCTGGGAAGTCAGCAGGATGGACGGTGTCCAGGCCTCCTCAATGTGCTGAGGAAGCTGCTCCTCCTCCTCCATCCGGCTGCCCGCTGAGCCCTCGTGCCAGGCGCTGGGAGGGCCCAGGGCCAAGGCTACAGCTCTGAGAAGGTACCAGCTTGCCCAAGGCCACCCAGCAGAGCTCGCAGACCTGCTCCAGTGCCCTGCCCAGCCCCAGCAGGTGGCCAGCCCTAGGGAAGGCCTCATCCGCCCCTGACCCAGTCTCCCACTGGGCACCTCCATGGTTAATGATATTACTCCAAGACAGCCGTGCGTGCCCGAGGCCCATGTCAGGCTCCCGTGGAGGAAGTATGGTGACAAGCTGTGTGACCTTGAGCTGGCCACTGTACTCACTGGACCTCAGGCGTCCCTTCTGTACAGAGGAGGGAGCCACGCCTCCCACTCAGAGTTATCTCCAGGGTGAGAGGCAGGGAGCGTCCCCACACAGTGACTGGCTGGGATGTGGTGGGTCCCCTTCCTGCCCATCCCTCCCAGAAGCAGAAGGCCTCTGGCAGCTGAGCAGTAAAGGGTTAACTAACGCCACAAGTCTGGGTTGTCCATGCCCTTCACATTCCAAAGGCTGGCTGGCCCCTGACCATTCCTGGGGGGTGACCTCTGAGCCCTTGGACACATCCTGCCAGTTAAGAGTAGCTTTGCTTACCAGGGCCCCAGGCCATGCGGACAGTCTATGCCAGCAGTCCCATTGATGGTGGGGGCCCTGAGCTGCCTGGCATACAGCCTCACCTCTGGAGGGGCTGAGATCAAGGTCAGCCACATGGGCCTACGTGACTGACCTGAAGTAAAAACCCCGACACCAAGGCTCACAGGGGTGTCCCTGGTTGGCAGGTACCTCATGGTGTCATCAACATCACTGCTTCAAGTTAAGCACTGTCCATTGTACACCCCAGGAAACGTGACCTCCACACAGGGTCCCACCTCAGGGCCTTTGCGTGTGCTCCTCTCCTTCCCAGACACCCCGTGGGAAGCCCCTCACTGCATGCCAGTGTCTGCCCTGCCATGACTCTATAACCAGCCCTGCCATGACTCTACCAGGGATTCTGCTTGGCCTCTATTCATAGCACATATCGCTACCTGACAACAGGCCTGGATTTTGTTTTGCTATTATCTGTCTGCCCCTCTACAGTGTCAGGTTCCCAGGGGCAGGAGTGCTGGTGTCTGGTCACCCCACACCCCAGGAAGCAGCAGCAGCCTCTTCCCGCCCTGAAGGACCAATTGCTGACAGCTCCCTTTGGGTTTTGTATTAGGTGTGAGCCAGGCCCACCCAAGGGTGCCTGAACCACCTAGTCAAGTCTTCCTTCCTTCGATGCTGTACGCAGCAACCCTGGTCACAAGTCAGGTGGCCATAGCTGTGGCCTGGTCTGGACCTGCTGAGTGGCCCCCGCTTCATGCCATGGAGCTGTCGGCTCCAGCTTCCAACATCAGCCACCCCTTGCAGCTTGTGGGTCTGTCCACTGGCCCCACCTGTGTCCTCGGCTCCCAGCCCAAGCAGTCAGTGAAAGTTTGCTGAAATGCACGCACGATGCCCAAACAGGCTCCATAAAGGCAACAAATGACAGTAAAAGTACGGGGAAAGCCACCCACATTCCACAGCCCTGATTCAGTCTCTGCACGACCACGTCACCCGCCTCCAGCCACAGCACCATAATAACTTAATGCGCTCTGCTCTCCAGGCAAGCAAACCAAAGGCGGGGAAATTGGCAGAACGTATTTCTCCAATTCTTAAGAATCCCATTTGAGAGTTAAATAATGACAAGATGCCTTTAAGCGCTTGAAAATTACGAGTTAAGTCGTTCCCAAGGAAGGCTGTCATTTAGCAAGCAGGCAGAATTGATTGTTCCAGCCACAGATCTGAGGATCTGGGGCAGGTGGGAGGCAGAACGCTGGGTTTGGGGTACTGCAGGGATCCATCTCTCTGGAAGCACGTGGGAGTCCTCAGGGCCAGGGAACCTCATTCTACCAGCAGGACCTGCCCCCTTTCTACCGAGTGGGTCTCTGTTGGCTCCCCAGCACCCAGGCTGTGGACCAACCTCCACATGGGGGCCAGCAGTCCCGGCTCTGGCCTGGCTTAGGAGCCAAGTGTCCTGGCTGGGCTGCAGGTGAATCCTAAACTCCAGGCCCTGCCAAGCCCTCACTCCTGAATCCAAGGTGAAGCCCCGTTTTCCCTCTGGGGAGCTTCTTCCAGCAGCCCCACCTCTGCAGGGTTGGGGGGCAGGTGCTTTGCCAGCTGTTGACCAGTGAGCCAGGGGGCTGTGGCTATGGCTTCCACTCATCCACGGCAATAACCCAGTCTAATGTGTAACTGACACCTGTAGCGCACGGTATTTTCTGTAGCGCTCTCTCACATTATGGCTACATACGGTCCCATTCTAGAGATTCGAAAACTGAGGCTCAGAGAGGCGAAAGGACTTGCACAGAATCCCACAGCGAGTAGTGTGAGGCAGGGGTACCTGGGTCTGTCTGATTCTTCAGGCTGCGACCCTCTCCTTCTGCCCTCAGAGAAGGCAGTGGTTATGGTCCTTTGAGCACCTCCTGTATTCCAGGAACAATGATGTGGGCTTTTCCTACAGCCTCTCCTTTCCCCTGCGGCCTGGAGGGAGGTGTGAAAATGTGCCAAGAAAAAGGAAGAAATACGGCTCCAAGGCCATGGAGGGGCAGGGCCCGCAGGGCAGCCTGGGCTTTGGAAGGAAGCTGCCCTCCGCAGGGTTTCTGGCCTTACAGAGATGAAGGGGCCCATGTGTCCACTGGTGGGGGTCACACAAGGACAGTGACACCTGAGGGAGTGGAGCCAAGCAGAGGTCCCCATAGTGAGGAGGCGGCTGACTCCTCCCACGAGGACAGGAGTGAGGAGGAGATGGGACTGAGCAGGGCGGGGAGGGGTATGGTGGGGAGGGGCAGGCCTTCTCTGCTGTCCTGCCTGTTGAAAGCCAGAGGGAAGTAGAGGTTAAGGATGGAGTCTGGGGGCCTGAGGTTGGGGGAGGGGCCCAATCCGGAGGATCTATGCTGTAGACCAGTGAGTGGCACCCGTGGCACTAAGGGTTCCTTGCTGGTTGGCCACCCCAGCCCTCTAGGGACACTTCCTACCTGCCTCCTTCAGTGACTGTCCTCCCTCCCTTCCCCCTCCTCCCTCCCTCCCTTCTTTCCTTCCTTCCTTCTTCCCTCCTTCTTCCCTCCCTCCCTCCATCCCTCCCTCCCTCCTTCCATTCCTTGCTTTTTCTTCCAACCATTGATCAAACTCAAATCCCACCATTACTGGGTAGCTATTATGAGCCTGGCCCTGGGCTGGACTTCGAGATGCGGCCACAGAGATGCCTTGGGCATGGCTGATGGGTTGATGAGTGACTGTGCGAGCCTCTCAGATGCTCTCCCTTAACGACACCGCCTGGAGAACTGCTCACCTCTGATATCTGTTTCTGCCATGATGTGGTCTCCTAGATCCCAGGACCTGTTAACTAGGTTGATTCCAGAATGTGACTCAACTTTTCTATTCTAAAGGCACCAGTGTGCTGTCTGTGTATTGCGCAGGAACAGACCTGCGGTGTCCACACTGCTGCCTCCTGGGGAGGGCACCGTGTCTCCCACAGCAGCGCGTGCCCCTCCAGGACCTGCAAAGGGAGAAAGGGTGGGATTTGGGCCCTGGGTAATGTCAGTTCTGTTTTCCTTTCCATTAGGGACATTTCCCCCCTGAAGACAGAGTCTTAACTGGAAACAGGCCAGGCCAAAGCTTGCCTGAATTTTCTGCATCTGAGCGTCTGGGTGGGCAGCAGACAGCTGACGGGCTGGAATTCCAGACGGGGAAGCCAGAGGAGCTGCTTTCTCAGCAACAGGAGGAAACAAGCTGCAGCAGCCTTCACCCAGCCCTGTCCCCACCTGTCCCCAGCCCCCAGAGGTACCATAGGCCTTCACGGGGCCACGCCCAGGCCAGCTCTGCAGAAACACGCACCCAGCGTCCATCTCTCTGCCCCCACCCCAGGCTCACTCTCTCTTCAACCCCTGGGCCTTCTGTCTCTGTCTCTCTGTTGCTCTGTCTCTTTCTCTGTTTCTCTGTCTCTCTCTCCACCCCCCCTCCCCCAAGTTGTGTGTGTATCTGTGTGTGTGTGTGTGTGTCTCCCCAACCCCGCCCCTCTCTCCCTCCCCCTCTCTCTCTGCAGGGATCTCTGGCTTTTTGTGTGTACCTCTCACTCTCTCTCTCTCTCTCCCTCCCTCTCTCTAGTTGTGTATTTGTGTGTGTCTCCCCTCCCATCCATCTCCCTCCTTCTCTCTCTCTCTGCACAGACCTGGCTCTCTGTCTGGCCTGTCATTCTGTCCCTGTACTTCTCCATGTCCATGTCTCTGGGCGTGTCATTCCTCCATCTCACTGTGACTTGGAGGGCTCTGCGTGGATGTAGTCTGTCATTGTCTCTCTTGATCTGTCCTTCTCTACATGTCTCTGAATTTCTGTGTGAGCCATTCTCTCCCTCATTCATCCTCTTCCGCCCTGAGATAGTGTCAAGAGTGGACGTCCCACAACAGAAAGGTCTGGGGACCATATGTGGCCTTCTCTTCCCCACCACAGGGAAAGCAGGGGACCTAGTTCCGGCCTCGAACCTCCCTGGTAGGTAACCAGCTCCCGGGGCGCTGCCCACTACGGGACAGTCAGATGTTAGAAAGGAGGAAAGTGTGAAGTCAGGCGGCCAATGTGCTGTGAATAAAGGAGGACAGAGCATGATGTTGGGTGCAGAGTGGCCCGGAGGCTCCACTCTGACGTTGAGCAGAGACCTGGATGCGCAAGCGTCGGTCCATGCGGGTATCTGGGAAGGCGAACAGCACGTGCCCAGGCCCCGGGGTCGCATTTCCTGGACATGCCGCGCCCAGAACAAGGTGCCGGCCCCGGGGTCGCATTTCCAGGACATGCCGCACCCAGAACAAGGCGCCGGCCCCGGGGTGGCATTTCCTGGACATGCCGCGCACAGAACAAGCCGCTGGCCCCGGGGTCGCATTTCCTGGACATGCCGCGCACAGAACAGGGCACTGCCCCTCCCTGGCTGCACTGCCCATGGCCGCTGTCCTCTGGGGACCTGGAACTGGCCGAAACCATGAAGCCAGGTTTTAACCTCGGCTGTCCTGGCCAACCTGGTGTGTGAGGAGTGCCCTTCCCTGACGGCCGGGTGACAGGACAGGGCGCCCTCCTGGAGTAAGTCAGCTCGGAGGACACCACACGGACAAGGCTGCCCACAGCTGGGGAGGGCAGGGCGCTCACCCCGAATCGGGGGCCGGCGCAGGACTCTCCAGTTCAGGACCCACCCGGACACTCAGCGGAGGGAGCCTCAGCCCCGCCGGCCGCTCCACCCGACGGGAAGGGAAGGCGTTTGCATCCACATCGGTTTCAATCTGGGACTGCCGAGGCAGCAATGCCGAAACCCGCGCAGGTCAAAACCCACTTCACAAGACATCGCCACACTTTCTCCAATCATCGAGTCCATTCTAACGAGGCAAATAAACATGGCATTTAAAGATCAGAGGCAGCACAGTTACAGTCTATTAAATTAAATTCACCGTCAAGGGTGAGAGAGAAGACAGAGTGGGATTATTCTACTCATGGCAATTAGAAGAAAGAAAGGGGTATTTTGAGAGAGATGTAATTTCGTGCCCCTGAAGCAGCTGCCTGTGGAGCTTGTGATTTGGACAGCTGGGGCAAAGGGGCCACCCCCAACCCCCTATGTCAGGGCCCCTCCTGAGACAGGAGCCAGAGCCTATCCTCAGTGGGTCCCCAAGCCCCAGAACACAGCCCCGGTGGGCGGTGGAGGCTGAACCACCCCAGCCTTCTCTCCAGAGCCCAGATGGGGCATAGCCTGGCAGCAGAATGGCTTCCCCTCAACACCAGCTCCTTCCATCCCACTCTACGTGGCCTTCCTCGCCCCACAAGGCCCCTTCTTCCTGGTGGTTCACCCCAGCCCCCTGTGGGCTGTGCACTTCCCATCTGGAAAATGGGGATGATGGAGGCCCCAGCGTCGACCGCAGAGTCCTCCCGTGAGTGGCGAGTGCGGGTGAGTATGGACATGGAAATGTCTCATGGGCAACACATGCGTCCTGGCTGTGCCGTCATCCCCCTGCTGCCCCCAGCCCATTCTGTGCTCCGGCCTGCTGAGCACTTACAAGTGGCCCCTATGACTGCCTGGCCCAGGACTCCCACCGGACTCCACAATGGGAGGCTCCAGCAGGGGGAAGAGAGGCTGTGGGTATCCCTCCCTTTCTCCCTCTCCATCCCCTCTGTGGCCCACACTGATTCTAGTTCCTGCTAGGTGGCCCTGGCCCCCAGGCTGCAGGGACCTCACCATCTCCCTTTGTCCCCTTGCTCTGGGGGGGCAGCGAATGCTCCCAGCTCTAATGTGGGCTGCCTCACCGCCCTGGGCAGCCCCAGGGTCTCTTCCGCCACGTGTAACTGACTCTGTTCTATGTACAGAAGCAGGTACTGATCTCCTGTTTGAGCCCTGAAATTTGCTGTCTGCACTCAGATGAATGGTTACCCACGAAAGGTCGCCGTGCCGAGGCAGCGTGACCCTGTGGCCCCAGTCTCCGCGAGGTTCACAGTGTGGCTGCATCTCCCGAGCCACCCTTGTCCCCAGGGAAAGCAGCTTGCAGCCGGGCCCCCTCCAGAACTTCTGCTCACTCCCTCCAGATTTTAGCCTTCCCTTTTTTGGTCTATTTTATTTTCTTTCCACAGTATTCTTTGCTCCTATTTATCAATATTGAGTTTAATTTCAGTCCTCTGGGCCTCTTCTCTGAGCACTGATGCGTGCTACAGCCATTTTTAAAAATGCAACAAAAATAGATCTGTGGCTTTATTTCTGGTTATATAATCAAACGCATGCACTGTAAAAGCTTGAGTAATGAATAAACATAGAAGAAAAATAAGTATAAAGAGTCTGAGTCCAGGCGCGGTGGCTCGTGCCTGTAATCCCAGCACTTTGGGAGGCCAAGGTGGATGGATCACCTGAGGTCAGGAGTTTGAGACCAGCCTGGCCAACATGGTGAAACCCCGTCTCTACTAAAAATACAAAAATTAGCGGATGCCAGTAGTCCCAGCTACTTGGGAAACTGAGTCAGGAGAATCACTTGAACCCGGGAGGTGGAGGTTGCAGTGAGCCAAGATCATGCCACTGTACTCCAGCATGAGCCAAAGTGAGACTGTGTCAAAAAAAAAAAAAAAAAAAAAAGCCTGAGATCTCAGCATCCTCAGGTAACCATTGTCACAGATAAGTGGGAAAGAGGTGATGGGTGCTAGGGCCACCCTCTGTTTTTCCCTCTCCCCCTCCCTCCCTCCTGACCTTCATCCCTCCTCACCCCCTTCCCTCCCTCCTTCTCCCCCTTCCCTTCCTCCCTACATGCTTTATTAAAATTCAATCTTATTTTTTACCACAAAGCTTCTCCCACCCACTCCCAGGTGGCTAAACCAAACCAAACACCCCAGCCGGGACCACTTCCTCCAGGCTCGCAGACACGCGACACGGACAGACACCTGCACCTGTACCCGTCGTGAGTCCACTTTACCCACTGATTTTTGTAGTGTTTTTGCCTTACAAACAATTACATTTTACATCTCAAAAGTGCCCACATTTTCTTTTGGCAGCTATGAGTTTTTTGTCACTGAAGTGGTTATACATATTCTCATTTTTCTAATAATATTTGGATTTTTAAAATTTTTATGTCTTGGATCTGCCTAAAATTTATTTTGGCGCATGGCTCGAACACAGAGACCCAACCCCGTGTTCCAGCCAGCTCCCTCATGAGAGACACAGCATGCCTTAACTTTTCCCCCCATTGGAAGTACAAAATGGACCACTGACATTTTTCCCCACTGATTGGAAAAACCACCTTTCCCGTGATTCCTTCCCAGCGTCTGTCCGTCAGTGTGTGTGTCACGGTGCTGAGTGGAATCACTCCACTGATTCACCGTCTACTTTCGTGCCACTTGGTTTAGAGCATATTTAGTGGCTTCTAAGACAAGTTCTCTTTCTTTGGTTTTTCTATTTTTAGAAAATTTTTCTATTCTTAGACACTTATTCTTCTACACAAACTTTAAAAGAATTTATCGGCCAGGCACAGTGGCTCACGCCTGTAATCTCAGCACTTTGGGAGGCCGAGGGGGGCGGACCCAGGAGGTCAGAAGATCGAGACCATCCTGGCTAACACGGTGAAACCCTGTCTCTACTAAAATACAAAAAATTAGCCTGGCGTGGTGGCACGCGCCTGTAATCCCAGCTACTCAGGAGGCTGAGGCAGGGGAATCACTTGAATCCAGGAGGCAGAGGTTGCAGTGAACTGAGATCACGCCACTGCACTCCAGCCTGGCCACAGAGCAAGACTCCTTCTCAAAAATAAATAAATAATAATAAAAAAGAATTTATCCACTTTCATTTTTATACATGTAAATATCTAAACCTAAGGATAAAGGTTGGGTCTAAAATACCACAATTCTGGATGAAGCCAATAAATGCTCAGAAACACAACTCTAACAGTCACAACCTCCTGCCACTGATCACAGTGAGGGGTTCCTGTGACAGCTGCTGGCTCATTTACTGGCTCAAGGGGTCTAGTAAAAACCAGCTGACCTTTGTGGAAATCTTCCTACACTCTTTCTACATGTCTTAATAGGTTGGTATCATTTTAATTTATGGCACTTACCTATGCTGCTTTGTTTCATTTGTTTGTTGTTTTGTATCTGTGTATTGAGGGACAAGTGTCTACTTATTCCCTTGACATCTGTTTCAGGGTCTGCTACCTCCAGGAAGCCCTCCCTGACTACATCCAGTCTCCGGCAACGTTTATTGGGCTACTAGTCAATGCACAGCCTATGTCCTTTAAAGATGTTTAATTTATGCCTCCCCACAGCCCTACCAGTTCAGTGACAAGGACCTGCCCTTTAGGGAAAGAAGCACTGAGGCCCAGAGCAGGGGGAAATGACAAGCCAAGGGCCATGCGGCCAGTTTGTGACTTACGGGTTCCACTGTTCATCTTGCTTCCCTAGCAGAGTAGATCTCGGGATGTCAGCTAATGAACAAATGAATGAATGAGTGGGTGGGTGGGTGGATGGGTGGATGAATGGATGGACAGACAAGCAGATTAAGCAATTCTGCCTGCAGCTGCTGGCAACTTCTAATTGGAGAACGACAAATCCATCACCATGGCAAACAGAGAGTTATTTTTTCCCCCAATGGAGCAAATATAACCATGCCAAATGGAGCTGGACGCCAAATATTTACCACAAGCAGCAGCCTCCACTGTTGACAGATTTAGGCCTCATTAAGCCCAGACTATGGCAGCGCCCCTGGCAGAGGAGGCCCGCTCAGACTAAAAGAAGTTCCTTTTCTCACGCGCTGTTCACTGGGACTCTCGCACACAGGACGCTGTGGCTGTCAGCAGACACAGACCCCGGAGTGTCCCTACCACTGGGATCACCTTGATGGTTCCTGCTGGCTTCCACAGCCTCCCCACCCCAGATTAGTGCCCCTATAGAGAGAGGGACTGAACCCCTCACTAGGCTACTGCACGGCTATGCGTTCCCCCTGCCAGGGCTCCTCACAATGACTCTGGGAGTTGGGTGTTTTATAGCCGCGGAAGTGGAGGCACAGAAGACTAGGGGCTTGGCACGTCCCACACCAGGCCTGATTCTCAGTTTTGTCCATCGACTGCCACTGAATCTTCACTCCAGCTCTATGAGGGCCCCGCGACAATTATCCCCATTCGTCCTACGGGAAAACTGAGGCTCATGGAGTTCATCACTCTCGAAGGTCACAGAGTCAGGAAGAGGAAGGGCCAGGCTTCTCACTGGCGCTGCCCAGCTCTGGGGCCTTGCTGCTGCGTCCTCGTGTTCCCGCTGGCAGAGCCAGGCTCTCGGGGGTATCTGAGTACCCTCTCCGTGCCAGGCCCTGGGTGTGCACTGCTTTGTACATGTGACTTCTCTGTCTCCAGAACACCCATGAGGAGGGCATCAATATCACTATTATGCAGAAAGGAGAGACAGTGAGAGGGCTCCAATGCCACCCAGACTCACTGGGGGACCCCCAGATGTCTCTGGGCTCAACTTCCATGCCTGTGAGCTGGAGCCATCCTCCCATCTCAGGGGTGGTCCCATCTCCTGATGCGGGGACTGAGGTGTCTCTGTGCACACGGAGCTCTCCTGAGCTGTTCTCGGGGTCAGTGAGACAATTCAGTGAGACCTTCTGAGAACAGCCCCCAGCCCCGTGCCTGGCTCCCCGCCGGCCACCTATGTCCCTCCGTGGAAGCCCCAGCTGCCCCACTGGATCTCCCTATACCACATCCGCACCCCTTTCCCATCACGAAGCATTTTCCACGGATGCTGTCCAAGCTTATTTTAAAATTCAGAAGCCACAACGCTAGCCTCATCACCCATCCCGCCCTGGAGGGCTCCATGATATCGGGCTTTCTTAGCACATTTGACTCACCCGTTCCACCATGGGCTGCACAGTCCTGCTCCCCATCCCTCCCGGCGCTCCAGGTTTCCATCCTTTTCACCCCTATTGACTTTGGTTTACCAGGAGGAGGTGGAGGGTTCGGTCCCCTGGCTCAGAGGTGGACTTTTTCCAGTTCAAGAAGCATCATGCATGACAGGTGGCCGGGGGGCATCAGCGCCTACGGCCATCAGACGGCTCCCGAGCTTCTCTGCTCACCATGGACCTTTTGTGGCCCCCAACAGTCGGGTCCCAGCTAGACCAGAGCAGGAAGGCACTAAATTGTGGCAGACATACCATGGTTCAGGCAGGACTGGGTATGTCATTTGTGAGGCCCAAGACAAAATGAAAATGCGGTCCCCGTGTTCAAGCTTCCTGGTTTGTACTTACTACTCGTGATAGCGACAGCATATAGCATTTAACAAGCTCAGAGCCCTCCTAAATGTGGCTCTGTGTGACCAACCACCCAGGCCACATGGCTGGGAAGCCAGCCCTGGGGTCCAGAGCCAGATGGATGTGGGTTCAAATCCCACCACAGCCATGGGCGAACTGAGTGACACTGGCACCACTTCACCTCTCTGAGTTTGGTTTCCTAGCTCATAAAATGAGCAGGATTTAAGGATTCTTACTAAGAAGAAATGAATTGCTCTGCATCCGAGGGCCCAGTGCAGTGCCCAGCACCCAGCAGGGACTTCGTGTCTCTCCACTTCCCCCACTCTCGGGCTCTACAAAGTCACAGGAGCTCTGGGGGTGCTGAGCTGAACACCAAAACCACCCAGATCCTCTGAATTCCACACTCCTGGTTCTCCAGGCAAAGGCATTTGAGTTTGAATTACAGTGATGGCCGCCAGATGTCCGTTTCAATTGTACGCACAGGAGAAAAGGGCTTGAGCTGGGAGTGAGGATCCCGGTGTGTGATTCCCAAGGGTCCCTGAGCAAGGAGCTTCTGAGAGCGCAGCTGTGAGCTGCGACAGAGGCCCCTGCCCTACCCCTGGCACCCAGGCTGCAGTGAGTGACCAGGGTGAGGCCTGTAAGGGTTTGAGGTCAGGGGTGGGAAAGCACAAGCTCCTCCTCTGCTCCAGGCCTGCTCTCCGGGTGGAGTAGCAGGGGAGCAGGTTACCTAGAGACCAAGTCCGACAGGGAGGGGCTGGCAGAGGAAAGCTCTTCTCCTCTAGGGCACCAAAACCTCAGCCCCCCGACGCTGCCAACCCAGAGGCTGCTTACGCTTGGCATCTAGCCTGTGGTTCTTGGTGAAGTTTGCAACGAGAAAGATTGAAATGTGATAGCCAGCAAGCCAGGGGCCAGCGGTCTCCTTTGTTCCATACACGTTGCAGGAACATCATTCTGGGCCTGCATTAGCCTCTGGGGAGCACACGGCCCATCAATCTGCATCAGCATCTGCATGTCTGTTTCTAGCTGTGTCTCCATCCATCTGCACCCCCACCTCCATCTGCACCTGTGCCTCTCCCTGCATCCTGGGTATACCCTCTCCAGCTGTTACTGTTTCTGCAGGTGTATCTGGGTCTCCGTCTGCATAGAGATCTCCAGCTCCTGCACCATCTCTACCTCTGTCTCTCTCTGTCTCCATCTCTGTCTCTCTATGTCTCTGCCCCTCTATGTCTCCGTCTCTGTCTCTCTATGTCTCTATCTCCATCTCGGTCTCTAGCTCATCTCCATGTGGTTGCAGCTGAAGACTGTGTGTAGCAGACGTGAGTCAAAGTCACTGCCAACCTCAAACTTCTGGGAGACAAACTTTTTACAGACAACTCTGTTACTCATTTCTAACTCGGCAGCCTCACCACTTTCTTTAACTAGGCCAGGAACTCCAGGGCCGTGAGTGTGGGTGACATATATATGTGTGGCTTTTTCCCCTTTTGAGTTCAGATTTTGAAAGCCCTATGAAGGAGAATTTTCCATGTTTGGGGCTTCTGGAAAGATGACACATATATACACATACAGATGGATATATTTTAGGCCTCTGATATATATTCCCCAGATATATTCCCCAGCCCCTGTGCACCTGTGCTCCCGGAGGCAGGATGCTACCGCTGGCAGGGCCTCTCTGCTCGGCTGGTTAATTTTAAAACGTGAAATCGGGTGGAACTTGTCCAATAAATGCACCAAGAAATAAAGGAGTAGACAGATTCTTAAAGTGAAATAGCATTTAAATCAGCCCCACTTTCCCTGGGTCACTGACACCCTAACAGTTTTATAATATTCTCCTCTCCCTCAGTCGCCACAGCGGAAGAAATGAATCTGGTGTGCAGCGTGGAAGTGGGCATGCCGTGGGGGCAAGGCCGGCTTCCCTGCTCCCCGCACAGTGGTCTCTGAGCACAGAGGTCATGTTGGCAGATGGAGCGTCGTGAGACCTGGCTTTAGATTGGAACCTTGCAGCTTCTGTCCACATGGCCTTAAGCAAGTCACGCCCGTTCTCTGCATCTCACGTGTACTCCTGTCCCAGACAGACGGGAAGTGGGAGTTATGGGAAGGGACAAGGTGATCAAGGGAGCCAGGACATCAAGAGGAGGAGCAACAAAGGCGGCTGGGGATGAGGCCCACAGTCAGACCAGCCATGTCCACACAGCTCCTATTTATAAATGGTAGTAGCCGCTCTGACCAGACCCTTGAATGTCCCCATCTCCACCTTTTGATGGCTTTCCTTCGCATTCACACAAATTATCCCCTTGAGAACAGAGATCACTGCCCAGCCCAAGGTGAAGAATCATCAATCAGCCCCATGGGGACCACCATGACCACAGAATCCTCTTCCCCCACCAGGGAGATGTCATCCTCAGACAGTGGTGCTGAGCCTGGCGAAGCCTCGTGCTGGCTTCCAAGGACTTCTTCCCTCCCTCCGGCTCTCACGGGGCACATTCCTTGTTTTAATGGACAAGTAGATCTTGAGCACCAGAGGCCGTCTAGAGGCCACCTCCTCCCTTCTGATGGCCCCAGCCATGAAATGAGACAACCACCCCAGCCACTCCAGGGTGTCCCTGTGACAGAAACGCCCTCCCCTCCCTGCCTGGGCACATGTGACTGGCGCTCAGGAAGCCTTGGTTGAACAGAGAAGGACTGCACTGTAGGGGCGGGACCACGACCCATTCAGCGTCCACAGAAGCCGGGAGTGCGCCCACAAGTCTGCAGATCAGGAGCTCCACTGCAGATGCCTCAGAAGCTGTGCTCGTTGTGGGAGCCCTCCTTCCAGAGAGATCAGGGGTGACTGTTCTTCCAATGTAATTACAGTAGAAATTAAGAAAATCACTAATCCTGCTGTCAGGTACATAATTAATTCAGGAAACTTAATTGTGTCTTAGTGGGGAAAGATTTCCCTGGTCGAGACACATTTTAAAAAGAGAGAGCAGGAGAAGGAAAAATACACCTGCCGATTCCTTCAGTCTCCAGACACACAGGGACAATGAGACCAACGCAAAGGGCAGCAACAGCAGCATCTTGAACGTCCTGCCTTGTACACAGGAAGACCGGGTGCGAGAAGCCTCTGCCTTGCCAGGGTTCAGTTTGATGTATTTGGCATGAAGCAAAGTGCTAAGCCAGGAGGCTGAGGGAGGCCCATTCTGTTACCAGCGCCAGCCCTGGTGCCTTCGCCCTGGAACTGGATCATCAAAACACGTAAATCCTGCCCCCTGGGAGCTCATGGCACCGTGTCCTACAGTAAGGAGCCCTACTGACTTGAAAGGGGACTGGATCAGCACAAATGTCTGGTAACGTCATCACGGATGTGTGCTGCTTCTGTTTTTCACTCCAAGAAAGAACAATAAAAAGCTCAGGATTGATTGCAACCAAGGAACCAAGAACAGAGCAAGGTTCTTTGTAAAGAGCATTGGGCTTTACTGGCCCACGAGGGCGTGGGACCGAGCGGGTGACGGGAGCAGGGCTGTGGGGCGGACACTGCAGGGATGGGGACAGTGTCCAAACAGGGAGTGCTGAGGCAGTTGGTGGGGTAGGGCAAGATTCGTCTCACCCGCGCCTTCACAGGTCAGCACCCTGAGAAAAACATAGGTGCTTTTTCCAGGGCTCACGGTCCCAAGATGAAATCACCTGTGCGAGATGCTACAGCTGTAGCGGCTCAGAGGGCACGTGGGGTGGAGCTGGATCCACGCTGGCTTGAGCCGAGCTCCCTGGGAAGGCCAAACCTCCCGGCAGAATCACAGGAGTCGGGGCTGGTGGAGCCTGGGGCTCTGTCCTGGGTTTCATTCTGCGGGGGCTGCCCGCAGGCTGGCTCCCAGCATCGAGGTGAGAGGCAACTTGCAACCCTCAGGGGTACATGGAGGTCGCTGAGGCTCCCACTCGTTACCGCCCTCCAGCAGCCAGGGCCTCCCTGAGTTACAGCCTCAGCTCAGAGAGGTCCTCTTGGACGACGTGCGATGTAAAAGCCGGTTCCTCTCTATCACACCCACAGTCTCCAGCCGGCACACTGGTGCTCTCTGTGGTTATTTCTCCAGCCGGCACACTGGTGCTTTCTGTGGTTATTTCTCCAGCCGGCACACTGGTGCTTTCTGTGGTTATTTCTCCAGCCGGCACACTGACATCCTCTGTGGTTATTTCTTAACTTGAATACTGGCTATCTCCTCAGATCTGAGGCCCAGACCACCCAGAAGCAGATGAGGCCTTCAGTGTGGGTAGCACCCACAGAAAAGCAGGACATTAGGACAGAGGAGGGAAGCCCCCATTCCAGGGCCTGTTTGCAGGAGGTCCTCAATGCAGGCAGAGGGTTTGGCGCTGCCAGGGACCTCCAAGAGCCGGCACAGAGCATGCCTGGAGTAAGGAAGGCGAGTATTGATCCACCTTATCCTGCCCACCACTGCTCGGGGCTCCTCCAGGCGTGACCTCCCACACTCCCGGGGGCTCCACGGGCAGGCTGGGCAGCTCGTGCAGGGGACCGAGAGTGGAGGGAGCTGATAGGTGGGAGCTGGACGTACCACCGGGCAGGGGTGTGCTCCGGGTGATGGTGAGTGGGTTACAGGCAGGATGGGGGTGCCAGAAGCCGGAAAGAAAGCCCGTGAGGTCAGAGCTTGTGTCCATCTGGGGCCGCAGCTGGGTCCCCACGGTGCTGGGTGCACAGCAGACACACGAATGCCCAGTGAATGGACTGATGCGGCCTAGAAACCAGGATTCCAAGGAGGACAGCTGGCTCCCCAGCCGCCTGCCTCCCCTGGGACCTGACACACCCAGCACCCTCCTCCTCACGGCCCTTCTCCACTGCGCGCTGCCTGGGAGGGGGTCCACCCACCTGTGCCGGCTCGGTCCCCGATTGTTTGCTCTCAGCATCACCACAGCACGAACCTTGCCAAGCAGTGATTTAATGACTTGTGGGGTTTCTCTCCAGATGCCAGCGTTTGAGGAGCGAGGAAGGCAGACGAGAGGATCTTTCCAGGAAGGGTCTCCCGGGGCATGGCTCAGCTGGGGCAAAATGAGGGGGGATGGCCAGTGTCCCTGTGTGGTTCTCCATCTTGGAGAACAGAGCCCAGCCCCATGGCCTGTCTCCCATGCCGGCCCCCACCCGCCAGCCAGTGTCGAGTTCCAGGTACCACCTGCGATCCTCCTCTCAAAACTATCCTTTTCAGTCCGCCCCACGCCATCTCCCCTGACCAGGCCCCCACCTCTGGGCCCACTTCCTCACTGGTGCCCCTGCAGTGGCATCCCTGGAACCTCTCCTGCATGCAACTCCCACAGGGTCCTTGGGAAAGAACAAGTCTGTGCCCTTCCCTGCTCAAGCACCTTCCATAGCTCCCCATGGCCTCCAGCATCACACTCCCTCCTGAGTTAGGCTCCCATGTCCTCCAGAGTCCGGCTTCGTCTCACTGTCCCCCGACCTGCCCCATGTGGTGCACACCGCAGACATGCCACTCCTGGGGGTGACGTGCACACACTCAGACACATGTACACACACATGCATACACATACATGCACTCACATGCACATACTCGTGCTACATTTGCCCACTCATACACACTCAGACACAAATACACACACCCATCTCCACATGCACAGACACACACTCCCACATATGCACACGTGATTGTGCACACACATGCACCCTGTGCCGTGTCCCTCCCGTCTCCACGGTGCTGCCCCCTGCCCCCCTTTCCCCAGCCTCAGCCGGCTCCCTCTTGCAGCCTTCAAGATACTGGCCCCGGAGCTGCCCTCCAGGAAGCCACTCCACGCTCAGCTTGACATGTTCCCCTGCTGGGGGTGACAGGGCTCTGGGCTCCCTGGGCACTCGTCCCTCTCCTCTATGGCACTGCACTCCCATGGACACCCGCAGAGGGAGGGCCAGGGGTTGCTCATGCTGGCATTCCCAGCTCCCGGGCAGCCCTGACACCCAGTAGGCACTCTGTGGTGTAGACACCTCTGCTCCAGGCATCAGCCTTGGTCCACGTGGCTTCATTTCCTCCTCATATGATCTTGGGATCAGGGGCTTAGAGCAATGAGGCTGGCAGCTGTGCTGATCCCCTGCTGCCCAGGCCCTGCGTCCCTAGGAGGTGGGGCCTCACCCAGCTCTGCCTGGCCGCCTTGGCAGGGCGTGCTCTCTGCACCCTTTCCAGAGCTAGGGAGGGGTTGGGATTTTGGTACATGGGTCTCAATTTTGTGGCAGAGCAGCTCTGCACCACACTCAGAGGTGTTGTCGCCCAGCAGTGATTTGCTGCTGGCGTCTTGCCTGTACATTCTGGAAACTGTTCTCTATGTAATTTAAGTTACTTAAGGAACACAGCCTCTGGGCAGGTGCTCCCACTCTGGGCCTCCCCTTTACCCGTAGCAAAGGGTTGCGATCCCCACATCAGCCAAGGCAGGGGACTGGGTCACCCATGTCCACAGAACCTCTTGAGTCCTGGGCGTGAGAGGTTGGCCCACAGCCATCAGGGGTCCACATCTCACTGATGTCCTCAACCTCACTGGCTAAGGGAGGACTAGGAGGAACCCCAATCCTTCCCTTTCCAGGACTCCAGACTCATCCTGGCCCCCCAGTGGAAGGGCAGCCATTTGAAATGTGGGTGCGTGGATGTCATCCAGGAAGAGGGTCCCGAAACGGAGGCCTGGTCAAACTGGAGGAGATGAATCTCCAAGCCCAGGGAAACAGGCTGTGGGCACCAGCACCTTCCTTCTCCATCACCCGCTTCCAGTGAAATGCATTTCTTCACCCCCTTCAGTGAAACGCATTTCTTAAAAACGTTCCTTCCACTATGCACGTTATCTGGCCTTTTCCACAAAGCTCCTGCTGGTCCTCTGCCTTCGGCATTTTAGGCCATGGATTTTCTGGAAAGGGGACAGTATCTGGGTCCAGGCCTGGTTCTCCCACAAGGGAGTCACCTTGGGCAACTCACTCACCCTTGTGGATCCTCCGTTTCCCAACCTGTGCGGTGGGGACCATGACAGCACCTACCTCCCTGGGTCATGTGGAGATGAAGCGAGTGAAACGTGTGGTTCCTTGTGCAGGACCAGGCACAGAGCTGGTGCTCAACATACAGCAGGGACCAGAATTACAAACTCCTGGGGAAGTCCTAACTGTGGGCTCCTTTGGGAATGGCGGTGTGACTTGCCTGACCCCTGGTTGGGCCCCCACGGGGCAAGGAATCTCCACAGGTCCATCTCCTGCCAAGGAGCTGGGCTGCTCCTAGGAGGAGGGGGTAAGAGACAGCCTCACCCTTCACTGGGTGTGGGTTTGGGAGGGGACTTGGATTTAGAAGCTGCTCAGCCCTGGACAAGTCTCCCACATCCCATCCCAGAGCCCCAGTCCTCCTCTGGCAACAGCACCAACCCTGCCACGCTGTGCTGCGGGGAAGGCTGAATGAGGCCCTCCTCAGGGGAGGCCCAGACATGGTAAGAGGCACACAGTGGGTCTCCTGACACGTTCCTTTCTCTTTAGCCCTTAAATGCACCAACACCAGAGTGTGGCAGGGGCAGGGAAGAGAGCGCCATGCGGATCCTCAAGCCTGAGGCTTCGGCCACTGCCACCACCCACCTGACCCTGGCCATCTCTCTTTGCCACTCTGACCCTCAGTTTCCTCTTCTGCAGAATAGCCAACATCCATCCACAACACTATTGTTTGGAGTCAATTAGCTCACGTGTGTCAGCGCAAGAGCACCCACCCTAGCTTCATCCTGCCCTCCTACATGCCAGGCAATCACAGAAGGCTAAACCTCTGCACGGGCACTGGGTTGCTGACACAGGGCACCTGGCCTCGCCTGGAGAAGCAGCTCTGGCTTCTTTGATAAGCTGAGTTGTGCCCGGAGCCCTGTGCCTTCCCCAGCCGCTCACCACTTTCTTGGATGGGAAGGTCCTTTGTTTTGTCATCTCCCGCCTGGTGAAGGCGCCTTGGATTCCGCCGTGGACTTTCCCACCCACGCCTCGCTCCCTTCTGTAGCTTTGGCCTTTTCAGATGTGGCCCATGAATAATGAATCCCTGCTATAAATTTAGAAACTGTCCTTTCTCCCGGCCACTCTCCTTTCTCTTTATTTTTATCATGCTGGTTTGTAAGAAAACTAATCCCTTGAAAACACATTTTCCCCTCAACTGATTTCCTGACACCCAAAATTAAGTTGCTAATTTTACAGCCTCCGTGCAGAGCACCACAGGCTCACTGCCCTGAGATGGGGGATGGGGGACGGGGGACGGGGGACGGGGAACGGGTGGGGAGTGGGGGGGGGGGGCTCCAGTAGCTTTCCAGAAAGTTCTAATTCCTGGGGGCTGGGTGGTGTGGTAGGAAGCGCAAGGGCCTTGGAGTCAGACCCAGGCGCGAATCCTCATTCCTCTCCAGCTTGAGCAGCCGGACCTTGGATCTCACTTCTCCAGGCTTCTAGCTCCTTATCTACACAGCAGGGAGGACAGAAGTTCTTTGCAGGTTCCAGGAGGGTGTCGTGAGATGAGGGTGATAGACAGGGAGTCAGGTTGCTTTGGTCTCCTCCCTCCCTTCCCAAGACACACTTCACAAGGCATGAGAAGAACCTTCTGGAAGCAAGACAGGTTCACTCTCAAGAGAGCTCCAAATCCCCACCCCCGTCCATTCTCTTCTGCACCGCTTTGGAACTGACAGCTAGCCTGGCCTTCCAAGTCCTTCTGTGACCAGGCCTCCCCATCCTTCCACCCTCGGCCCACATTCTGTCCCTCGCCCAGGCAACATTCCCAACAGTCTTGCTAGGCCAGGCCGGCAGGTGCCTCCCTGTTTCTCTGGGTGGCCCAGGTAAAGCATGCAGGCACCCTGGGCCTCAGCTCCTCCCTGGGTGGGTGGGGGCTGCGGCCCCTGGTCTGGAGCTCCTCTGAGGGGTCACCACGCAGCTCAGACTCAATCAGGGGGCTGAGGGAGAAGTGCAGAGGGCCTGCATTGTTCAAGAGCCTAGGCCCAGGCATCAGGATCATGGAGACGAGAGGCCGCTCCCTTCTTCGTGACCTCAGTTTCCCCATCTGCACAATGAGGTGACTGACGTCCATGGCCCTCCCAGCTGTGAGATGACATGAGCCTGTGAGCTCTAGGACAACTGCTCATTTCCATGATGTACAAGGAGGCCCCGGGCTTGGGGCCTGACGAGGGTGCCAAGGAGAAAATCGCCACCAGTGTAGCCTGTGCTGACCTCACAACAATGCTCTGTGGAAGGAGCTCTGTTCTCACTGATGGATGGGGAAAGCAAGGCCCAGAGAACATAGAAGAGCTGCCGGAGGACACACAGCTGGTGGGGGAGGCAGAGATTTGCACCCAGTTCTTCCTTGGCACACATGGATTAAGCAGAACCTTCAAAAGGCAACGCTGGGCGCATTGAACCCAGCCTGGCCTCGCTTTCTGCCGTAGCCTCCTTTAGCCAGCGTGGGTCCCCAGGACAGGCTCTGGAGCCTGAGTTGATGCAGCTCCAAGGGGAGGCAGAGTTCTGGCAAATTCATCTCCCCCAGCATTTAGTCTGGGGCAAGCGAGGCTTTGACGCTGAGGCTGCAGTGATGGCCACACGGTTTCTAAGCTGACTGTAGTACCAGCACCGCTGACAGGCACCGTTGCTAGAGGAGAACAATCCATTTCGACGTCGCAGGGCCTTGCTCTGCCTCTCTGTTTCTTCAGCTGTTCCTTACCAAAGCCAGACTAGGCCAAGGACCCAGGAGAAATGGTGTGTTCACAAGCGCTCCACTCTGCCCCCAGCCGGGCAGCTCCAAGCCCAGGGAAACAGGCTGTGGGCACCAGCACCTTCCTGCTCCATCACCCACTTCCAGTTCAGAGCGGCAGAGACGAGCCGGAGCCCAAAGATCCAATCCCCTGCTCCTTGCTGCAGAAGTCAGGAGCTGTGGACCGGATGACACCCCTTACCGCCAACCACTGCATGTCTAAGGATGTGGTTTAAGGAAACAGCCCAGAAATCAGGCAGGGACTGATGTCCAAAGCTGTTCCCTGTTTCATGGACTGAATGTTTGTAGCCTCCCAGAATGCACATGCTGAGGCCCTAACCCCCAATTTAATGGTATTTGGAGATGGGGCCTTTGGGAGGTGATTAGGGTTGGATGAGGTCATGAGGGTAGGGCCCTGGTCCAAGGGGATCAGTGCCCTTATAAAAGGAGACACCAGAGAGCTTTCTCTCTCTCTCTACACCATGAGACGACACAGCGAGGAGGCAGACATCTGCAAGCCAGGAAGAGGCCCACACCAGAACCTGACCTTGATCTTGGACTTCCAGCCTCCAGAATTAAGAAACAAATGGCTGTTGTTTAAGCCTTGCAGTCTGCATATTTTGTTATAGCAGCTCACATGGACTAAGCCATTCGCCACAAGATTGCTTAAAGGACTAAAACATGGAAACCACACCGATATAAAACACCGGGAAACAGCTCGATCAGTCACTACAGGCTCATGGCGTGGACCACTCATGGGGAAGCTCATGCAAAGTCTGTCATCGTATGGGAAGTGACGCCAAGAAGAGCAGGTTACAAAACTATATTTGTACAAAAGATACGAACTATATTCGGAATAAGATCTCAGCTATAGAAATACACTCACGTGCATCCATGCATCTGTCCATATGTGAACGTATGAGTGTGTGTGTGAGCATGTGAGTGTATGTGTGTGTGTCTGTGTGTGTGTGTGAATGTGTGTGTGTGTTTGTGTGTATAGGTCTTGCTGTCTGTATGTTAAGTGGGCACTGAACATAATGCACCAGATGGAAACTAAAAGGCTTGTGTCCCAGTGTTAACACACTTTTACTTCCTGGTTTATTTCGAGGGTGTATCACGTCATTTAATATCCACACAATGCATGTGCATTACTATTAAAATCATAAAAAGGAATGTTTTTAAAAATGACATCTAGCTAGACCCATCCAGGCTGAGCAGCGGTGTCTTCCATATGGCATTGTGTCCACTTTCCTGACATGGCTCCGCGTGTTCTCTCTCTGACCAGCTGGAGCCCAGCCCTTCTGGGACACACACATGCACCCACAAGAGCTCAGGTCACCCTGGGCAGAGCTCAGCAAGGGTACAGCAGGGTAGCCAGCCGGTAATCGGAGGTTATCTGGTCCAAACACTTTATCCTCCAGCTGGGGAAACTGAAGCCCAAGGCAGTGGCTTAGAAAGTTGAACCACGACCACCAACAGATCCAACACTGCGACTCAGATGTACCCACAGAGATACCCACAGTCACAAGCAGCTGCTTAGACACCAAGGGTCAGGCAGATCCGGTAGGATCCAGGCCTCGGGAAGCTGCTGTGCCCCTCCACGAACCTCTTTCCTTTTCTGAAGAATCAGAGGGAAAATCTGGCAAGAGACCACATGGGATTCGCCAACCCATCTCCTCTCTTCTCTGGGCTGCCACAGCATTTTCTAAACTCCACTAAACTTAGGTCCTGAGACTGGGTTGGTCCCATCCAGGGTCACATGCACAGAAATGGTATGTGCTACTTCCAGGCTGGGTCCCAAACCCTCCCACCTGAGATTCTCATCCTCTTTCCCCTCTACCAATACAGATGGGCACTTTGAAACATCCATTTGTTTCTTAATTCTGGATGGGCATGGTGACCTCAGAAGGCAGGAGCATGGCCACACCCCAGATGGAAGGAGCCTGGGTCCCTGAGTCACTGCCTGGAGGACAGGCTGCTGCTGAGGAGCATCATTTAGACTTTATGGGGGTGAGAAATGAACTTCTGTTGCCTTTGAGCAATTATGTATTTGGGGGGCTCTTATGTTGCAGTGGTTAGCATTGCTTTCCTAAGGTAATATGGGAGATGAGGAGTCCGGGCCTGCCCTGGGGTCAGAGGCTCCGCAGGTGCACGGGAAATGGTACCTTCTTCCTCCCTGGTGCTGTTAACTCCTGGAAGCCTGGCTGTATTAAGAAGAAAGGATTTTGACTTCCTTATTAAATAAAACATTCATTTACATTTTTAAAACCATTTCCTTCAGGTATGCTTGTCAGCAGCCAGTCTCCAAGGGGCTGGGGAAGGACTCATTCATTAATTATTTACAGAACTACAGCCACTGTGGAAAATAGTACAGACGTTCCTCAAAATTAGAAATAGAACTATTATAAAATGCAGCAATCCCACTGCTGGGTACATAGCAAAAGGAAATAAAATCAGAATGTGGAAGAGGTCCCTGTACTCCTGCGTTCACCCGGAATCCTCCTGGGGATCACCAACAGATGATGCATGAAGAACCCTGGTGTATCCACACCGCGGAATCCTAGTCAGCCTTTACGAAGAAGGGACGACCCCTGTCATTCCCAGCAACATGGATGGGCCTGGTGGACATGGTGCTAAGTGAAACAAGCCAGGCACAGAAAGACAAATACCGCGCGACCTCATAGGTTCAACTTCTTAAAGAGCAGAATCCATAGAAGCAGAGAGTAGAATGGTAGTTACCGGGGGCTGGGCGAGGCAGGGAGGACTCGGGAGATGTCAAGAAAAATCATGTATTTACAGGTGGCGGGAGGTGGGCAGCCCTGCTCTGGAGAGAGGGCCAGGCTGTCGGGCCTGCTGGGAGCAGCAGCGTGCACCTGTCTCTTGAGAGGGACCTAATTCCTTGCCCATGGGGCTCAGCCTGGGGTGAAACTGGAGGCAGAAGATAGGCCAGAAAAGGAGGGAGGAGGAAGAGGCCCTGGATCTCTAGCCCCTGCCCTGCCCAGCCTCCAGGAGGCAAAGACTGGATGGAAAGGGTGGTGGCCAACATTCATGGTGCTCAGGCACTGCACTGGGCTTGCTCCAGGCAGCCCCTGCTGTCTGCCTTCCCACAGCTGGGAGCACAGCCCTGGACAGCCACTGTGGCATCTGGGCCAGTTCTACCCCTCCTGACCTGATGGGTGCCCTGAGCCAGCCCTCACCCTCCCACTTACCCAACAAATGGGGATCAAGCCACAGCTGCCTTAACGGGGGGTGGGTGGGCTGCTGTGCAGAGGGGCTCAGAGGAGCATGGGTCACGCAGACTTAATACAGGTTTCATAACCACAAGCCTTGTCCGCTATCATCTCCTGTTACAAATGAGATCACAGAAGCTCAGAGAGGTCAAGGGACCTGCTGGCCAGGTGGTCAAAGTGAAGAAGTCAATCCAGAGAGGTCCTAGCCAAGGTGTTCCCTCTGCATGGATTCAGTCAGCAGCGTGAAATGAGCAGCTGCTTACGCCATGCCGCGTGCTGGTGCCTGGGCATCTGGGGACACCAGCATGAAAAGTGCAGCCGCTGCACCTGCCTGCAGAGAGGGGCATGCTCATGCAGGGTCCTTGAGACCGGGACTCCATGACAGGGGCATAGAGCTGCTGCAGGAGTAGGGGTGGGGTGCCCCAGCCCAGTGCAGCCTCAGGGCCACCCAGCACCACAACTGGCTTCCTGGAGGATGGGTTAGCTACGAGTAACCCATGCTGGAGGCTGAGCATGGGTTACTCAGGTGAGAGGGCAAAGGGAACAGCATGTGCCAAGGCCTGGAAGGGAAAATCAGTGCCCTGTGTTCAGAGGACATCAGGAAGGCTCAGGGTACAGGGAACTTAGAACTGGAGGAGGGGAGAGGAGAGAGATGGCAGGAGAGCCGGGGAGTGGATATGGTTTATGTCCCAAGGGAAGGCAAAGGGAAAAGAGCAGAAGGTTTCAGGAAGCCACAGGAAGGGCGGCAGGGCAGGGACAGAGAGGAGGGGCGAGACCAGCCGCTGGGCAGCTGGTAAGAACAAAGACCAGCCTTTGTGGAGCCTTTGCCACGTGCCAGGTACGTCCCTAGGAGGAGACGGTGGTCTGGAGGCTAAGGCATGGGCAGAGGGCACAGAGGAAGCAGGGCAGTGCCCAGGGAGAAGCAGGCCTGGGAGGAGTGCAGCGGGGACACCCCGAGGGAGATGACCTGGGGCACGGAGATGCCAGCCAGCCGGAGAGAGGGCCTCACAGGCATAGCCATTACACACACTGGCCAGTGTTCACCTGCAAACAACCTGCCCCCATTTCACTGGATACCCCTGCTGGGGCCAGGACGGACGGTGCATGGAACTGGGAACTGAGCTATCTGAGGAGCCATCTGTCTGTCTGTTTTCTCTGCATGTCTGCCATCCTCACCCCTGCCGGTCCTCCCTCTCCCTCCTTCAAGGAAAGGTGGTCTCTAAGCTCCAAGGCAGCCCCACCTCCCTGGCAGTGGCAATTCTGGGGTGCTAGCATGGTCCCTAGGACAAAGGCTCTAAAAGACCAAATCCTCCTGGGGCAGAGACCTTTCTTATGGTTGAGCTCCGTGATCTAGGGTAGTCCTCAGCTCTGCCCTTCCCTCAAGGAAGGCTGCCCTTGACAGCCTCACCCCCTACACTGGACCAGGCCTGGCAGAGGGAGGCAGGCTGGGACCCCGCACTGTCCTGAGCTGTGTTGAGCTCCCCCCAGGCCGAGTCAGAAGGGAGATGGTCTTTTCCACAAGAGGAGGGTGAAGAAGGAGCTCCCAAAGCCACCTCAGAGGCAGGCGATGCTTAGAGCATCGAGAAGCCGGGAGAGGCCCCTGGGCCCTTCTGCAGAAGGCAACAAGGCCAGCACCCCTCCCCAGCCAGCCAGGCCCCTGGGGTGTCAGCCCAGGGCCCTCCCGCTGATCTCCAGGCCTGTGATCTTGTGCCCTTTTATCAGACTCCTCCTGTTGTCTGGAGATCTTTCTAGACCTGAAATACAACACCAGCCTCCTGTTCCAACCCTCCACCTATAGAAGGAGAACCCAGCCTGGCATTCACCATCCGCCTAGCCACAGGACACCCTTCTCTGCTGGAATGCCCCTCCTTGTGGCTCCAGAGCCCTGTCAGTGTCCTGGTCACCACTCACCCAGCCCCAGTCACACCAGAGAATAGGAACCACAACTCACAAGTATTTTCCTGATGAACAGGGCTTTTGACAGGGGTTTGTCAGGCATTTGTGTTTTCCAAAACACAGACTCCGTCTGTGAACATCAGAAATGCAGCATTTACTTAAATTATGTGCGATTATTTTGATTCACAAATTACATGCATTGATTTTCATGCACAGACAGGATTTTCAAACTCTAAATAACAGACTTGTCACCTTGTTTGCATTAGAACACTGTCTGGGACCATTTAAAATACAGATATCCAGATACCAGATAACATCTGCAGGGGCCAGGAGGGCCGGGGACAGTTTACATGGATTATTTACCACCGAGAGACATCTTGAGAAATTATTCACACCTTCAAGAGATCCTTTGAAATTGTAAATGCTTCCTAGACACCAGCAACGACTGAGAACTCAAGCAGCCAAGGAACTCGAAAAGCAACACAGGGAGCGGCAAATCAATTCAAGAAGGCACCAGCGACGACGCAGCCACAAATTAGGAAGTGGGTTTAGGGTGCTTGGAAATGGCAGCATCTGAAAGAGTGGAAGGAATTTAAGGAGTAAGAGCCCAGAGAACATGACTCTAGGCAACCAGTTCCAGCTTCCTGCCACCCAGCACCCAAAGACAGAAGGTCAAGGAACCAAATGAGAGGGTCCAGGGAACCAGCTTTTGGCTCCAGCGTTGCACGGATTTCAGCCTCCATCTTGCTGTCTGTGCAACCATTTGGTTAGCGACCATATCCCCAACTGAAATGTGGGTTCATGAAGGTATCCCCAGCCTTAGCATGCTGCTGACCATATAGGAGGTGCTCCTTAAATGATTAGTAAACGTTGAATGAATGAATGAAAAAGCACGAATACGTAAATGTAGCTAGTGACCATTTATGGTAGTCCAAGCAAGTGCGGACCTGTCAAATGGCACAGGGGGACTTAGCTGCCTCAGAAGTTTAAGCATGTAAACCAGGCTCATTTATGAAACAGCTTTATAAACGAATTTAAGATGCAAGGATCTCATCTCATCCAAGTGCTCAGAAGACAGGAGCAACAGGAAGCAGTCAGGATGTATTTGACTGCGGACAATAGGGCGGCCATGTCTGCCATGGCCAGTGACGGACACGTGCCCGTCTTGGCTGAGACACTCATGGGTCCCTCCACCTCATGGATCCCCCATTTCCACATCTGTCAATGAGATGGCCGTTCCTGTCCTGGTGAGTGGAAGGAGGTCCTGGGGACAGAGGCAGGGAAGGTCTGGGAAAGTCGCTGTGGAGGATGCTCTGGGAAATGTGGTAGAGGGTCTGCAGGAGGCAGGGTCTGCACCAGCAAGAGTGGGTGTGTCGAGCCCAGGTAGAGGGGGCACCTGCACCACATGCAGTAGCCAGGCGGCGCTCATGGGGACAAGTGCTCCTTCTCTGACCTCATCCCTCAGCCTGAGACTGAGGCTGATCCCCAGGATCTCAGCCCTTGACCCAGCTCAGAGTCCTCTGTTTGTCAGGAGCAGGACTCTCTCCACAGACTGCACAACTGCGGCCGCTTTCTGAACCTCATTGAGCTTTTCTGGGCTGGAAACAATGCCTTGGCAACTGCAAAACAGGACAGCAGAACTGAAGGACTTGACAGGGGAGAGCAGACAGCCGGCCCACGGGAGCCTGGCCCTTGCCTGAGACCATGGCAGACTGGTCACTAGTTGATGACCACACTCCTGGCTGCCAAGATTGCCTTAATTTCCGAACCTCTCCTAGCACAGGGCTCAGGTACCGGGAGATGCGCATTACCTTAAATGCTGAAACCTACTGGCCATCGCAGGGCTACGCTCCTGGAGGCGGTGACAGGGAAGAAAGCCCAGCACTTGCTGATGAGCGAGCGGCTCTGCCCCGGATTCCTGCTTCCTTCGTTCCTTTGTAGACATCAGGCTATGCCTGATGTCTACAAAAGAAAATTTTAATAGAATCATGGCAAGCCTGGGAAATAATACTGTTCACAGTGACCCCTAATTAAAGCGCAGAGAGCACACAGCCAGAGCCCTCGGTACCGTAGCTGCTGGGGATTAATTGAGAGAAAGAGATGCAGAGAAGAGGATGGCCAGGCAGCATGGGGCTGGAGGCGGGGGAGCCAAGTCCCACCAAGGCGGCTCTGAGGTCCTCAGAAGAGGCCCCGTCTATCACCGCTACGTGAGTCTAGGGGAAGCTGAGATTAGCATGCAGCTGCCCTGCAGGCTGGTGATCCCCAGATGGTAGAAGTGCAGAGGCCAGGTGCATGCAGCGCGCTCTCTCTAGTGCAGGCAAAGGAGAGAGAATTTAAAGAGCTCCATGTCATATTTTTCCTTACAATTTACATTGCATTCAACAAGCCACCACCCTGGTGTCCATGCTAGAGACAATTCTGAGGGCAGCCCAGACAAGGGGAGGGGGAAGTGGAGGTCTGGGCCCCACTCCCCAACAGGGAGTCACAGCCTTATCCAGGAGCCACCCCTTCTGCTGTAGGATGGGGATAACACAGCCCACTTCAGGATCCTCTGGTGACTGTGGGCCAAGGGAATGTAACAGACAGCTTGTGAAAACAGAACTTCGATTTATTACCCAGAGAAGGCTTCCATAGCTGATCAATGCCAGTGGCTTTGCAGATCTCCTTAGGGTGGGCTTCTTGGTGCAGGGAGGGGTCCTGCAGGGGTCCCCTGAGCACGCACATGGAGGGTGAGTCACATCGTTACCACCCGGGAGGGTGGGCTTTGTGCTCTGCAGGGCTGGCCCTCGGAGAGGTAGGAGACAGGGCTGCACTGGGGCTGGGAACACCCCGTAGACAGGCAGCCTGCAAATGCAGCCGCTTCCCGCTGAGGTCGGTAGAGGGTTGAATAGTGACCCACCCAAAAGACCTGTCCACATCCCAATCAGAGTTTCTGAATGTGACCTTATTTGGAGAAAGGATCTTAGCAGATGTAATTAAGTTAAAGATCTTAATGATGAGATTATATCATGGACTATCCAAGTGGGCTCTAAATCCAAGCACATGTGTCCTCACGAGAGACAGACGAGATGATCCAGGAAGAAAACACCATGGGAGGGCAGCTGTAGAGGCTGGGGGCACGCACACCTGGAGCCACTAGAAGCCGGAAGAGCCAGGAGGGATCCTCCTTTGGAGGCTCCAGGGGGAGCATGCCTTGCAGACACCGTGATTTCCGACTTCCAGGCTTCTGGGAGAGAATAATTCTCTACTGTTTGAAGCAGTCAGGTCTGGGGTCATCTGTTCTGGCAGCCCCGGGAAGCTACCGCAGGCTCCACATTATCAGCGCTCTCAGCTGGGGTACAAGGAGATAGCTCAGCCTCGGGTCCCGCAGGAACAGGCATCAGGGTCCCTGAATGGGACCTTCTTGCAAGACACGGGACTCAGGCCCAGTGACCCTGTCCAGGGCCAGGGGGTCGTGGAGGCCGCATCCTGCCCCGTGTGTGGTGGAGGCTGGAAGACCCCTCCATCTGTCCACCTGGTTCTGCAAATAGTGGCCCAGCCGGCCTGCGGGCGCTCCAACAGCAGCAGTGAGGACCCAGCTGACTGTGGGCCAGCCCTCAGGTTGGGCTGTGACCTGGGACAGGAGGGCAGGGCCAC
Organism: Homo sapiens; assembly: GCF_000001405.40. Classification (NCBI taxonomy): domain Eukaryota; kingdom Metazoa; phylum Chordata; class Mammalia; order Primates; family Hominidae; genus Homo; species Homo sapiens. Next base: position 7,486,230 of record NC_000004.12, on the reverse strand, counting down.
TGGAGGGCCCCCCTCCACTGGACGGGGCTTGTTCCCAACAGCAGAAGAACCTATGGGAGAGGCCTCAGGAGGCAGGTGCTGCAGGTCCCTGTCACGCGCACGAGGGGCTCCAGCAACCAACAGAGACAAAGGGACGCTTCAGTCTGGAGTTGCCATCCCCAGGCTGTGCTGTGGGTGACATCCGTGGGCTTCGGTATGCAGGGCCTGATGTCAGGCTCAAGCTAACAGGCCACCACAGTGAGGGTGCCAGGATGCAGGCATGGGGTGCCCCCAGCCCGCTGGGTTTAGGGCATTTCCCTGTGGCCAGCACAGAGGAAGCCCCATGGTGCCACATCCCAGAGCCTGTCTACCCGCCCTGAGCCTCCCTACTCAGTCCTTTCTCTCCCAGGTTCCTTTCACCCTGGCATCCTCCCTCCACACGTCTCTCCCTCCTGCCACTGGGAGCCTCATCGGGCTCCCCTGGGCCCACAGTGGGCACCTGCTAGCTGCATCTAGCCACCCCCAGGGAAGCTGCCCTTCTAGGGGTGCCAGGCCTGAGCCTCAGCTCCCACCCTCTGCTGGGTCCACACGGCCTGGCCGGTACAACCTGAAGCCACCCGACCCCACAACCTCCGTTTCCTTCCCGTGTTTTCCATTGTTAGGAAAAATAACAAGAGTGTGTTGTTGATATCAAATAACAAGAGCCGCCAGGGAGAAGCTAGAGGAGATGGCTTCCCATGGGGCCCCAAAGGCAGACATGAGGCCCGGCAGGGGGCCCTGGGGCTCCAGGTGAGGGGTGGGGCCCACAGAGCCAACCTGGTGTGGGTGGAGTAGCCTCAGCAGAGCCTGAGCCAGCCCTGGTGTGACGGGATAGTTGTGGAGGCAACTCCGGGGCCTTGGCTGGGATGGCCCAGGGGCTCTGCCTGGGAACTATCCACCCTAAGCAGCATGCTCCTGGTAATGTGGAGTCTGAGTGACTGAGACACAGCTGCCCAGGGCGATGGGAGGGGCATGCTGGCTTAGACCAGACCTGGATCTCATCTGGGGACCGAAGGCTGCAGGAGCCCCAGGAGGGCTGTGATGTCCTGGAAGGTGAGCAAACGAAAGTGGGAGTGTGTGCCGTGTGGAGTGAGACCCTCAGGAGGGTGTGTGGGCACAGGACAGGTGACCAGACTCCTACATCTCTTGTTCATTCACTCAACAAACGCCCCCTGAGGATGAACAGACAGTCTGCCCTGCAGGAATCAGCCAGAAGTCCTGACATGTTGGGGAGGGCCGGGACAGCAGGCAACGCACAGGGGTGCAAATAAATGAAAAAGAAGGAAAGCCAGGAGGCCTTAAGGAGGCAGGCTGTGTGGAGGAGGTGGGCTGGATGCAGGAGACAGGCCGCATGGAGGAGGTGGGCTGCGTGGAGGAGGCAGGCTGGGTACAGGAGCGGGGCTGGGTGCAGGAGGGAGGCTGGGTGCAGGAGGGCTGGGTGCAGGAGGTGGTGTGTGTTGTGAAGATGGCCTCAGGCTGTCGTTTAACTTGTAAATGCCCGCCCAGCTCAGAGTTCTCTAAAGAGAGGATCATTTTGTTTTTTAGCTTTTAAACTGGGATCAGAACGGAGGAGGTTAGAAAGGAGAGGAATTGCTTGCAGAGCTCCCCAGGTGCAGAGGCCTTCCTGTTCCTGGTATTTCCACACTGGAGTCAGCACCTTCTGCCCAAAGCCCTTTCTATCCTTATAAGCCCGGCCTCCTCTCTGTTCCACAAATCTTGCTAGAGACTGGCTTCCCTGGACAGCGTTCCTTCCCACGGCAACACCACCTTGATCCCCAGCAGGCCGCTCCGGCTGGGCCCTGTGACAAAGGAATTCATAAAATAGGAGGAAGATAAACTTGATACCACGCAGGTTACTTTGGTTCTCCAAATGAAGAAATGTGAAAATGTAAAAGTCGGGTGACAGATACAGTGGCCTTTTGTGGGAAGACAGAGATGTAATTCTCAGCACACCTAAATCGATCACCTCGGAAAATACGTTCAGACTCAGCGGCGATCTGCCGGCGCAGGGACGCGAGCTGTGGGAAGGTTTTTGAGAGTAGATTACCGGGACCGCTGGGATGGATAACTTTAAGCTGCCTCCCATCATATGTTGATACTTATTGCACTGTGTTTTCTAGGAAACACCAGGCAAGCAAAGAGAGGTAAAAACACTTAAATGCTCGAAGAAAGTAAGTCAGAAAATAACATCTGTAGATACAGGAGAGCCTGGGCTTTGAAGACGTGCATTTGAATTTTGAATCGGCTACTTTCTGAAAGACTCGTTTTTGTTTTTGTTTGGTTTTTTGTTTGTTTGTTTTTTCACTTTAAGTTCTGGGATACATGTGCAGAACGTGCAGGTTTGTTACATAGGTATACATGTGCCATGGTGGTTTGCTGCACCCATCAACCCGTCATCTAGGATTTAAGCCCTGCATTCATTAGGTATTTGTCGTAATGCTCTCCCTCCCCTGGCCCCCCACCCCCTGGAGACTCTAATTCTTTTGGCCTCAGTTTCCCAAGAGGGTACGGAAACACAGGAATACTCCCTCCCAGGACGTTGTAAGCCCCTTGGAAGACACGTGGGCATTGCTGGCCTGGGACCCCATGTACAGTAGGTGCTTTTTTCCGTCCCTCAGGCTGCCATAACAAAGCACCCCGCACAGTGTGGCTTATAAACAGTAGGCATTTATTCTCTCAGTTCAGGAGATGGAAGTCCCAAATCGAGGCGTCAACAGTACCACGTGCCTCCCAAAGGCTCCAGGACAGAGTCTGTTCATGCTTTTCTTTTAGCATCTGGCATGGTGGGCAAACTCCTGCGTTCTTTGGCTGGCAGCTGCCTCACGCTACTCTCTGCCCACTTCATCCGTCACGTGGCTTTCTCCTCACTGTCTTTTTTTTTTTTTTTTTTGAGATGGAGTCTCGCTCTGTCACCCAGGCTGGAATGCAGTGGCCCAATCTCGGTTCACTTCAACCTCCGTCTCCCGGGTTCACGCCATCCTCCTGCCTCAGCCTCCCGAGTAGCTGGGACTACAGGTGCCCGCCACCAAGCCTGGCTAATTTTTTGTATTTTGTTTAGTAGAGACGGGGTTTCACCGTGTTAGCCAGGATGGTCTCGATCTCCTGACCTCATGATCCCCCCGTCTCAGCCTCCCAAAGTGCTGGGATTACAGGCACGAGCCACCGCGCCCGGCCTCTCCTTTTTTTCATAAGGACATCAGTCATAGGATTTAGGGCCCACCCTGCTCCAGTAGGACCTGCCCTTAATTCCATCCACAAAGACCCTACTTCCAAAGAAGGTCCCTTTCTGAGGTTCTGAGTGGTGTGAATTTCAGAGGGAGCCTCTCCAGCCCACCACAGCAGCCAGGGGTGTCCGCGGCGGGGATACAGGTCTGAACAGCAGCCAGGGGTGTCCGCAGTGGGGATACAGGTCTGAACAGCAGCCAGGGGTGTCCGCAGCGGGGATACAGGTCTGAACAGCGTCAGGGGTGTCCGCAGCGGGGATACAGGTCTGAACAGCGTCAGGGGTGTCCGCAGTGGGGATACAGGTCTGAACTGCAGCCAGGGGTGTCCGCAGCGGGGATACAGGTCTAAACAGCGTCAGGGGTGTCCGCAGTGGGGATACAGGTCTGAACAGCAGCCAGGGGTGTCCGCAGTGGGGATACAGGTCTGAACAGCGTCAGGGGTGTCCGCAGTGGGGATACAGGTCTGAACAGCGTCAGGGGTGTCCGCGGTGGGGATACAGGTCTGAACAGCGTCAGGGGTGTCCGCAGCGGGGATACAGGTCTGAACAGCGTCAGGGGTGTCCGCAGTGGGGATACAGGTCTGAACAGTAGCCAGGGGTGTCCGCGGTGGGGATACAGGTCTGAACGGCGTCAGGGGTGTCCGCAGTGGGGATACAGGTCTGAACAGCAGCCAGGGGTGTCCGCAGTGGGGATACAGGTCTGAACGGCGTCAGGGGTGTCCGCAGCGGGGATACAGGTCTGAACAGCGTCAGGGGTGTCCGCAGCGGGGATACAGGTCTGAACAGCGTCAGGGGTGTCCGCAGTGGGGATACAGGTCTGAACAGCGTCAGGGGTGTCCGCAGCGGGGATACAGGTCTGAACAGCGTCAGGGGTGTCCGCAGTGGGGATACAGGTCTGAACAGTAGCCAGGGGTGTCCACGGTGGGGATACAGGTCTGAACGGCGTCAGGGGTGTCCGCAGTGGGGATACAGGTCTGAACAGCAGCCAGGGGTGTCCGCAGTGGGGATACAGGTCTGAACAGCGTCAGGGGTGTCCGCAGTGGGGATACAGGTCTGAACAACGTCAGGGGTGTCCGCAGTGGGGATACAGGTCTGAACGGCGTCAGGTGGATGAGCGGGGAGAGGCAGAACCATCCAGCGTGACAAAGGTCGCCGTTGCCAGCGTTCTCTCTCGTTGCTGGGCACACCCTCCTCTGTTCTGGCAGCATCCAGCATTTCCCTGGGTTCTCTCCAGGACACCCAGCTCTGTGTTCCCACAAGGATGTCAGTTTCTCAGTAGTGCCCTCCCCACCACCGAGGCTCAGGAGACCCTTCCCTACGGCTCCAGGGAAGCCCCTGAGTGCTGGCCCAAAGTTAAACTTTCAAATATGGACAGGCAGAGCCTCAGCAGACTCCTCTCTGGCTCACCAATGGTCAACGTTACATTCAGGACCATCCCTCTCGGCTCCCCCGACCTCTCCAAACTCTCCAGAGCCCTTGATCCCTGCCGGATGCCGACTCCACATGTCCAGATCTCCCCAGATGCCACCCAGGTTTCCTGGGCCTCCCGGCCGACCTCCGCCTAGAGGCCACCGTTCTCCAGGCAGAATCCCACCACCCAGCTCTTTCCTTCCCTGCTGACCGAGCCCAGCCCTGCCTGGCAGCATTCTTGTGCCCTAGCTCCCTCCCGGGGCTGTGCCATCCCTGTGCAGCGAAGACCCCTGTGTGGTGAGCACAATGAGTGGACTATTCATTCTGTAAGAGGAGCGCACGCTCCTGTTCTCAGGGTCGCAGACGCTGTGTCCTTGCCACACCTGCCACTCAGGAAAGTCTGTGGCTCCCACTCAGGTGCATGCTGGGTAAAGAGGATGCCATGTGTGGCCAAGGCTTGGCTCACAGGGCCCTCCAGGCAGGGCCACTAGAATGCCTCTTAGGGCTACTTAGCAGGAGTCAGATGGGCTCTCTTGATTTCAAAGAAAAGGGAGGACAGTCGGTCTAGGAGGAGAAGCCCCTCAGGATTTCGCCACCTCTCCTGTCACCTCACAGGCCTATCTTTTCTGTTTTTCTTCCTAAAAACCCCACATATCACCTGTTTCTCCAGAAAAGGGAACACTCATTTCGTCAATGAAATATCAAGACTGTGAACCCACCCAGGGAGGCCACGCTGTGGGGTACACCTGCTCTCCACTCCTGTCCCAGCCAAGCCTCCAAGGCACCGGCCTGCGGCCCTGGCGAGCTGGGGAGCCTGGGGCGGGTGGAGGGGATGCGTCTGCACGGTCAGCGCCCTCCCCACAACTCCAGGTGGACTCACAACCACCGCAATATCACACATGGTTCTGGCCGCGGCTCTGGGCTACCCGGGGCACCTGCCATCCCAGTTTCACTGTGGCAGGTGGAACTGTTTCCTCACTCTGTTGAGGCCAACAGCAGCCTGAGGGTGGAGCGAGGGCTGGGTCCCCTCCAGTCGCCCCCTTGGCGGGTGCCTGTTCTGAACACAGCCTGCACTCCCAGCACGCTGCCCAGCTTCAGAGCATGGTCTCCCACCTGCAGTGGGTCAGGTTCCTCCAACCCCCCGGGCTGTATTTTTGTGAATTGCTGTGCTGGCTCTGTGGGTACCAGAGGGGAAGGAGTGGCTGGAAGAGTTTGGGAATGTCACTTCTCCATGTCCATCTCTAGTCTAAATAATGCAGCCACAGGCCTCTCTCAAGCACCAGCATCCATCCTCTCTGCACACAGTCCCAGACGCTGCAGTCACTCCAAAGCCCACGTGCCATCAGAGACTCTCGGGCTCAACACCTGGTCACAGACATGTCCCTGCTTCAGGGCAAAGCCCAGAATACCACCACACTTCAGACCCCTGTGAGCCACAGCCGCTCCACTCCAGGCCCACCCTGACCCATCTGCAGCACGCAGAAGGGGGCTTCCTGCCCAAAGGAGGAGTTCAGCTCATAGGTCAGACTCAGCTCAGGCTCAGCCACATGGCGAGGCTGGCAGGTGCCTAAGCAGACCCTGAGCTTCTCCCAGCAGCATTCACTACCAGGTGTCACGGAATAAATGGCGCCCAGGGCTGGACACTGAGCCCGGAGGACAGGGCTGCCTCTTTCTTGTGCATCGCAGCATCCCCAGTCCTAACAGAGCACACGTGGGTACCAAATAATTGCTCATTAAAATGGGGAGTCAGAGAGTGAGAGGCTGACTCTGCTCACTGCACCCACCACTGGACATTCACATTCACATTCATTTGCAGAGCATCTGTATCCTAGAACCATGCAGAGTTGGGGCTCAGCGTCCTGGGGCCTGTCCCAAGACCTCATGGAGAGGAGGAGAAGAGGGACACGGCCCCCCGATGCAAACATTGCCAGGCCCTGAACAAGGAACGAGGGGAGCCCAGCAGAGGCCCAAGCCCTGCCAAGCCAAGCATGCACAGCAGGGGTAGGGGGCTCCAGCGCAGAGCCCTCTCCCTGGCAGCGGTGTGCAGAAGGGGCTAATGCCTCAGGGCTGGGTTGTCCAAACTCTGCACATTGCAAAGAAAGGTTTGGCCCTTGATTGTCTTCTGGGAGATGACCTCTAAGCCTTAGGATGTCCTGTCTAATTGGAGCAGGTTTGTTTATCTGGGGGCTTTAGGGCACGTGGTCTCAGCTTGGCCTCTGGAGGGAGGGCTGGAGGCTCAGGGCGGCACGTGGAGAGTGAGCCACACTGATGTGGCTCAGCCCAGGGAAAGGCCCAGACATTGAGGCTCAGCTGAGCTTCCCTGGTTAGCAACATGTCCTGTGTCCTGTGTGCGGTCACATACCCTCGCCCAGAGAAGGAAACGGCACCCACAGAAGTCCACCGAGAGAGAGGGCAGCTGGCTGCTGGCGTTTGGCTCCTCCCGACTCTGCCCTGTGTGCCTTTCTCCCTTTACTGATCCTAACCTGTAACCTTTCCTGGTAATGAGCCATTGCCATGAGGAACACAGCTTATCAGACTTCTGTGAATCCTTCTAGAGAAGCTTTGACCCTGGAGGCTCGTGGGGAACCCTCGGAAGTCATTTTTATTAGGTGACACAAAGCTATCAGGAGAGCCCGTCAGGAGAGGAGAAACCAGGCCACGGAGGCTTTGAGTGACTTGGCCGAGGCCCCCTGCCAACACAGAGCCGAAGGGTCCCCGACCCAGGCCTCGGTGCCCAGCTGTGTGAGAGGTCTCCCCTGTCATGGGCCGAGTGCCTATGCCATGTGCCCACTCTGTCCCCTTCCCAGTGATCACAGAAAGCAGGAACCCCCACACCACTGTCTCCATGTTATAGACACTCTCATTCATTGGTCAAATATTGATCGGGCACCCACACTCAGGAAGCCGTGTGCAAAGTTCAGGGGATACAGTGGTGACCAGGTCAGAGCAGGGGGAGGTCCACATGGCTCAATCATTGGGGAAAAGGCAGTGGGGGCTGCCAGGCGCCAGGCTCTGTCCTAGCTCTGGAGACTCAGCGGAGAACATGACAGACTCTACCCCTGCCTCAAGGGAAAGAGTAATGGACAGTGAATAGCTGAATTACAGGGTTCAGCAGGGGTCGGGGCCAGGAAAGAGAGGCAGCTGAGGTACGGGTGGGGACGGTGGGGGTGGCGGTACTCTTTTAAATAAGGGGGTGTGGGAGGCCTCACCTGGAAGGCACATTTCAACAAAGCCCTGGAGGAGGGGGAGCTGGTGACGCAGACCATGGGGAGGGGTCTCCTGGGCTGCCCATAGCCCCTGAAAGGAAGCGAGCCTCCTTCGCAGGCTGAGTGTTTCACCTTCCTCCTGCCTGCAGCGCCCACATCACTGCATACTCACTGCACCCTACACGCCCGGCCTTTTTCAAACTGCCTCACTGGGCAAATGGCTCCCGTTATGGGTGGTCTGCTGCGGGACCCCAGCCTCTGGAGGGGCTGCTTAACACACTGTCCCTTTGCCACACCCTGTGTCTAACTTTCTAAGGGCTCAAGAGGCCCCCGGTGGCTGGGGATGGGCCCTGGGGCTCCAGCAGCCTAGAAGCAGGAAGAAATGTCCCAGGCACCATTCTGAGACACACATCTGAGGGCAGGTGTGCGCGATAGCCAACACGATGACTTTGTGCATCAGTTTACCTCACTGTGAAATGGGTGCAATGGCCACCACCCTCTACTCGGGGACTCTGGAAGGGAAAGTGGCCCAGGTCATCCAGCAATTAAGCCCAGTCTGTTCCACGCTTGTCTCACTCATTTGGAGACAGAATTCTGGGATGGATCTTCATGTTCCTACACACATTTTCTCTCCGGCTTCACTGGGCTCCATGCAGTGGGACAGGAAATCTCATCTCACGGCCATTTGTCTCCATCCATGTCCTCCCGCCTTCTGTGCCCCCTCGGGAATAGACTCCAGTTCTTGACACTGAGCTTTGCTCTGGGGGTCAGACAAGCAGAGGGGAGCCTCAGACCCCGGCTTTGCAGAGCTCTTAGCCAATCCAACTTTGAGCATGTGCAGGCTTGAAGAGCACTGGATCTGGAATGGGAGCCAGCTCACTGGGCCGCTCTGTTCTCCTCAGGAGGCCCTTGCCCTTGGTCAGCCCCAGTCAGCCATGGTCAGCCCCGATCAGCCACGGTCAGCCCCAGTCAGCCATGTCAGCCCCAATCAGCCACGGTCAGCCACGGTCAGCCCCAGTCAGCTGTGGTCAGTCCTGGACAGCCCCAGTCAGCCATGGTCATCCTCAGTCAGACCCCACTGTTATCCATGAGTCTGTCCTAGAAGCTGTCCCCATAGCCAGAAGGATGACTCTGAATGACTCAGGCTATTCCCAAGATTTGGACCTGCCTTGGTGCCGGAGGCCACGTCTTATCTAGAGACCTGTCCACAGCACTGCCCTGCCACGGACTCAGCCCCACAGAGCCCCCTCCCCACGGCCCAGGTGGAACCCTGTGGGCTGTTTCTCCTCCACTGAGGTCACTGACAGCTGCAAGGCCTTGAGTGGGAGGAGTCAGAACCTGGCCGTGTCTGCAGCTGGGGCCCTGGGGGTGACATAAAGGAGGTCAATAAGTTCAGAGCGCCTTGGGGAATTTGCCTGGACAGCAAGGGAGCTCAGCAGGTGTGAGTTTCTTAGACCACATAGCACTGAGTTGGAGATTTGAACCTGGCTGTCTAAGGAAGACCTGCCCCTTCTAGTAAGAGACACAGACAGTAGGCAATGCTGGTGGGATAGGATGTCAAATGATGACCAGAGTCGTGGAGAAAATGGAAGCAGAGGGAGAGCGTGGAGCAGGTGCTGGGCCATGTCCCTGCTTAGAGAGGTGTGGCAAGAGAGGGTTCATGATTGGAGAGGGACTCCTAGCAGGAGGCATGGCCGCCCTGCTGACTTGGGGACTGCTGGCCCAGTGCTGTTCCTCTTGGGGGCATTTTCTACTTGGCTTTTCATCAGGAAAAGGTCTGTGTCACCTTTATTGGCAGAGAAAGGTGACAGGTTTTATGTGTCAACCTGTCTAGGCTATGGTTCCCAGTGATCCAATCAAGCAGTCATCCAGGCGCTGCTATGGAGGACTTTGGTAAAGGAGACCACCCAAAATAACATGAGGCCTTATCCAATCCATTGAAGGCATTGAGAGCAAACACCGACACATCCCAGAGAAGAAGAAACTCTGCCCAGCCAGCCCCAGTCAGACGTGGGCTGCACCCACTCCTGCCTCAGTTACCAGCCTGCAGGCCTGACCTACAGGTTCCTGACTTATAAACCCCAACAATTGCATGAGCCAAGTTCTTAAATGTATCAATCTGTGTCTATGTGTATATCTGTCTATCGACTTCCCTCCATCTGTATCTCTCCTTGAGTACCTGTCCTCTAGCTTCCTGGCTATCCTTCCTAACCATCCATGTCCTATGATTCTGTTTTCCTGGAGCACACGGGCTGGCACATGGCTGAGCCCACCAGCCTGTGGCTCTCAGGAGAGAGAAGCGCCTGGGTATAGGCCAGCGAGAGCCTTCAGCCCCTGCCTGTCTTCCTTCCGCTTGGGCCCACAGTGCCCACTCACTCTCCTAGGCAGCCGAGGGAAGCCCCCAGCCCCAGCCAAGGAGACTGGAGTCCTTCGTCACAGCCGAAGGGACAAGAACATGGACGACAGTGGCACCAGATCCAAGAACCCAGTGTCCTTCAGAGTGGTATCTTCAGATGATGGAGGCCTGGCCTGAGTGCATTCTCTGACTTTGAGTCTGTCACTGGACATGCAGTCTTCCAAAGGCCTGGGCCAGGCCCCAGACCACAGCACCACAGTAAGAGCGGGGAGCAGGGGTCATGTATATGTGCATGTGTGTGTATGTGTGTTGTGTGTGAACATGAACATGCATGAGTGCATGTATGCACATGTACAGGTGCACACACAGTCACGAGTTCTGATTCCTCTTCAGATGTATTCTTCATGTCTGCAGCCACAGGGAAGGGGCTCCAGGATCCTGGGTTCCCTGGGAGACAAGTGGCAGGAGGGGGGCAGCTGGGCTGGCCATGCTCTGTCTCAGCCTCCTGCTTGCTCTGCTCCCAGGCTGGGACACTCCTGTGGCTGCTGCACAGGGAGGTTTCTCAGGCCCTCGGGGGGCCGGCCGAGCCTACCACATGCAGGATGGACCTCAGAGGCATCCGGGCCTCCTCACACTTGGACTTCCTCCTTGCTCGCCCCCTCACCCTTGTGGCAGGTGTTCCACACACTGATCTGCCCTTGTCTTCCCACCATGACCAGCTCTCCATAGTCCCCACTGTTGCCACTCCTTGGCCTGTCTTCCAGGTCCTTCCTTCCTGCCTGGGACTTTCCACCTGCCAAGTCCCAGGCACGGCGGCACCCTATGCCCCCAACCTCCAGCCATAAGGATCCACTTCTCAAAGGAATGTTTTTGGTGGAATCGGGTGCCCCTAAAAGGTATGTTTAAGGCCTTACCCCTGGCATTGGCAAATGGAAACAGGGTCTTTGCAGATGGAACCAAGTTAAGAGGAGGCCAGAGTGGGCCCTAAGTCCAAGGCTGGGTGTCCTTATAAGAAAGTCATGTGGACAAAGACACACACAGCAGGGACAGTCATGTGAAGATGGAGACAGTGACTGGGGGAGGAGTCTGTAAGCCACAGACTGCCAGGGCCACCAGGAGGTGGGACAGCCAGAAGGGAACTCCCCAGGAGCCCATAGAGGGAGCCTGGCCCTGCAGACCCCCTGGTTCCGGGCTTCGGGCTCCCAGAGCTGTAGAGGATAAATGTCTGTTGCTTTAAGCTCCCAGCTGGCAGTCGTTTATTATAGCAGCCCCAGGAAGCAAAGACAGAGACTTCTGGAACTTCCAGACCCCAGTCTCGCTCCACGAGGCTCCCCAGGGTGTTTGTCCACACTCCCCCTCATCTGCTGACTCTGTTCCCAGCTACCTTCTTGGTGACACTGTGGACTGGGCTTCCGAACTGGGCCCACCCAGCACCCCATGCAGAATTCACAGAGCTGGGGACTCTGTGACACTTGCTCCGAGCCCCCTGCTGGCCCATGCCCTCCTGCAGCCAGGGACCGTGCTGCGGACATCAGCCCTAGGGCTGGCCCAGAGTCTTCACCTGGTAAAGACGTGTCCAATATCTGAAGAGTGGGGTTTTGACATTTGCATAAGAGCTCCCTGACATTGAAGGGAGGGATGCCTGTCAGCCCATCAGGCCATAAAGAGAGGCTGGAGAGGGGACAGGAGCCACTCAGGCAGAGCCAACCGCAGAGGGGGCTCTGCCCGCTGACCTCACTGCCCAGCCTGCTGTTTCTGGAGATGTTGCCTCCAACCCATTTTCAAATCTGGCCCTTCCCACATTCATTCATTAATTCATCCATCCACTCATTCATTCATCCAACACCCATCTACTGAGCGCTGAGCAGGTGCCAGGCTCTGGGAGGCCCTGGAGACACGGGGGTGAGCAAAGACAACCACAGAGTCCCCAGCTCTGAGGGGGAGGCCATCAACCGACCAGGGAGCAGACATGGGGCATCTCAGCACATGCCAAGGCACAGAGCTTCATTAGGAGCTTCAGATGGGTGCAGCAGAGGACACCGGATGAAGTTTTTAAAGCTGGGTAACGACATCACCAATGAGCTACTTTTGAAACACCCTCTGGCTGCTGTGTGCAGAATGCACTGGAAGGAGGTGAAGTGGGCATGGGGAACCCCTCTCCCCCCAGACCCCGCCAGAGCCAGGCCTCTTCAATCCTGCCTAGCAGTGACTGCACCAGCCTCCGGGTCCCTGGTGACCCCATGCCAGGACCGCGCCCACCCTCCCACCTCCCCATTGCCAAGTCACAGCCTCCCAGCCAGGAGCAGTTCCTCCCAAAAGGCCCTTCTAGTCCTGCTACCGCCCAGCCATCATCACTGCCTCCAGGGTGACGGACACGCCTATGCTTGGCATTCGGGGCCCTTTGTGACCCGATTCTGTCTTGGGTTTCCAGTCTCACCCCCACACCAGGATTCTTAGGCTTCCACCTGCCAAGCTGCTAGAAGGTTCCATGGGCATCCTGCCTCTGAATGTCTGCATCTCCTGCTGCCTCTGCCTGGAGTGCACGCCCCTCAGCCCTTCCCAACCGCAGGGTGAAGCCCCTCTTCTGGAGCCGCTCCCTGCGAGGAGGTCAGCTGTCCTGATGGGCATCCGTATACCCAATCCCACATTACCAGGGTCCCTGTAGGCACCCAATTGCCCCTGGGCTGAGGGCTCCCTGGGAACACGCCATCTCCCTCTCCTCTCCTCTCAGCCCCTCCCGCATGGGCAGACCCACCCCGCAGGCTCCCGGCTGCAGCCCGAGCCCTTACATTCAACTTGGCAAACACATATTTGTGGATGTTTTATTGATGGGATGTTTGTTCTGGAAGCAGTTTCTGATGTTTGGTCATTAGCATTTGTCTTCCTAAGAATATTCCCTCTTTTGATGCTTTAACATTACAAATATTAATAATCAATGGCCACAAGGAAGGTCGGCCGATATCCTGAGCAAACTCTACCGTGTCTAGCATGCAAAACCCCACAGGCCAGGGGCTCCATACCATTTTTGTTAAAGGAATCAATGAAATAAGATGTAGTATTGACAGTAACGGTCTCCAGGGCTATTTTGTTTTTTTTTTTATGATGAACACTTTGGCCCCATCCACTCAGGCTGTGATTTCTTCTTCACCATCTGAGCGAAGGCAGTTTTGTTCTGTTAATTCCGCCCTCGCCCCAATCAAACCAGGTTCTAGAGTGGGAGCCTCACAGCGGGGAGTCAATTACAAACATAATGAGGCCCCTCCAGCGGGGACCAGTCTCAGCGGAGCCTCGTCTTAATGGGATGGGGCCAGCGGGATGTGACCAGATCCCCTTGCCGCCTCCCACTTCTTCCGGCTTTAGTCTGCCCTCCCGTGTCCTTCCCAGAAGCGCGGCGTGTGTGAAAGAAACATTCGGCAGGGGGCAGGAGGGAGAGGGTCTTTGTCCACTCCTGCCCAGGGCCCTCCCGGAGGGCAGCAGCTGTGCATTCAGGCGTCAAAGCCACAGTCCTTTGTGATCTTGTCCCCCGCTTGCCACAACCCACTAGGCCTGTAGTGCCTGTCCCTGACCAGCTGCAGGCTCTGTGGACACTCCACGCCATCCCCTCATCCCCCTGAGGCGGGGAACATGCCGTCCACTTTGCCTGGACCCCTGCTCCTCTGCCCTTTCCCACTCAGTAAACTCCCGCTCAGCTGTTGCCTCCTCCTAGAAGCCTGCCCTGAATCATCCCCAACCCAGCAGGTGGGGAAAGTGCCCCTGTGCAGCCAGCCCCAGGCCCTTCCCTCCATCCCGATGCATCCATGGACCTGTCTGTCCCTTCTGCTCTTTGGGTCTGAGGCCCCTCTGTGCCTGCAGCAGCCTGCCCAGGGCAGTGCCAGGGACACGAGCTAACAGCACAGAGCACTCCTGAGTGTCCTGGGCCACAGGCTGGTGGTCACAGCCCCCCAGTGCAGGGAGCACTCATCCCCGAGGCATAGACCCCATCTCAGAGAGGTCAGGGTCGAAGCACTAGGGAATGATGCCGCTGAATCGGGTCCTGGGCCTTTCTCCAGAGGGAGGCCAGGTTCTAATCCACTAGGCTACAGGGCTTAGAAGGGCAGCTGGGGGCAGTGCTATGACTGCTTGGACCTAGGCCAGTGCAGTGGAGACTCCAGCAAAGCCTGTGCAGGGGCTGCCCCACTGTGGGTGACTCCGCCTGGGCGTCCTGAAGGTTGCATTCCGCAGACATCACCTCCAAAGCAGGTGGGCTTCCAGGCCCAGAGACAGGGGCCTGATCCCCAGCCAGGGCCAGCAGCACCGAGGGTCCCTCTTCCACACCTGCCTACTCCCGGAACAGGCCTTCACTCGGAACCTGGGCTCTGGGTACAAGGGACGCACCTGGTTCCACCCTCTCCCTGTGTCCCGGACAGTTTGCTCTGATGAGTCCAGGAACCGAGAACGGGGTAGGGGCGGCGAGCCCCGCTGGAGGGCCACTGCTGATCTTCGTTCTGCTCCCTCTTCCCTGGAACGAAGGGGACGTGGCCCAGCTGTCCAGCCTGCACTGTATCATTTAAAATTGCCATTTAGAGCAAATTAGGGCCTGGACAGCCACCGCAGGTCTGTAGGCTTTTCTTATGAATTTATAAATGGAGACCTGGCCGCGTCTGAGGATTTAATTGAAAAGATAATCACAGGGGACCACAGAGCCACTGTCTCCTCATGAGGGGAGAAGGCCACAACATTGCCCTTTGAGAGCAGAAATGTGTTCCGTGAAATCTGAAGATGGCATTGCGCGAGGCAGGAGCTGAGCGGAGCGGGGAAGCGGGGCCGGCGGGGAAGGATGCAGGATGCTGGCCCCGATAGCGGGCGGGTGCAACGCTGACCTGTTCCCAACGCATCTGTCCCTGCAGGAACCCTGTCCTGGGGTGAGAAAAAGATGCCCTTGCCTTTCCCTAGCTGTTCCCTCCACCTAGAAATCTCCTCCCTTGGGTTTTCGCAGGCAGCCCCCTCATTTGGGTCTCAGCTCAGACTGTTGCTCCTGGTAGAGACCCCATGACTACTCTGTCTGACATGGCACCTTCTTGTCACTACTCCCACCCACTCTCATCTGCCTCCTCCTCATCACTCTGACATCACCTCCCTGCAAGCGTGAGATGTTTGCAGAGAACCCTCCAGGTCCTGGGCACTGCTTTAGGTGAGGATGCAGCAATGAGCTCATGCAGGTGAAGCAGTGGGGTGGTCAGAGCGTCACAGGCCTGCCTCCCACTGCCTTGTGGGCTCCATGCAGGCTGGGGCTGGGGCCAGGGCTTTGTCTGTCCCCAAGCTCAGTCCTGACTGTTCTTCCACTGTTTTTCCTCCGAGCCCTGTCTCTCCAATCATCGCCCAGATCATCACCTGTGTCTCTCCAATCCTCGCCCAGACCATCACCTGTGTCTCTCCAAGCATCGCCCAGACCATCACAGCAGCTACCGGGTTCTCCTTCCTAGAATAGCTCACATGGGTCTCCTTGGCCACAAGGCAGAGCCAACCTCTTGCCTGGCAGTTAAAGCCTCCATGAAGAACCCATGCAGCTGTCCATCCCTATCCCACCTGGATGAATGGATGAGTGAAATAATGGGAGGATGGCTGGATGGCTGGATGGATGGATGGAAGGATAGATGGATGGATGGAAGGATGGATGGATGGATCGATAAGTGAGAGGATGGATGTGTGGGTGGATGGGAAGGTGGGAGAATATGTAGATGGATGGAAGGGAGGACGGGAGGATGGCAGGATGGGAGGATGGGAGGATGGGAGGATGGATGGGTGGATGGACCGAGGGATGGGAGGATGAGAGGATGGATGGGAGGGATGGGAGGATGGGAGGATGGATGGATGACTGGATAGATATATTAACTCACTGTTTGACCCTGGACAGTTCAATGAAACAATCTGGGCCCCCTTTCCTCATTTATTAGAAAATGCTCAAGAGGGAGGAGCGTTTTCCCTTGGCCATGAACTTCCCTGGAGGACACACTGGACCTGCTGGCCCTGTGACTTCAGTACATCTTTGTGGCCTCTGGCCTCCACTCTTCTTTCTTTTTAAGAGTGCTGAGCATGAAGACCCATTGTTTGATAACAATTGTCTTCCTGTCTCTGATGACAAACTGAGGAGCCCACTCTCTGTGCCACTGATCTCAGAAGCCTGTTCGCCTCCCCATGAGATGCCAGGCAGTGATTGTTTTTAAACAGCCCTGCAATGAGAAGGAAAGAAATTCTTTGCAGGGGTTCTCAGCCTTGGCTGCAGATTGGAATCACCTGGGGAGCTTTTTAAGCAGACACAGGAGCTCCACTCCAATCCAATTTAATCAGAATCTCTGGAGGCAGGGTCCAGGCTTCATAATCTGTAGGCCTGCCCAGGAGACTCATGTGCAGCTAGGACTGGGGATCTGTTGGCAAGAGACTTGGAAGCCTCAGTGGGGCTGGAAGGAAGCTACAGACTCAGGCAGGCATTTTGAGAGCAGGCTCTGCCTGGATAAACAGGGCTCCTTTTGGAGGTTCTGATACATCACCTCCTGCTCTTAACCTGCCAGGGAGCCTGAGGGAAGATACATGAACCGCACATTCCAACCACAGCTTAGGATTAGGGTTTGCACAGAAGCAACCAATGCATTCCCAAAGCACTGAATTTCGGGGAGAAAGAACTTTTGTGAGCACTGTCTCTGCGTTCTATTTTCCAGTCCCTTGCTATGAGGTACATCATTGTCATCATCATCATCATCATCATCACCAACACCACCATTACCATCACCTCCATCACCATCATCACTATCACCACCGCCATCAACAGCATCATCACCACCACCACCATCATCGACATCACCACCATCACCAGGACCATCACCACCATCATCATCATCACCACCATGACCACTATCAGCACCATCACCACCACCACCATCACAGCCAGCCTCACTATAATCACCATCATGTCTTAACTCCTTGTCAGGCTCTGTGTGAAGCACTTTAGGAGTGTTCCTCATTTCTACCCTCACAACAACTCTTCAGAGTAGTGCTGTTCATTTTTCCTATTTTACAAATGAGCACATTGCAGTTCAGAGAGGTTAAGTGACTTGTCCAAGGTCACACGGCCACCAGATGTGGAGCAGGGAGAGAAACACAGAGCTGCCTGACAACAGATACGGCGTTTTGGATAGGAAGGGGAAGATCAAATGCAACGTCCAGACCCAAACCCCCGAATGTCAGAGAGCATCCTCACCTTTCAAAAACCTAATCTCCCCCAAACAATGCTGACAATAAGAATCTGTCAACAGATGGAAGAGATGGTTAGGATCCAAAATAAGCAGCTGGGACTAGAGAGTGCCTTTCAAGTGATCAAGATGAAGCTGGGTGAAGCGCCATGCCAGGCCTTGCTGTTGCACTGTGAAAGCACAAGAACGCTTATTCATTCACTCTACGCGTTGATGCATTCAACAAACCTTTCCAAGTGCCCCCACTGCACCCAGAACCATGAGGCTTCTTGGCTGTTACACAGAAGGAAAGTAACCCCCATCCTCGACGCTATGCACACATCTTTTTTCAGTGTATTCTTCTCAAATAGATAGTCCCAGGCAACTGCCATGTTCCAGGCCCTGGGCTGATCCCATGAGTACTGCGAGGATGGAGACATAGCGTGAGGGGGATGGGAGCAGCTGAGTGACAGCCATGCATACGAGGCTTCGGGTGCTGCAGGACTCAGTCACCATCAACAAGGTTGCGACCCATGACGATGTTAATAGTGGTAGCTCCATACCTGGAAGGAGGACGGTGGAGTCCCACTTAGACCTGGGGCTATTCACACAGAAGCCTTGTAATCAGTACTTAGGGGGAACAAGGAGAACCAGAGCCTGCTCAGAAGAGGGTGGCAGAGTGATGTAGGGGCAGAGAACAACTGTGCCTTGCAGGGGACAGTTGAGATGGAAACAGATGCGGGAGCTGGGGGCACTGAGGGAGAACCCGCTGCCATCCTCATACCTCGGTGTGGCTCCATGGGGCAGAAAGGTACAGATCTTGCTTCTGAAGCCAGGAGGACAGAGCCAGCCCCTTGGGCAGGAGCCCACTCAAACCCAACCTGGCAGCTATCTCCTGTGATAAAGAGGCCAAGGGGCTTGAGCCTCCCAGGGACACACCAGCAGAACAAATTCCTGAGATGTAGAAAAGCACCCAGGAAAGCTGCAGAGGAACCCTTGTGCGGGGACCGGCTCCGGGAGCCACAGCAGCCAGGGCTAAAGAGTACTTTGGAATGCAGCCCCTCATTTTGTGGCAGTGGCCGCTGAGACCAAGAGCTGGGTGGCATCTCCCCCAGAGGCCAGAGCTGGGACTGGAGCCTAGGGCTGAGGGAGCCGGAGCCCTGGCTCCTTCAAGATTCAGGAGGCCTCTGAAGCTTAGTGCAGGCCCCGCTGAGCTGTGAGCAGCAGGCAGCCTCCAAGTGGCATAGACTGCCCAGGCCCACACTCAGGAGCTGGGTGGCTCCAGCCCAGCTGCCCTCTGACTTCTGTCACCTTATGAATGAGATGTCACTTGACTCGGAGGCCAGAGTGATGATGAGAGCTGTGAGGACAAGGTGACCTGGCAGTCGCCACCTCCTTGATCACCCAACCCAGAGGCCAACCGAAGGCCCCAGGGTGAGCTCCTCATCCCAGGGCCCCAAGAAGAAAGGACAGCAGATCTGAGTGGGAGCCCTAGGGACCCTTCCACTCTCTGCTGCTGTCCTGGCCACAGTGGATACGGACAAAGGCAGCAGCGTGGGGGCTGTGGATGACACGTCATTCGCCCATGTCTGGCAGCTTCCAACAGCAGCACACAGGCCTTGCTGCCTCCTGGACATCCAGGGGACCACTTGTGGCATGCTCTGGCCAGGAAAACTGCAGCTGCCAAACGCCTGGGGGGACGCCAGGCTGGACCGTGGTGGGAGTTTTAGATGCTGAGACAAAACCACACAATGCTTCAGTGTCTTCCCTCCAAACACTCTGCCTCTGTGTGGGCTGTGTGCTCCAAGCCAAAGAGCCACAGAGCCACTGAGCCACCTGCATACATACAAGCCCCACCCATCTCCAAAGAGAAAGGCAGCAGGGTGCCTCCCCTGGCATTTAGGTCCATTTCCATCCCAGCCCTGTCCAAGCACATGGCAAATAGAGGTCAAGTGACAGCGTCCAACCAGGTTCCAGGACCTCCCAAGTGCCTATGCCTCCCAGCACCCCTGGGCCGATTCTGGAACCACTTAGGGAATCGCCCAGCCAGAAAGCTGGGAGTCTGCCTGGATTTGCCGTCTTCCACACCCTGTATGTAGTGGGCCACCCACTGGTTCTGCCTCCCACCTGTATTCCCTGCTCCCCGGGCTCAGTCCTCACCAGCTACTGCCTGGGCCAAGGTGCCCACCTCCTACAGGACCCCGTGTTTCCAGGCTGCCCCTTTCCATGGGTTTCCACTGCAGCCAGAGGGAGAATGGGGTATGGACGTGAGGCCAGGTGAGTGTGTGCCTGTGTTAGAGATGACACAGTCTCCAGAACTGGCTCATTAAACTGCTTCTCTCCATGCACCCCCTGCCCCCATACCAAGACCACATTTCCCAGCCTCCTCTGAGTGGGGCGTGGCCACGTGACTGAGCTCTGGCCAGCGGAATGTGGGCAGAGTCCTGGGTGCCATGGTGGACCAGCCCATAACACCCTCCCCCGTGGAATCCCGCCAGCCTCTCCTTGTCTCCTAGATCTGGAGGAGGGCAGAGCCACAAGGAGGCAGGAGCCTGGGCCCCTGATTGACTGCAGGGGCGTGAACCAGATGTACTCTCACCCCCACCTGCCCTGAAGTTCTCATCAGACTGAGACAAGACCAGGAAACACCTTTTGGTTTGGGGACGTTTGTTCCAGCAGAAACCACTCAGAGAATGCTTGCACATTCATATCCCTTTGTGTGGAAAAAATCTGGATAAATGAATACCCATGATGTGGATAGCAATAGTCTTCGAGCTGTGAGATTTGGGGCAATTAATAAAAAATTTCTATCAACCTGGAGCCCTGGGTTCCCACCCTGGCCCTGCCCCTGCCCCAGGCCTTCTGCCTTGCATGGATCCTTGGCCTGTCTGCACCTCTGTTTCCTCATCTGCAAAACGGGAATGATGAGAGAACCCACCTCCCAGGGTCATCATGGTTTACTCCTGTAAACACTTAGCCCCCCACTAAAAAACAGCAGCGGCTAATAAGCCATGCCTTTGTCTGGGCTTGCGTTCTATTCACCATCTTGATGGAGATTACATATCAACCTCTTGTACATGTGTAACTATTAGAAGCGGGGAAGCCTTATTGTCCTTGGTGAGTAGGACCATGTATGAATTTTCTTTTCAATATTTTCTACATGTTCTAGAATGTCTACGTATCTTTATAAAGGAGAAAAAACGAACTTAAAAGAAAAGTGCACACATATCTCCAGCACAAGCCCCTGGAGAGGGGGACACACATTACTATAAACACCAAAAACAGCAGAAAGGAGATGGCTCCAGCTCCTGGCTCCTCACAGTGCCTGTGCCCACCCTGGCGCCTTGCACAGGGAAGCCTGTCACCTCCAGCCACCGGGAAAAGCCCACTCACCCTCCCCTCCCAGCCAGCTCCCACAGCAGCTTGGATAAAGCCCGAATACCACATATTTTACATATAAAGAAACTCGCAAGATGTGTGCCCTTCTGCTAAATTAAAAAGGAAAAGCAGTATTAACAGTGCAAAGACAAATGGCAACCGCTGAGATTAAATATTCATGCCCTGGCAGCTCCTGAGGGCTAAATGCAGGAGAATGTTGCCATGGAGCAGAGGCCTCCTGCTCGGGGCTGCCTGGTCCGCGCCCATCCCCTGGCCCCAGCAGAGCATCCTGGGCCTTCTTTCGCCCAGCGGCCCCGGGTGTCATTCACCCATGAGAAGCTAATACTGTCCTCACTTCACCACAAAAACCCTGCAAGGGGGGTGCTTTGTCATCCTCATTTTCTAGAGAGGTGACATAACCTGGGCAGAACCCCCAGCACTTAGGGCAAAGGTCAGGACACCACGTGGCCTCAGGCTGCAGCGAGGAGCCGCCGTGGAGGCCGGGCTGTGCTGCCGGGACCCATGGCCGGAGGCGCCGGCTTTTAGAAGGAAGGCAGCATCACCCACCTCTCCCATTCCCCATCTGCATTTCTCAGGCCCCTCCTCTGTGCTAGGCACTATCCCGATGCCCAGCACAAACAAGTACATTCCATAGTGCCGGAAGTTCAGAAAGTCTGGACTATGGAGGAAATTCAAGGTGAGCTTTCTGTTTTTTATTTGTCATTGATCCCAATGGAAATGGTCAGAGTACACCATTTTTTGGGATCCCCAAAAGTACAGCAGCCCCTAGTCCTACCTTTGAATGGGTACAAACTCTCACCCTAAAATAATCCATTCTTGATGCAACACACACCGTTCTAGACTACAAACCTAACCACATAGCCCTTCTCTGCTGCAAATCCCTCTGCAGCACACTTCCCCTCGGGGCTCAGTCCAAGCTAGTTAGTGTGGCATTCCAGGCCCTGCATCTGCCAACCACCGCTCCCACCAGCCCTCCACAGGCTGCGGCTCCCTTTTCCCTGAATAGACCACAGCCCCTCCCTCAGGGCATCCAGAGCTCGGGCAGCCTCTCCTAGAGTGCATTCTTTTTCCCCCTGGTGAACTTCTATTCATCCCTCAATGTCCATCACAAAAGAGCCCACCTGTTCCACCTCCATGGAGACTTCTACTGGCTTCTCCAGCTAGAGTTAGGGGCTCACTCATGGGTAGTTGGGTGGGTTCTGCAGGTTGAATCCCAGCACTGTGACATCGCCTGATGGTGAAGCTGCCTGGCCCATTTTGTTCCTCTACAGTGGAAAGTTCCAGGCTGACCAGGTGTGTTCAGTCCACTGCGGCATCCAGCTCTTAGCTCACTGCCAGCCCAGTGTAGAAGCTCAACACACGCTTCCTGACTGAATGAGTTAATGAATACTTGGGTTCACAGTCAGTTCCAAAAACCAAAAAAGGAGAGGAGCCACTCGTGCCAATTCTCGATCCAACGTCCCAGACTCATCAGTGTGGGGACTCAGGGGTGCCTGTTTGAAATCACCAGCCTCCGCACCTCCCCAGTCTCTGCTACTGTATCTTGGTTCCCAGTGTGACAGCTGGGAAACCAATTCCACACCAGTCCGGCACGCATCAGTATGTAGGCGGCGCAGGGCTCCTGCTGAAACACTAATCAGGGCCGTTAGTATGCACGGCGCGGTGCTCCAGAGCGGTGCAGGAGAGTGGCACCACCGTCTCCCCAAGCCCGCCCAACTTTCCTCCCTACTATTTCCAAATTCAGCAAGCACAAATCACTGATCTTATTTTTCCACTAAAGTTAAGCAACAAATTGCTTTGCCAGCCTCCAGCGTTGATTGTTTTAACAGAGACGTGGAGAAGGATAAGGCCTTTTCCAAGGATGGGGGTCTGTTCCTGGAGGCCCTGGAGTCGAGAGCTTCTGCGCCCCCACCCCCAGGGATTTTCAACAAATAAAACTCACACCTCCACTCTGGGAAGGAAACATTTACTAAGTACCTACTATGCGCTGGAGTCTCCTTTTTAAATCCCCTTTTCAGAATATGTGAGTGAAGCTTCAGGGAAGTCAAATAACCATTCCCTTCCTATCCCCAAGGTCACACAGCTGGACTATGTCCAGTTTCAAAGCCGGGTCTGATACCACAGCCCCATTTTCTGAGTAACGGGCTGTGCAGCAAATCCTATAACATGGACCAAATCCAGCAGTGCCCCCTCTTAATCCCGTAGTCATTCATTCAGGAGGCTTCTCAACAGAGTGGTCAGCACCAGGCTTCGGGGCCAGGCTCCCTGGCCCACTGCCCCTTTATCCCTAGGCTCTAGACAGTGACTCAGTTTCCTCACCTGTACAATGAGGATGATAACAAGAACACTGAACTGGAGGGGCCTTTGTGGGGCTGTTGTCACACTGGGAGCTGAGATACGGTGGCAGAGACCAGGGAGGTGTGGTGGCTAGTGATCTCAAACAGGCACTCCTCAGTCCCCATATTGGCAAGCCTGGCACACGGGATGGGGAATTGGCAAGAGTGGCTCATTTCTTTATTTGTTTTTTGGAACTCACTGGGAAATGATAATAGCATGTTGTGAGCGCTCCCTCTGGCGAGTGCACCGTGACAGCAGATAGTGAGTGCTCACAACATGCTGTTGTTATTCATTCACTCTGCAAGTGTGCACCGGCTTCTTCCGTGCACAGGGGCTGGGGCCCAGCTGGCCTCCTTTATTCACTTAGCTCCTCCTGCGTGCCAGACCCAGAGCCAGGGACTGAGGTCGCCAGGATGAACAAGAGGCTCCATCCCTGGAAAAGGTCACTCTGACAGCAGAGGGCACTCTGGAAACAGATGACAGTGCCACGCATGCTTGGACTGTGAGTCGCCTCCAGGTGCACCAGGAGGGGAGGAATCCAGGCTTTAGAGCCAACGTCTCTGGAGTACACTGAGGGCACTGCCTGCTTTTATCTGGGCTTCTGCACATCAGGGACCCCTGGCCTACTGATAGGCTTATAAAAAGCATAAAACAAAGGCCAAAGTTCTTAGTCCCACTCCCAGCCTCCCGAAGCCCGTCTTTAGATCCTTCGTGCTGCCCTTTGCCCCATTACATAGATGAACAAGCTGAGGCTCATGAAGGTACGTGATTTGCTCACATCTCCCGCTCACAGGTGAGACATTTGGGATTAAAGTCCCAGGCTGACTCCAAAGTCTCCCCATCCACCTGTCCCTGCGTGAAGCACCGGGCAGGAGAGCTGGCGCCCAGCACAGCCTTAACAAATGTCAGCTCGTCTCCCCACCTCGGAGCCCAGGGAAGAGCGAAGCACACAGGCCGGGCTCCAAGGCACTCTGGGTGGCTCTCTGGGCATCCTCTCCCTTACACTCACTTGCACTGTGGCTTCTCTTGACAGTTCCAATAATTCCTTAGAACTTTGGGCACAGAGACAGGTGAGCCTGATGCGGTGCCTTTCAGATGCCAGCTGTGTCCAGCTGCCGTGGGACAGCAGAGGCACTGAAGCCTGCAGGACAGCAGAGGCACTGAAGCCTGCGGGACAGCACCTCCCAGGTGTGCCTGGAAGCTCCAGGGGTCTTGTTAATATGCAGATGACAGGTGGGCAGATGTGGGGTGGGGCTTGATGTGTGGGTTCCCAGGCCATATTTTGGGCAGCAGGGGTTGGGGAGCTAAGAAGGGGTCAGAGGTGAGGCACCCAGAACGCCCTGTCCAAGCCTCTGGGCTATATCCTGAGGATGGCTGCAGACCGTGGAAGGGCCGGGGAGAGAGCTCCTCGCTGGGTTTTCTCTGTCACCCCAGCAGCGAGGCTGCTGCTACGCTCCTCGGATCATGCAAACATGCTACAGTGCCACTTCATTTCTCATTATGTCCTTGGAAATTTTCTGTGTGGGATGTGATTTTGTCACGTGCATGAAAATCCCAGCACAGTGCGGCGTGAGTCCATGTACACATGTTGCTCGCGGGGGTGCTACAGGTTTCCCCACTGATCACACGCAGTGTGCAGCCACCATGCAGAGGCGGCCTTGGCGCGGCCAGGCTGACAGCCCAGAGGTCAAGCTGGAAGCTCGGCCATCCCCCTGCTGGTGAGGCGGGACTTTGGGGGAGGAAGATAAAGGCAGAGGGGAAGGAGGGCGGGGGCTCCAGCTCCAGGGGCTGCAGACGCCCCCACAGCATCTTTCACGTTCAGAGATGGAAGCAAGTCCTGTGACGGCAGAGGGAAAGAGCGAAGGCAGTAATTATTTTATTAAGGACCAGGAAATGATGAATAATTTAATTTGGGGAGAGAGCTCATCACTGATCGAATCACCGCATCCTCAGTCCTGACATGGCCTCCTCTCTAATGTCCTCTGATGTTTGTGGCAGGGCATCTTGAAGAAGCTTCCAGCAAGCTTCAGGTCTGCCTGCAGCCTGGCATTTCTGACACTCCCCGGGCAGCAGGTGGCAAGGAGCAGCACGAGGATGATGGAAAGAGAGGGGGGAGAAATGAAATCCTCGATGGAAACCGGGTGCCTGTGTTGAGTGTGGTCCCATGAAAAATTCAAGCTGCGAGCTTGGCCGTGTGTAGCCGATGCACGGCCCAGGCTTCAGGAGGCGACTGTGAGTTCACGGCAGGGTCACGGCCACAGATGTGAAAATGCAACATCGAGCTGTCACGTGACCGCTGAAAAGTGACCTCATGGGACACCCAGGATTAGGGAGCGTGTTGAGTTACTCCCAAGAGCTGAATATCCAGCCAGGTCCTATTCCCTTTCCCTCCACATTCCCACCTACAAGAAACTAATGTCACCAAATCTCGATTACACAGCTCTCGGCATGCAATTCCGACATGCCTGCAGCTGTTCCCACAGACACGGATGCCACTCCAGTCATGGAAATGCACCATGGGGTCTAAGCGGCCAGAGGGCCTTGGAGCGGCTCTAGACACAATGGCGCAAGGTGGGCTTGGGAAAGCTGTGGGGGTACGTTGGAATTCACTGAGGCTGCAACTCCAGGCTGCCTTTTGACCACCGAGCTGTTCTGAAGCTGGGGGAGTCTGGCACCCCGAATGTCTGGACCTTAGAAGTGTGCAGGGGCCCGTGGAAGCTGCGTTGGCCACCGACTGGGGTTGGCTGGTTAGTGCCCAGGTGGGCCCCATCAGAAAGATGGCAGCATCGGGGACCATGTCCTCTGGGGCTTAGGGCATGGCATCGCTCAGTGTGAGGACCCCAAGGTACCACTGCCTCATTTCCCTTGGGCCCGCCCAGGATTCTACTAGCTGGCACGCTGGGTGGGGAGCGGGGGTACTCTCAACCCATTGGCTGGCTCAGACCCTCAAATAGCACTGGGCACCATGCAGGGGGAGGGACTGCTGGGTCACCTGACAAGGTAGAGGAGCGCCAGGCCCCGGCAGCAGCTCAGTTACCCTAAATGCCCCTCGCCTACCAGATTGGATGCTCAGGGCCACTGGGCTCTGCAGGGGTGGCCCTGGATGACATGAAGGACGTGGTCTCCCCCACCACCCACTCTGCCAATGCTCCCAGCTGCTCCTTGCCTCTCTCCCTCCCTACCAATTGGGGGCAGAAGCCACCTGCCCGGGTACTTCTCCCCAAAGTGGATGGCCCTGGCTAATGCCCTCAATGTGACCAGGCTGGCTTCACAGGACCCTCAAGGCTCCTGAACCCAACCAGGCGACATCCCAGAGGGTGATGGGAGCAGGGCTGGCCATGGAGAGGCTTGTCTGGAGATGGGACACTTGAGGCCATGCTGGGAAGTCCTCCTGAGCACTCTGAGACCAGAGAGACCAGTGGCCTGGACACCCCAGGCTGGGCCAGGACAGATGCCCGGGGAATTCAGAGCTCTGAGAGGCGGCTGCCTCACTTCCCGGGGCCAGGCATCGTGGCATCATCATCATGGGCTTCACTAACCACCATGGGGCCCGGCCATCATGGGTGTCACCTTATTCAACTCTCACGTCCACCTGGGAGAGAGGAACTGAATGGTAAAGCCCATTTTACAGATAAGGAAACTGAGCCAGACAGGGGCTCAAACTCAGCAGCTGGGCTCAAGCCTGCAGCCTCAACACCACCGCCTTTCTGTGCCTGACCCCCACCTCATGTCTCCCTAGTACAAGGCCTGCCATATGCTTGGGGTTGGGAGAGATGCCTTCTCCATAGCAATACTTAGGGGTGCAAAGGATCCTCCCTCTTCTATAGTTGAGGAAACAGAGACTCGGAGAAGGGTGGAGAGACTCGCCAGCGTCCCATGGTGGGGCAGGGAGGGCTCGGATCTGAGCTCTGTGTGGCTGGGTGAGTCCAAAGCCACACGGTCTTCACTGCACCCCTCAGGGCCACACCTTTGCGCACACAGAAGAGTGTGCCCCCAGCCCAGGGGAGCAATATCGGGGAGGACGTGGCCTTTGCCACGCGCCTTAGGAGCCCAGCAGGCTTCTCTCTGACCCCTCCATGCACCCCCTGCCGGCCCCCACACTCCACCAGGCCCAAGCCCAGTCCCCGCAGCCAGCAGAGAAGCCTTTGCACACATGGTCCCACAGCCAGTTATACCCTTTTCTCCTGGTCCCAAAGGCCAACTTCTGCTCATTCCTTAGGGCTCCATTAAGCATTGCCTCCACCAAGAAGACTCCCCTGACCCCTGGGGACACCACCACTGCTCCCGCTATGGTGCCCGGGACCCCCTTGGGGTGGCCTGAGCCCCAGGCTGTCCCACAGGACAGTGGGCTCCTCCTGGCTGGGACCTTGTCTCGGTCACCTGAGTCTCCTGTCCAGCCTAGGCCCTAGAGAAAGGACACTCAGGTCAAGTTTGATGAGCAAATAAATGAAAGCGAGATCATCCCACATCAATCTCATTAGGCAAAGGTGTTTAACAAGTTTTAAGCAGCAGGAAGTTTTGTCCAAAATGAAGTCTAACCTGAAAGGGCTATGTAGGAGTGAAGCATGAATGTCAGGCTGCTTGGTTTGGGGAATGGGGACCATGGGGGAATTCTCCACGGTTTCCCCACATCCTTCTTTGCTCAGGGGCCCCCAAAGGACTCAGGGGAGCACAGCTGGAAAACTACTAGCATTAACACGCAAGACCAGACCTGCACCCAGCCCTGCTCCGCTGAGGCACAGCCCTCCCCCTGCTCAACAACCCTCAGTGTCTCCCTAGTACCTACAGTAGTGAGTACCGTCTCCCTGCCTCCAACCTACAGCCTGTGCCAGCCTCTGGCGTCAAACTTCCCTGCCAGCCCCGCCTCCCCCCGCCCCACAGGAGGACTCAGCAATGCCTTCCCAGGCCTCGGTGCTGCCCACAAGATCTTCCCTCTTTCCGGAAGACCCTTCCCTCCCTCAAACTTTTCGCAGAAGTACTGTGTCACCTATGGCACCCCTGAGGGGAGTTGGGCACCCACTCAACCAGGTCAATGGGCAGTTTTGTTTTGGGGTAACCAGGACATCCCAGGAGCTGCAGACCAAATGCCCCTGCCCTACGGCCTCTCGGGCTAACAGTGTGGACGTCCCTGCCCCGCAGCCTCTCGGGCTAGTGGTGTGGACACCCCCGCCCTGCAGCCCTCCTGACCTCTCCAGAGGCCCAACAGGCAGCTGTGTCAGCTCAAAAAACTAAAACCCCCAGGGCCTTCCAGTTTCCCTTTCTGGCCTCTTCCCCAGAGGCCATGAAGCAGAGCAGCTCAGGCAGAGACACAAAAGGAAAACACCCCTGATGCTGTTCCTGGTGTGAACCAGGCCCTCTGGCCACAGCTCACACCTGTCAGCTTGCAGTGTTCACTGGGGCATGCTCCCTGGTGTGAACCAGGCCCTCTGGCCACGGCTTATACCTGTCAGCTTGCAATGCTCACTAGGGCACACTCCCTGGTGTGAACCAGGCCCTCTGACCGCAGCTCACACCTGTCAGCTTTGTGATGTTCACTGGGGCACGCTCCCTGGTGTGAACCAGGCCCTCTGGCTGCGGCTCACACCTGTCAGCTTGCAGTGTTCACTGGGGCACGCTCCCTGGTGTGAGCCAGGCCCTCTGGCTGCAGCTCACACCTGCCAGCTTGCGATGTTCACTGGGGCACGCGGCTCCCTGGCCAAAAGCCACTCGGGGCCCAGGTGCTGTTGTCCCTCCCCACCTGCAGTCCTGGCCTCTGCCTCCAGGCCTGGCTGCATGTCCTTTCAGGGATAAAGTCACCTCACCCAGCACTGAGGCCATCTACATGGAGATGACAGGCTGGGATTCAGGTCCAGTGCATGGCGGCTGGGAAGACAGAATATGCCTTGGGAAAAGCTAACTGGTGGCGGGGAATCTGTCCGGGGGCTGTCGTGTGCTGTTCACTCTGGTTGACTGATGTCAGTCAATCAACATGCATTTTTGACACCTACTGTGTGCTGGGTCCTGAGGAATTCTGGAATGTCAAGGAGCAGGGATGGACAGAAAGGTCTCTGCCAGCACCATGCCCAGTGTCAGGCTCGGCCTTCACCCTGACCTCGTCGACTCACCCCTCACCACAACCCTGGAGGTGGCTGCGTGCACCCAACCAGGGGTGAAATGGAGCGTGGAGCAGTGAAGCCTTGCCCAGGGCCAACCACTTCTAAATGCCAGGGTAGGGTGGGGTGGGGTGGAATTCTGCAGGCCCCAAAGCCTGTGATCCTTCCCTCCACACTGATCGTCGAGAGATGACCCTCCACCCCCCTACCCCTGCCACAGGGGGACAAGCAGCAGGCACCCAAGGTCTGGCTCAAAGCCACTGAGCAGCAGTTCCCTCTGTTCAGATCTCCTCTGTGCCCAGAGCAAAAATCCAAGGGTTTGCTCTTGACAGCCCCTTCCTGCGTTACCCTCTCTCCCAGGTGGGGACAGAGCTGCTGGTCACAGAAGCCACCTTCTTCTCCAAGCATCCCCCAAGCTCCAAACACCATTGTTGTCCTCAGGTGGGGAGGGACAACAGTGCCCGGACCATTTTATGTTTCTGTCCTCAAAAGGAGGCCCCCCCCCTCTCACCCTTCAGGCTTATGGGTGGGAAACAGAGGAAAAAAATGCATGTAAAGGTGGATGGGCAGCTTGTCCTGAATGTGAAACAGAGACCAACTCTTTGGTGGCTGTGATTTCCCTCAGCAGAAGGGAAATGCCTCATTCGCATAATTTCATTCATTCATTCATTCATTCATTCACATCACAAACACCAGTGAGCTCCTGTCATGGGCAGAATTGTGTCCACCTGAAATGCCTGTGTTGAAGCCCAATACCTGATGTGACTGTCATTGGAACTAGGACATTTAAAGTAACTAAGGTCAAATGAGGACATTTGGGTGGCCCCCTAGTCCAACTGGACTGATGTCCTTATAAGAAGAGGAGATCAGGAAACAGACACATAGAGGGACGACCACGTGAGGACACAGGGAGATAGCGGCCATCTGCAAGCCGGGGAGGGAGGCCTCAGGAGAAACCAACCCTGCCTACACCTTGGTCTCAAGCTTTCAGCCTCCAGAACTGTGAGAAAAGGAATTACTCTTGTTTAAGCCCCTAGTCCCAGGTATTTTGTTTTGGCAGCCTGAGTGGACTAACACAGCATCTGATGCTAACCCGGCGCCTGATACCAGCACAGCATGTGACGCTAACACAGAATCTGAACCCAGTACAGAGCATGACCCCAACACAGAGCCTGACCCTAACACTGCGTCTGACCCTAAAGTGGCTCATGACACTAACACGGAGCCTGACCCCAAGACGGAGCCTGACCCCAAGATGGTGCCTGACCCCAACAAAGCTCCTGACCCAAACACAGCACCTGACCCCAACACGGAGCCTGACCCCAACACGAAGCCTGACCCCAACACGGCGCCTGACCCCAACACAGAGCCTGACCCCAACACACAGCACCTGACCCCAACACACAGCTCCTGACCCCAACACAGTGCCTGACCCTAACGTGGCGCATGACACTAACACGGAGGCTGACCCCAACACGGAGCCTGACCCCAACACGGAGCCTGACCCCAATACAGCACCTGACCCCAACACACAGCTCCTGACCCCAACACACAGCACTGACCCCAACACAGTGCCTGACCCCAACACAGCACCTGACCCCAACACACAGCTCCTGACCCCAACATAGCGCCTGACCCCAACACGGAGCCTGACCCCAACACAGAGCCTGACCCCAACACAGTGCCTGACCCCAACACACAGCACCTGACCCCAACACACAGTGCCTGACCCCAACACAGCGCCTGACCCCAACACGGAGCCTGACCCCAACACAGAGCCTGACCCCAACACAGTGCCTGACCCCAACACACAGCACCTGACCCCAACACACAGTGCCTGACCGCAACACAGCACCTGACCCCAACACACAGCTCCTGACCCCAACACAGTGCCTGACCCCAACACAGCAGCTGACCCCAACACAGCATCTGACCCCAACACACAGCACCTGACCCCAACACACTGCCTGACCCTAACGTGGCGCATGACACTAACACGGAGCCTGACCCCAATACAGCACCTGACCCCAACACACAGCTCCTGACCCCAACACACAGCACCTGACCCCAACACAGTGCCTGACCCCAACACAGCACCTGACCCCAACACACAGCACCTGACCCCAACACAGCACCTGACCCCAACACACAGCACCAGACCCCAACACAGTGCCTGACCCCAACACAGCACCAGACCCCAACACACAGCACTGACCCCAACACAGTGCCTGACCCCAACACAGCACCTGACCCCAACACACAGCTCCTGACCCCAACATAGCGCCTGACCCCAACACGGAGCCTGACCCCAACACAGAGCCTGACCCCAACACAGTGCCTGACCCCAACACACAGCACCTGACCCCAACACACAGTGCCTGACCCCAACACAGCACCTGACCCCAACACACAGCTCCTGACCCCAACACAGTGCCTGACCCCAACACAGCAGCTGACCCCAACACAGCATCTGACCCCAACACACAGCACCTGACCCCAACACACTGCCTGACCCTAACGTGGCGCATTACACTAACACGGAGCCTGACTCCAACACGGAGCCTGACCCCAACACAGCACCTGACCCCAACACACAGCACCTGACCCCAACACACAGCTCCTGACCCCAACACAGTGCCTGACCCCAACACAGCACCTGACCCCAACACACAGCTCCTAACCCCAACACAGCGCCTGACCCCAACACGGAGCCTGACCCCAACACAGAGCCTGACCCCAACACACAGCACCTGACCCCAACACACAGCACCTGACCCCAACACACAGCACCTGACCCCAACACAGCGCCTGACCCCAACACACAGCACCTGACCCCAACACACAGCTCCTGACCCCAACACAGTGCCTGACCCCAACACAGCACCTGACCCCAACACACAGCACCTGACCCCAACACACAGCTCCTGACCCCAACACAGTGCCTGGCCCCAACACAGCACCTGACCCTAACACAGAGCTCCTGACCCCAACACACAGCACCTGACCCCAACACACAGCACCTGACCCCAACACACAGCTCCTGACCCCAACACAGTGCCTGACCCCAACACAGCACCTGAACCCAACACACACCTCCTGACCCCAACACACAGCACCTGACCCCAACACACAGCTCCTGACCCCAACACAGTGCCTGGCCCCAACACAGCACCTGACCCTAACACACAGCTCCTGACCCCAACACACAGCACCTGACCCCAACACACAGCTCCTGACCCCAACACACAGCTCCTGACCCCAACACAGTGCCTGACCCCAACACAGTGCCTGACCCCAACACAGCACCTGAACCCAACACACAGCTCCTGACCCCAACACAGTGCCTGACCCCAACACAGCACCTGACCCCAACACACAGCTCCTGACCCCAACACAGTGCCTGACCCCAACACAGCAGCTGACCCCAACACACAGCACCTGACCCCAACACAGTGCCTGACCCTAACGTGGCGCATGACACTAACATGGAGCCTGACCCCAAGACGGAGCCTGACCCCAACACGGAGCCTGACCCCAACACAGCACCTGACCCCAACACACAGCTCCTGACCCCAACACACAGCTCCTGACCCCAACACAGTGCCTGACCCCAACACACAGCTCCTGACCCCAGCACAGTGCCTGACCCCAACACAGTGCCTGACCCCAACACACAGCACCTGACCCCAACACACAGCTCCTGACCCCAACACAGTGCCTGACCCCAACACAGCACCTGACCCCAACACACAGCTCCTAACCCCAACACAGCGCCTGACCCCAACACGGAGCCTGACCCCAACACAGAGCCTGACCCCAACACAGCACCTGACCCCAACACACAGCACCTGACCCCAACACACAGCTCCTGAACCCAACACAGTGCCTGACCCCAACACAGCACGTGACCCCAACACACAGCTCCTGACCCCAACACACAGCACCTGACCCCAACATGGAGCCTGACCCCAACACGGCGCCTGACCCCAACACGGAGCCTGACCCCAACACACAGCACCTGACCCCAACACACAGCACCTGACCCCAACACACAGCTCCTGACCTCAACACAGCACCTGACCCCAACACAGCGCCTGACCCCAACACGGCACCTGACCCCAACACAGCACCTGACCCCAACACAGCACCTGACCCCAACACGGAGCCTGACCCCAACATGGCGCCTGACACTAACACGTCCAAGCTCTTACGCTCTGCTGGACGCTGCTCACCTCATCTTTCCGGCAATCCTAGGAGCTGAGTCCTTTTACTGACATATTCTACAGAGGCAGAAACTGAGGCACAGAGTGGTAAGCCAGCTGCTGGGCATGTGGCTAGAGAGAGGCCCGGACATTGCCCGTGCCCTCGTGGGTCCAGATCCTCTGGTCCAGGAGTCAGCAGGAGAGCACATAGCTTACAGAAGGCTGGGGCAGGGCTCCCGGAAAACTGCATGCAGTTGGGGGTGATGTGTGTTTGAGGTGAAAACGGAAAAGCATCATAGACTTTGGCCAGCAGAAAAGAGGGGGAACAGAAGAACCTTCCAGGCCGAGCACAGTGGCTCATGCCTGTAATCCCAGCACTTTGGGAGGCCAAGGCAGGTGGATCACCTGAGGTCAGGAGTTAGAGACCAGCCTGGCCAATGTGGTGAAACTCTGTCTCTACTAAAAAATACAAAAATTACCCAGGCATGGTGGCATATGCCTGTAATCCCAGCCACTCAGGAGGCTGAGGCAGGCGAATTGCCTGAACATAGGAGGCAGAGGTTGCAGTGAGCCAAGATCGTGCCACTGCACTCCAGCCTGGGTGACAGAGCAAGTCTCCATCTCAAAAAAAAAAAAAGAAGAGCCTTCCATCTGGAAGGCAGAGTGGGAGCTGTGGGTCAGTGGTATCGGGTGTGTGGCACAAGGAGGAACATTCATGGTGGTGAGGGGAAGGCTGTGCAGAGCAGGAGGAGCCGGGCAGCTGGGGAGAGAAGGCACAGAATAGGGCCTGGGTCACACTGTGAAGGGCACTTCCTGCCTTGGCCAAATGTGCACTCGCGCAAGCACCTCAGGGGATCTCGCTCCTGTCCTGGGAGGAGGAAGGTGCTGCCTGCCAGGTGTCAGGGAATGTTCAGACCCAGCCTTGGCCCTGAGAAGCCTGGAGGGGCTTCAGCATCCTCTCTGAGCTCCCCGCTTCAGTCTGGCCCTCACTCCTCTGCAATCCTGCACCAGTGGGGTCTGGGACTCACAAAACCAGCCTGGCACACTCCTGCTCTGAACACTTCTATAGCCCCCCCACCACCCCAGTGGCAAAGCCCAGAATCCCTATGGTGGCAGTTGAGGGTCTCAACCCCACCTGTGCCCATGGGCAGACTGCATGCCACTAAGGCTTGCCCTGCCCTGTGTGCCCACAGCACGTGAATGGCCCAGTGGGGGCATGTCAGGTGTGTGGAAGGCTGGTCCCCCATGTCACCACTGAACACTCTTCAGGAGTAGGGACAGGTCTGAGAGCTGGGTATTCCCAGCACCCAGCACTGGGCTGACAAAGAGGTGTGCCTCGTGGATATCTGCCAGCTGCTAAGAGGGTGGAATCTGGAAACCATTTCTCATCCCTTGATGGGAAACTGAGGCCAAGGGAGGGCAGTGGCTTGGCCTCGGGGCTCCCAGCTGGGGTGTGGCAGGGGCTCCCAGAGACCAGGCCCCACTGCCGCTGCTGCTGCTGCTGCTGAAGACCTAGGCCCAGGCCCCAGGCCACTTCATTCATTCACTTACTCATTTATTCATTCATTCACTCACTCACTCCATCATGCATTCATTCACGCATTTATTCACTTGCTTGCTGATTCACTCACTCATTCTTTCACTCCCTCACTCACTCATTCGTTCATTCACTCACTCATTCACTCACTCAGTCACTCATGCATTCACTCACTCTCCCATCCATTCACTTATTCACTCACTCATTCACTCACTCATTCCCTCACTTCCTCATTCATTCACTCCCTCATTCACCCACTCAGTCACTCATGCATTCACTCACTCTCCCATCCACTCACTCATTTACTCACTCATTCCCTCACTTCCTCATTCATTCATTCACTCCCTCACTCATTCACCCACTCAGTCACTCATGCGTTCACTCACTCTCCCATCCATTCACTCATTCACTCACTCATTCACACACTCATTCCTCATTCCTTCCCTCATTCATTCATTCCCTCATTCACTCTCTCATTTACTCACTCACTCTCTCACTCATTCATTCAGTCACTCATTCATGCACTCACTCCCTCATTCACTCACTCAGATTCATTCAGTCTGCTGCGGATGTACATGTCCCATGTGCCAGGCCTCATACAGGTGCTGGAGCTCAGGGCAGGAGAGCCCTGGACAGCTGGGGAACATATGTGTGTGAGAGAAGGCACGGATGCATCCTTACACACAGCACCTACAGCTGTGGTGAGTCCTGCGGGGCAAGGTTGGGAGCCTGACCTGGAATGGGGGCATTGGCATGTGGGTCACAGTTACCCAGAAGCTGCTGAGCAGACACAAAGATGATGGGGCCTCGCCTGACACTCAACCGTGATGGTTGACAACTTCTGGAGGACCTGGGGGCCCAAGAAAGGGCTGGAGAGCAGGTGTAGGGGCTGCAGCTGCCCCCTCCAGCTTGGCAGCCAAGTGATGATTTCCCTGGCTCCTTTAATTCCTCCCACAGCCTAGAGGGTCACACACCGTGTCACTCCAGAGAGCCTGTCACCACCAGGCAGAGCTCATGAGTCACAGACAGGGGGTCCTTAAAGACCCTGCCAGAAAGTACCCCAGACACAGATGAGGACACTGAGGCTGAGGCACTGGGGGCTGCCTGCCTGAAGCCACATGCAGTCTGCAGAGCCCAGGTCCCGAAGGCACCAAGGGCCTTGCCCACATCCATCCTGGGACCCTCCTTTCTGGAGAAACCCTGACAAGACACAGGAAAACGCCCAGCCCCACGTGTCCCAGGGGCCCCATTCTTCAGGTTGTTGGAGGGTAAGCAGGAAAGCAAACATTATTTGTTTAACTAATTTCAAGGATCGAGAATTTTCCAGATGTCTCCCCAGCTCCCACCTCTCCCGCCAGCCCCAAGTACCTTCCTCATGAACCTCTCTGGGAGGGCGGGGTGGCTCCTGGGAACCCTAGGCATGAAGAAATGTCTGGCTAGTGGGGATGCCATTGGATTCCGGGAACACTGGAGCGATTTCCGAGGCCAAAGATGGCTGGAGACAGCACAGACTCTGTCTTCTGAGAAGCCGCTTCCCTCCAGGGCCAACATGGAAGAGGAGGATGTGGGGGCTCCGGAGGACCTTGCACAGAGCCAAGCCCACCCAACGTGAATCCATGAACAAACACATGGCAGCCCCCAGCATCTACCAAGGGCCAGGTGCATCCTGAACCTGGTGCTGGGTCGCAGAAGCCCTGTCAGGCAGGAAGTGTCATCCCCATCTCACAGGCAGGGAGACCAGAGGCACAACGTCACGTGGTAACTTGCCCAAATTCACCCATAGGTGGGAAGAAAAGCAAGGGTTTGTTTCCTGGTCAGTCTGTACGTTCCATCCTGGGCTATTGTGAAGGTGCTGGGAGGGAGGGAGGGAGGGGAGAGAAAGGAAGGAAGGAAAGGAGGGAAGAAGGAAGGGAGAAGGGAAGGAAGAGAGAAGGGAAGAAAGGGGAGGAAGGGAGGGAGGAAGGGAGGGAGGAAGGGAGGGAGGGAGGGAGGGAGGGAGGGAGGGAGGGAGGGAGGGAGGGAGGGAGGAAGAGAGGGAGGAAGGGAGGGAGGGAGGGAGGGAGGAAGAGAGGGAAAAGAGGAAGGGAGGGAGAGAGGGAAAAGAGGAAGGGAGGGAGGGAGGGAGGGAGGAAGGGAGGGAGGAAGGGAGGGAGGAAGGGAGGGAGGGAGGGAGGAAGGGAGGGAGGGAGGGAGGGAGGGAGGGAGGAAGAGAGGGAGGAAGGGAGGGAGGGAGGGAGGAAGAGAGGGAAAAGAGGAAGGGAGGGAGAGAGGGAAAAGACAGGAAGGGAGGGAGAGAGGGAAAAGAGGGAGGGAGGGAGGGAGGGAGGGAGGCAGGGAGGGAGGGAGGGAGGGAGGGAGGGAGGGAGGAAGAGAGGGAGGAAGGGAGGGAGGGAGGGAGGAAGAGAGGGAAAAGAGAGAAAGGGAGGGAGGGAGGGAGGGAAAAGAGGAAGGGAGGGAGGGCGGGATGGAGGGGAGAGAAAGGAAAAGAGGGAGGGAGGGGAGAGGAAGTACGGAAGGGAGGGAGGAAGAAGGGAGGGGAGAGGAAGGCAGAGAGAGGAAGGAAGGGAAGGAGGAAGGCAGGGACGGAGGAAGTCAGGAAGGCAGGCAAGAAATAAGGAAGGAAGGAAGGAAGGAAGGAAGGGATAGAGGAAGAGAGGGAAAGGAGAGGAAGGAAGCAAGGGAGGGTAGAGAAAGGGAGGGAGGAAGGAAGGAAGGAAGAGAGGAAGGGAGGGAGGGAGATGGAAAGGAAAGGAAGGGAGACATGGAAGAAGGAAGGGAGAGAGGGAGGGAAGGAGACGAGGGAGGGGAGAAGAGAAGGAATGAAGGAGGGAGGGAATGAAGAGGAAGGAAGGGAGGAAGACAGGCAGGCAAAACCCTTCCTTGGACTACAGGAACCTAGAGTCCAGCATCTCTCTCTGTGCCTGGCCGGCGCAGGGCCCTAAGCACGCCTTGGCCACACTGGGTGACGTGGGAGATGCCCCTTGCCCTGCGCCGCAGTTCCACCTCCAGGCGCCACACTCCGGCCACTCTCCCTGCTTGCTTGCACGCCACAGGGCCCGGAGCAGCAGGACAGTGGGGGGCACGAAACACAACTGTGCCTCAGAAAGAAAGCAGCCACACTGCTGGTTCTTCCCACAGTGGACTCTCGCCTACGTACAGGGATGTGTTTCCTGGACGTAACACAGGGTGAAGAAGAGCGAGCCTCCGCTGACCCCAGCACGAGCCGCTCATACACATTCAAGGCCGGCAGCACAGCGGCATATGTGGCAAAACCGAGCAGGCGTGGATGGGAAGGGAGCGCATCAGCCTGCGTGTGAAGGCCACATCTAGGGGCGGAGGGAGGGGAGAAACACCTCTGCCGTATCTGCAGTGTTTCACTTCTCTCAGTAACCCAAAACGCACATGCAGAATGCTCCCATCTGTGGGACATCCTGGGATGCACAGGCTCCGTTCCATCCTGGGTCGTAGTTTGTTTCATAATTCCAGTTTCGAAATGCCCGGCTCCGTCTTCCAAGAGCAGCAGCCTCCTCGGGGTCCTGCCCCGAGCCTGTCCCCATGGCTGCTGAGCCTGGAGGACCCCCGTGCTCTGGCAGCCAAGTTTTGAGGTCCACAGTCCCAATGCATGGATGGACTTATTTGTGAGTTGCATATCTATCTCTCCCTGCAAAACAGAACCCTTTCCAGAATAGAAGAAAAATCCAAATAGAAATGATGGATCTACTATGATCCAAGTGCACATACTGGCTTCATCGGAAGTGTAAATTCAGGTCAACCCTGGCTCTGAACTTCCCTAAGCCTCAGTGTTCCCATCTGGAAAATGGACACTATATTGAGGGTTTACCATGTGCCAGGGACTTAGCCGGATGTTCTAACTTGTGACCCTTGTCAGGCACTAGTAGGATCCTCTCTTTACACACAAGGCAAGGCACGGAGGCAGAAGTCAGCTCACACAGGCAGGGGATGCTCAGGATGACATGATCCACTCTCAGACACCAGGGCCTAGGCACCCTTCCCCTCAGCAACCCAGTAACCTCCCTGCAGGGAGTTACAAGGAGGATGCAACTGCTTTCACAGCCTCGGAAGGAACCAACTCTGCCCATACCTTGATCTAGGACTTCCAGCCCCCAGAACTGAGCACACGGGGTCCTTTTGGGACCTGCTTCTATAAGAAAAGTACTTGTCAGTAAAGGTGACATGGCTTCTTCTCTGTGCTGGGAGAGCCAGCCCCGGATGTATCTCAGCACAGTGGGGTGAGGAGGTGAGCCAGGCTCAGAGACAGCCCGGCTGAAGGTGAAGGAAACCTTAGTCCTGCAGCAGGCTGCCATGACCTAGGGTGAGCCTCAGTTTCTGCAATGGGAAATGGGGCTAACCCTGCAGACTTGACATTCACAATGGCTTAGTGGTTTCTCCAGGAAGGACACAGGTCCTATCTCCATGTCCCGGGGTTTCCCCACGACACTGCACGTACAATTGCCCCTGGTGGCCACTGCTAAGGGATGCCTGGCACAGCTGGCATTAAAACTAGGGTGCACCCCCTTGTATGCCAGGAACAGGGGCTCAAAGGAAGCATGGCCCCTGCACTCAAGCCCCAACTCCAGGCCTGGATTCCACCCCTCATCACCCCAACAAGGCTGCTCAGGGTCATGCTGGGGACAAAGGAGCAGGCTCAGTCCCTCCCGAGGGCTCAGGAAAGGCCAGCTGCAGAGGCAGCCCCTCAGCAGTGTCCCAGGCATCTGAGTTGATTGGAACGATCCTACAGCACCCCAGCTTGTACCCCAACACTCACAAATACTCAATGATGACCCTATGGGTAGAATTGTGTCCCCTAAAATTCATATATTGAAGCCCCAATCCCTAGTGAAGCTACCTGTAGCCCCTGATGCTGCGGACGCCACTGCGAGGTGCCATGGCAGGGGCGGTGCTGAAAGCCACCCACAGCTCCTGGGGTGGGTGGGGCATAGGGCCGAGTGCTTGTGTCCCTCCAACTCACTGTGCGACATCAGAGGCTTACTGATGCTCAGCTCTGCTGGGAAATAAGGTTCTTTTCTTCCCTCCCCTCCCCTCCCCTCCCTACCTCCTTCCTTTATCCCCATCCCTCCAACCCCCAGTCTGACCTCTTTCATTGGCTTTAA
The DNA here is from genome assembly GCF_000001405.40 of Homo sapiens. Classification (NCBI taxonomy): domain Eukaryota; kingdom Metazoa; phylum Chordata; class Mammalia; order Primates; family Hominidae; genus Homo; species Homo sapiens. The sequence continues at coordinate 7,446,113 of NC_000004.12, read as the reverse complement.
GCTCAACCAAAAGGGAAGGGAAAAGAAGAGAAGACAGGGAGGAAGGAAGGAAGGGGGAAGAAATGAAAGGAAAGGAATGAAAGAGGGAGAGAAGGAAGGAAAAAAAAGAAAAGACAAAGGAAAGAAAGCAGCTTCGAGGCATTTGGCTCTGGCCTGAGGAACTGTGCAGGTGTGAGGGGTGGGCCTGGGCAGGTGAGCACCTGTCCCCCATCCCTCTACTCTCAGGGCCAGTGGGGATGCTGCCTGTGGCCCCAGGGATGACAGCTCTGACCAGGAAAAGCAGCTGGCCATCCCTGGGCCTCTCTGGAGTCCTGTACTTCCCGACGTATCCAGCCCCCAGCAACCCAGGAGGGTTGGGTCTGCCTCAACCCTGACAAAAGGGCAGCCTGACAGGTGAGTGACTGGCCCAGGGCCACAACATCCTGAGCAATGCCACTTAGAGAAGCGTTTAGGCCCTTGCCTCCTCCTCTGGCCTCCCTGCAGCCCCCATCCTGGCCTCCATCCCGCCCTGTTCTGCCTTCAGCGCCCAGCTTCTGAACAGAAGCCAAGGAGTCCAGCCCTGGTGCTTCCCCTCGGCCCCGCTCCATCCACAGGACCTGCTGCCGCGCCCCAGGCCTTCTTCCACTCATGGAGGGCAGCTGTGATTCAAAATCACCCAAATTCCTCCCTCCAGGAGGCCTCATGCTCTTCCCAGGATGCCCTCCCACATCTTGGGCTGTGAATCCAGCAGCCCCCTCCAGACCCGGCTCTCCCCCATCAACCCTGGCTCCTCTCCCCCGGCTTTCCCTCTGGATGTCCCCAACCTCAGAACCTCAAACACCAGCCAGAGCCTGTGACTTCTGTACTTGCTCCTCAGGTCTGGCCCTTACTGCCAAGTCCCAAGTATCTGTTGCAAGGGTGCCTCTGCAGGCATGTCCCAGAGACTCTCACCCTCACCAGGTTGGCCCTGAGGTCTCCATCTGCCTCCCACAACCCAGTCCTGACCTCCTGGGAGAAGAGACAGCCAGCCCATCTTGCAAGTCTGGGCCTCCCCCAATCCCTCCCTCTTGCCACCCGCAGCAATGGTCCAGTCCTATATCCCTCCCCGCCCTCCCTCTGCTCCCCGCCCTGGATCAGGCCACCTGGGTGTTGCAACCACAGCCCAACAGGTCTGCCTGCCTGGGTCGCCTCCTCCGGTTCATCGTCCAAGTGGCCCAGGCCAAACGTTCGGTGTGTTCCTGACTCTTCTCTTTCTCGCACATGCCACATTCAAACCAACTACAAATCCTGTTTATTGGCTCTAACTTCAAGCAGATGCTGAATCTGCAGCCTGTCACCTACGGTCGCCACCTGAGGCCCTGTGGCTTCTCCTCTAGACCACCACAGTCGCCTCTGACTCCTCCTCGGCATGCTCCCTGCTTCCACCCTGGCCCCAGATCCATCCTTTTAGAAGCACCATGGGATCATGTCAGCCCTCTGCTCAAAACCCTGCTATGGCTCCCCACTACCCTCAGAGGAAGAAGCAGAGTCCACCTACATGATCCCTCTGACCGTGGCGCCTTCTGCTCCTGCCCCCATCACTCCGCTCAAGTCTCCTGGCCCCTGTTCTTCCTGCACCCAGCTGCCACAGGACCTTTGCACAGGCTGGCCTTGCTGCTTGGTGCACACTCAGACACTGACCTCTCTCAACTCCTCCAAGTTTACACTCAAATGTTTTGTTGAATCACAGAGGCCTCCCCTGAACACACATGCTCCTGTCCCCAGGCCCCTTACAACCTATACAATGTCTCCACCTCTCCACCTCACTCATCACTTTCCTCCATATTGTAACACTTATTATGTGTTGTTTAATTTCTGCTTCCTCCGCTAGAATATAAGTTCCAAGAGTACAGGGTTTCTGTCTGTTTTGTTAACTCAAATATTCCCAGGACCTAGAATAGCACTCAGCACATAGTAGGCTCTTAGTAAATAATTGCTGAATACGCGTATGAAAATAAAGCCAAATAAACATGGTACAAGTGTTTGCTTTTAGGATCTGCCTATTTCCCCTCTTCTAACAGGGAAGGAGAGATTCTGCCTATTTCACCAGCCCTCAACCTTCACCTGTGGGGATAAGACAGCCCCTTTACCTGTGGGTGAGGCACTCCCAACTCGCTCAAGGAGCTTTTGGGGTCAGGTGGACATGTGGGGCCCATTGTGTTAAGATCGGCCAGCAGCGGCAGCCAGGCCAGGGAGGTGGAGGCTGGCATGCCCACATTGGGGAGGACCCCTGTTGGAAACCACCTATGGGCCTTCTGATGCCGTGGGAGGAGCCACAGACTCAGGAACGAGGAGGCCAGGCCACATGGGAGATGCTTGGCCAGTTCAGCATTCTGTACTTTTCCCTCTAACGCCAAGGTGCTGAGGCCTCGGAAAGAAGGTTTCTGACTCTGGAGGTGTGGCCTCAAGGCCCCAAAGTCCTGAGTCTCAACACCTAAGTTTCTGTGGTCTCCGGTCCTTATGCCGTGGACCCTGGGTCTCTGCACCTTATGATAAGGCTAAGCCTTAGGACACGGCTTCTAAATGTCTGGAGTTGGGGCCACTGTGGCTGGAAGTTTCAGCGTCTCTCAAGGTTTCGGGTTGTAGGGACTAAGGAACCAGGGTTCTGGCTCCCAAAACTCCCTGCGTCTCAGGCCTGTGTGATCTCAGGGGGTTGAGGCTCCATTCGCGGCTGTGCGCTCAGAAGGGCTTTAGAGGCAGCAGCCAGAGACTGGTGAGTCCTAGGTGCTCCACAAACACCCGGGTGCCCGCCCTAAGATGCTGTGCACCACAGGTGGCCTCCCCTTCCAGACTTCTTAGGGCCAAGGCTGGATCTGAACCACAGTTGAGTTTAAGGTCAAGGTCACCAGCGCCCAGAATCCATCAGTGGAGGGTGGAACTGTGCCCCCTTCCTCCCAAAAAAAGATATGTTCAAGTCCTAACCCTGGTACCTGTGATCTGACATAATTTGGAGCTAGGGTTTTTACAGATGTAATTAGTTGAGATGAGGTCATATTCAATTCAGATGGGCCCTAAATCCAATGACTGGTATTCTCATAGGAAGAAGGAAATTTGGACACAGAGAAGAAAGCCACAACAGAGGCAGAGGCTAGAGCAAGGCGGCTGCAAACCCCGGCCCGGGGAAGATTGCTGGCCCCCACCAGAACCTGGGAGGAAGCAGGAAGGAGCCTCCCCGCAGCCTTCGGAGGGAGCACGGCCCCGCCAACACTCTGATTTTGGACGTCAGACCCCCAGAACTGCAAAAGGAGTTCCGGTTGTTTTCGGCCACCCCGTCTGTGGTACACTGTTTTGTCAGCCTGAGGAACCTCCATACTGTTCACATGAGTTCCAGGGCACCTGCGAAAGCCCACGTGCTGGGGCTGGGCTGGGGGTGCTGCTCTCCGCTTTGTTGATATCATGAAACAGGGCAGAAACCACAGCCTCAGAGCTGACCTCTGCGGCAGGGCAGAGCTGGGGGAGGGGGTGGAGGGTCATCTGGGCTGGGGGAGGGGGTGGATGGTGACCTGGGCTGTGACAGGAGGTGGATGACGACCTGGGCTGGGAGAGGGGGTGGAGGGTGATCTGGGCTGGGGGAGGGGGTGGAGGGTGATCTGGGCTGGGGGAGGGGGTGGAGGGTGATCTGGGCTGGGGGAGGGGATGGAGGGTGATCTGGGCTGGGGGAGGGGGTGGAGGGTGATCTGGGCTCGGGGAGGGGGTGGATGGTGACCTGGGCTGTGAGAGGAGGTGGATGACGACCTGGGCTGGGAGAGGGGGTAGAGGGTGATCTGGGATGGGGGAGGGGGTGGAGGGTGATCTGGGCTCAGGGAGGGGGTGGAGGGTGATCTGGGCTGGGGGAGGGGGTGGAGGGTGATCTGGGCTGAAGGAGGGGGTGGAGGGTGATCTGGGCTGGGGGAGGGGGTGGATGGTGACCTGGGCTGTGAGAGGAGGTGGATGACGACCTGGGCTGGGGGAGGGGGTGGAGGGTGATCTGGGCTGGGGGAGGGGGTGGAGGGTGATCTGGGCTGAAGGAGGGGGTGGAGGGTGATCTGGGCTGGGGGAGGGGATGGAGGGTGATCTGGGCTGGGGGAGGGGGTGGATGGTGACCTGGGCTGTGAGAGGAGGTGGAGGGTGATCTGGGCTGGGGGAGGGGGTGGAGGGTGATCTGGGCTGGGGGAGGGGGTGGAGGGTGATCTGGGCTGGGGGAGGGGGTGGAGGGTGATCTGGGCTGGGGGAGGGGGTGGAGGGTGATCTGGGCTGGGGGAGGGGGTGGAGGGTGATCTGGGCTGGGGGAGGGGGTGGAGGGTGATCTGGGCTGGGGGAGGGGGTGGAGGGTGATCTGGGCTGGGGGAGGGGGTGGAGGGTGATCTGGGCTGGGGGAGGGGGTGGAGGGTAATCTGGGTTAGGGGAGGAGGTGGATGACAACCTGGGCTGGGGCAGGAGGTGGAGGGTGATCTGGGCTAGGGGAGGGGGTAGATGGTGATCTGGGCTGGAGGAAGGGGTGGATGATGATCTGGGCTGGGTAGCTCCCAGGCTCTACCCTTCCTTGGCTTCTCAAATCTCTGAGTGGAAAGGGGTTATGGCAAGGGCGCTTCCCTCTCCTGCCGGCCTGCGCCTCCCCTGCACCCTGCCCAGCCCTCGGCACCCACACTCAGCTCAGGTATGAGTCAGGGCATCCCACTCAGCCTCCAGCCACCCTCACCCAGCTCATCAGGCTGTCCCCACTCACTGCCCGGCTCTGCCAGGCAGAAGCAGGCCTCTGTATGCAGTGCCTTTCCCACAACTGCTGCTCACCTGGAAGCAGCCCCGACCCTGGCCTCAGGCTGCCCCTCACCTGGGGTGCGGCTCTTTCCAGCTTTTGCAAAGGCAGTATTTGGGAAATGCCACCTCCACCTTCCCAGAAGCAGCCAACAACTCCTTCTAGCCTCACTCTTCACCTGCCCTCTGACCCTCCCTGCTACTCAGTTGGCAGCTCGTGCCCACACTGGGGCCTTCGCCCTTGCCGAGTCCCCCTCTTGGGGTGCTATCCCCTGGGTACCCACTTCATCCCAGTGCTGAGCTCACACCTGCTTCCCAGGGACCGACAGCACCACCTCTCCCCAAATCTCCACCTTCCCCCACGGTCTCACCCCACGAAACTCCCTTCTGCCTGCCATTTGAGTGCTCACTCATTCATGGTCTGTCTCTCCACCGCAAAGAGCCACTCCTCATCCGTCTTCATCCCCATTGAGCCCCTAGTACCCAGCAGCCCTCACCCCGCAGCTCCCAGCAGGGCTTGGAAAATGATCGTGAAATGAGTGACCCGTGATGCCCACCCTCGAGGCCCCATGTGGCCGGGCAATGAAGCTGGGCCCCAGAGAGGGACAGGAGGGTCCCCCAGGAGACTTGGGAAGGGCAGAGGGGAGGAGAGGCAGCATGAGGGTGGGCAGGGAGCAAGTGGCAGCAGTTGGTGACCAGGCAGAGGGGATGGGAGACAGGTAAGATGGTGCTGTCTAGGCCCCCAAGTTCCAGAGCAGGCTGGGCAAGCCCCACTGGGCTTCAGGAGAAGGAGGCAACTCTGTTACCCTGCCCCTCCTCATTCAGAGAGAGGAACGGTAGCGTGTGGCACTGTGTACACAAGGTAACCCCTTCCCTTCTGCATGGCAGGGCCACAAGGGCCAATGGTGAAATGGGGGTGAAAGGGCCAAAGCCTCAGAAATTGGAGGTAAGCATGTTGTTCCTATTCGTGCTCTCCCTTGGTCAGCATCAAACCCTCCCTTACACTCTCTGAAAGATGGCTGTCCTTGAAGCAAGCCGCAGGCAGACTCTGTCCCCCCAGAACAATTATTTGGGGAGAGAGCTCCCCTCTTTGTTCCCTCCTCCCCGGTCCCAGACTCCAGGTCAGGGTCCTACCTGCAACGCAGCCTCCTCCCCCGCTCCCTAATTCCATTGTGGCCAGGCTCGTCTTTACTTGGGGAGAAAATGTGAATACCTTGCATGTAGCTTTTTGAAACAAATGGGGTTTACAATAAAAAAATAAATACAGCCAATGGTAGCATTTGTTAAAGTGTGGGTGGAGGATGAATGTCTGTGATACCATTCTCTGCATTTTCTGAAGGGGTGAAATCAGAGCCACAGGCAGCAATCAGCACCAGCAACATGGGTGGTTGACAGCAGCTGCTGTGGTCACTTCGGAGAAGTCCTGGGGAATCTGCTCAGCACATACCCACCTGCCCCCACAGGTGCACACCCTACAGAAACATTCTGCACACCATCTGACGTCACCAAGATGTTTGGAGCAGCCATGTTTGAATAACCCCAAACTGGAAACCACCCCATGCCAGCTCATGGTGGATAAATAGAGTGTGAGAAAGCCACACAATGAAGCACTGCCCAGCAAGGTGAAGAAACAGCCTACAGTTGTGGGAACAACATGCCTGGATCTCATAACATCAAGCGAAAGAGGCAGGGACGGAGGACATCCTTTCCCTCCTGTTCAACTCCACCAATGCGAGGTTCAAGAACAGGCAAAATTAATCTGTGGGAGAAAAGTGTTTGCTCTCATTGACAAGTAACTGGGAAGGAGCACTCAGGACCATTCTGCCCCTTGACTAGGGTGTGCGTTCTGCAGGTGTGTGAAGATGTGTGTGTTTAGCTGTAGGTGAAATTTATCTCAGCAGAATAAAAAGAAATGTGTAGCAAGAGAGAGCTCTAGTTAGCAGGGTTTGCATTTCACAGTGCTATGGATTGGTGTTTCTAAAATGTCTTGGGTATATTCTAGGGTTCAGTAAGGGGTAAATAGGTTAAAAATCATGGGAGCCAAGCCTCTCACTGTTGGGCAGGGGAGTTACACTGCACTGAGTGTTGGAAGTATCAGTATGAACTCGTAGTCTTGTGAAGATGGATGGATGAATATGTTACATATACACACGTGTGTGTTTGTATATATATATATACAAACTCCTTCCTTCCTTCCTTCCTCTTTCACCCCATGTCAGGAAGAGGTAAGGTTTTCACTCAGAGGGCCTAAAAGGCACGACAGCACAGGAGCAATGAGCACATTTCATATCCAGATCTTGGTTTCTAAACACCATGTTCCCTGGAGAACAGGCTGATTCCAGGGCTGGCTCAAGGAATAAAAAAGATGAGCCTGGAACATGCCCTGTGCTGGAAAGTACAGAAGTGCCAAAGAAGGATGCCTGAGGGGACTCCCACAGATCACATCTGGGACAATTTAGGCATCAAAAACAATGAATGATATGAAAAAAGCATGTGCAAATATATACATGTGTGGGGACAGATGGGTAGGTGACTAGGTAGGTGGACAGGTGAGAGGAAAGGAGGGAGGGGTAGTGAGAACCTCGAAGCAAGTGGGACAGGTGTGTTGGATTATAGTCTATTAAATAAACTTTTTTTAAAAAAACATAAGTAAAAAATAATTCTGAGTCTTTTAAAAAAGAAAAAAGGAAAGAGGAAGGAAGGAAAAAGAGAGGCAGGGAGGGAGAGAGGAGAAAGGGAACAGAAGGAAGGAGAGAGGAAGGGGAGATAAAGCTTTTTTATTCACAGAAGAATACAAACTAATCAATAGAGAAGGAAGACAGAGCTAGAAAATGATGGGCAGGTGCGCAAATAAATGCATAAACATTTGATGAGGAACAAGATAGTTACATATTTTCAGAATACCTTTCTAAATGTTGCTTATTAATTACAAGTGGGAAATAACTTTACAGAGAAGGAAGCTGGTAGATCTTCTCCAAGTGATCAAAGATCACACATGCTGATAAATCAACAATGGCCCCCCACACGATGCATGACCTGGGTCTGGTCAAGAGGAAAGCCCAGTCAGACCTGCACAGAGGGACATTCTACAAAATAACCAGCTGGTTCCCCAGTGCTACAAAAGAAAACACAAAGCTGCCATCAGCTCCCGATGGAAGGCCTCTGAGGCACCATGACCAGGAATTGCATCGTGTGAGCCTGGACTGGGGCTGGACCTGGGAAATCAATGCCACATGGGGCAGCACTGGGGCTGCTGGTAAAGCTGAACTGGGCTGTGGGTTAAATTCTAGTATTGTATCCACACTACAGTTCTTTATTTTCATAAATGCACCGTGGTTATGAGAGAATGTCCTGGTCCTTAGGAAATAGGCACCAAAGTAACTGGGGTAAAGAGATACAATGTCTCCACCTACGCTCGAAGGTTATAAAAAAATTACGTGCAAATATATACATGTGTGTGGACAGACAGGTAGGTGGCTAGGTAGGTGGACAGACAGGTGAGAGGAAAGGAGGGAGGGGCAGTGAGAACCTCGAAACAAGTGGGGCAGGTGTGTCTGGGCAAAGGTACTCGGGAGTGCCTTGTACCCTTCTTGCAGCCATCCTTTAAGTAATCCAACATCATCCCCGCCATGGGATAAAAAAAAAAGTGTTTGGTTTTGTCCCCACTTTCTGGCACAGAGCTCCAACCCTTGGAATTTGCTGAGTGACAGAAGTGTATTTCGTTATTCATAATGACCCCCTCTGACCACACCTGAGTTTATGCTAATGAGGTGACCTACAGTGGGGTCCCTAGATGGCCTCTGATGGGGCTGGTCACCAGAAAGACCAAGCCATTCGAGGACTGGAACTTCCAGCCCCACCCCCTGGCCTCTGGGAAGGGGTGGGGGCTGCTGGAGATTAAACTCTGGAAAAACTCTTGGACAATGAGGTTTGATGAGCTTCTGGGTTGGTGAACACATGGGGGCGTGAGGAGGGTGGCACACCCAGAGGGTGTGGAAGCCCTGCACCCCGGCCCCTAGTCCTTGCCTTGTACACAGCCTCCTGAGTCATATCTTTCATGATAAATAAGAAATGTAAGCAAACGGTCTCCTGAGTCCTATGAGCCACCCTAGAGAATTATCAAACCCGAGGAGGGGGTCTCAGGACCCTGGTTTATAGCCACTTCGTCAGAAGTACAGGTGCCAACCTCGGACCTGTGATTATTAGCATCTACAGTGGGGGCTGAGCCCTTAACGTGTGGGGTCTGTGCTAACTCCAGGTAGTTGGTGTCAGAACTGAAAGGAATTACAGGGCTCCCAGTTGGCGTCTGTAAGAATCGGTCGTTGGTGTTGGAAAACACCCCAGTCCCCGAAACAAAACAGACATGGAGCAATCAGAATTCCTCAAATGCTGCTGAGGGGAGTGGGAACGGGCACAACCACTTTGGAAAGCGATCCAGCAGTACCTGCTCAACACACACGACGCATGCCCAATCCGTGCCGCTCCTCCATAAGACCCAGCAGAGAAGGGAAGACACGTGTGCATCCAAGACATACACAGAAGTGTTCGGGGCAGCGTTACTTCTACTGGCTCCCAAGTGGAATTGTTCCAAAGGCCCATCAAGGGTCGAGTAGACAAATCCACCATGGTGCACTGACCTAATTAATACACACCCAGGGCCCAGTGGGGCATTCCACCTGCCCAGTGGAATTCTACCCAGAAACGACAATGTCGGCTCTACAGCTAAACACAGCAGCGTGGGTCAATCATACAAAGACAATGCCGAGCCAAGAAGTCCTTCATTATCGGGATGTTGTGCCAGGCTCAAGGGATGTCAGGATGAGGAGGACATTCTGGCCTCCTGGGTCGCACCCCCTCAGTGCAAGAGACCAAGGCAGCGCCGTGGGGGTGGGGTCTCAAGAGACTCGCAGGAAGTCTGGCACACAGCTGCGTTCACGCCAAGGGGCAGGCCCTTCTGTTTGCTTCAGCCTGGTGCCCAAAGTCCTGGTGGGATGCGAGTGGGTGCCCTGGGAATGTCAGGCGATGGACTGAATGAATGGCAGGCCCATCATAAGCCCATAGAAATGTATCAACACGTGCTTGGCTGAGCCAAGTCCAGGTAAGGACACCCACGTCTCCAGCCCCACCTGGGGTATGACCTGGAGGTGCTGGCCAGCTGCCATCCTGCAGCTGAGCACACCCAGGCTCACCTGTTCCCTAAGACTGTCCCCTCCACTGGTCCCCAGCAACCAGAGTCCTTGGAAGTCACTGCAAGAACTCAGCAAATCCTATTTTCCGTCTTCTCTTCCTGACCCCTGTACCCAGCAGGAGGGCTGGCGGGAAGCACCCTGCACTATTGCATTCCTCATGTGTGGCTGTTGCAATTTCAGGCCAGGCTGCCCGACCCACATAACTGGGAAGTGTGTTCCTACAGAGCACCCAAGCCCAGGAAGCTGAGCTGAGGACACCCACATGTGGGGCTAGGGGAGCCCCCTGCCATCAAACCTCTGGCCTGCCCACTCCATGGCTGTTTGGCAATTAGGCCAGAGGTGAGGCTGACTCCAGATTTCTCCATTTAATGAACAGGACCCGACGCAAGGCGCCTGTGCGTGCTCACCCAGCTGACTCTCTTGCCTAAGAACTATTTTAAAAACTAAGGAAGAAGAAAAAGATAAGATAACAGATGACACAGAAACGAAACAAACCTCTTTTGTGTGTGTGTACCTTCAACAAACATTTAATCTACGCCTACTACAGACCAGCCCACACTCAGCCTTTGATTGACATTTCTAGAATGAAGAGACCGGCTGGGCTCGAGGACCTGAGTTTGCAAGTGGCTTTTGCGGTGTGGCAGTGAGGTCCACAGCTCTCCCACTTCACAGTTTAAGACCTGAAGCTCAAAGAGACTAACTCCCCAAACAGCACAGCCAGGGGCAGAACCCCAGCTGGGCACGTGGCCCTGAGGCCACGTTAGAAAACAGTGGCATCCAGGGGGTGGCCAGTCATTGGGAACACTCGATCTTCAGCAAATAAGGCAGAGGGTGCCTTTCCGTACCTCCCAGAATGGGGGCAGAGACTCCTCGGGGTGTGAGGGGGGCTCACATTCCAGGAGGGGACCCAGGCCACACAAGTCAGGAGAGGACAGTGAGCTGCAGGGAAGGGAACCCCAGGAACTACTGCAGCAGGGGGAGGGTGGGGGACACAGCCCAGGGGCCAGGAGGGCTTCCTAGGAGCCGAGCTTCATTCACGTATCAGCTAGGCTCAGAAAACTGCTAAGAGTTTATCTTATCCAGGGGAAAAGAGGGGAGGGATAGTGTTCCAGGCACTCCAAGAGCAAAGGCGAAGAGGCCAGGAATCCCCGGGCACAGGGTGTGAGTCAGGCTGTGGGAGTGGCCAGGAGGTGGGGCCGCCCTTCCGTGCCTCCTCTGGGGCCAGGCAGGAGAGCCAGGTTTATAGCAGCAGCCACTGCTGGGTACTCTGGAGCCAGAGAGTCCCTGGGCAGCATGCTGTGTGCCCTGCTCCTCCTGCCCAGCCTCCTGGGGGCCACCAGGGCCAGCCCCACCTCAGGCCCCCAGGAGTGTGCAAAGGGCTCCACGGTGTGGTGTCAGGATCTGCAGACAGCTGCCAGGTGCGGGGCTGTGGGGTACTGCCAAGGGGCCGTATGGAACAAACCCACCGCGAAGTCTCTGCCCTGCGACGTATGCCAGGACATAGCAGCCGCCGCTGGCAATGGGCTGAACCCTGACGCCACGGAGTCTGACATCCTGGCTTTGGTGATGAAGACCTGTGAGTGGCTCCCCAGCCAGGAGTCTTCAGCCGGATGCAAGTGGATGGTGGATGCCCACAGTTCGGCCATCCTGAGCATGCTCCGTGGGGCCCCGGACAGTGCCCCGGCACAGGTGTGCACAGCGCTCAGCCTCTGTGAGCCGCTGCAGAGGCACCTGGCCACCCTGAGGCCACTCTCCAAAGAGGACACCTTTGAGGCTGTGGCTCCGTTCATGGCCAATGGGCCCCTTACCTTCCACCCCCGCCAGGCGCCTGAAGGAGCTCTGTGCCAAGACTGTGTACGGCAGGTCTCCCGACTCCAGGAGGCTGTCCGGTCCAACTTGACCTTGGCCGACTTGAACATCCAGGAGCAGTGTGAGTCCTTGGGGCCTGGCCTGGCCGTCCTCTGCAAGAACTACCTCTTCCAGTTTTTTGTCCCTGCTGACCAAGCACTGAGGCTTCTCCCCCCGCAGGAGCTCTGCAGGAAGGGGGGATTCTGTGAGGAGCTAGGGGCACCTGCCCGTTTGACTCAAGTAGTGGCCATGGACGGGGTCCCCTCCCTGGAGCTGGGGTTGCCAAGGAAACAGAGCGAGATGCAGATGAAGGCCGGTGTGACCTGTGAGGTGTGCATGAACGTGGTGCAGAAGCTGGACCACTGGCTCATGTCCAACAGCTCTGAGCTCATGATCACCCATGCCCTGGAGCGCGTGTGCTCGGTAATGCCTGCCTCTATCACGAAGGAGTGCATCATCTTGGTGGACACCTACAGCCCCTCCTTGGTGCAGCTTGTGGCCAAAATCACCCCAGAGAAGGTGTGCAAGTTCATCCGTCTGTGTGGCAACCGGAGGCGGGCCCGGGCAGTCCATGATGCCTATGCCATCGTGCCGTCCCCAGAGTGGGACGCGGAGAACCAGGGCAGCTTCTGCAATGGGTGCAAGAGGCTGCTCACGGTGTCCTCCCACAACTTGGAGAGCAAGAGCACCAAGCGAGACATCCTGGTGGCCTTCAAGGGTGGCTGCAGCATCCTGCCGCTGCCCTATATGATCCAGTGCAAGCACTTCGTCACCCAGTACGAGCCCGTGCTCATTGAGAGTCTCAAGGACATGATGGACCCCGTGGCTGTGTGCAAGAAGGTGGGGGCCTGCCACGGCCCCAGGACCCCACTGCTGGGCACCGACCAGTGTGCCCTGGGCCCAAGCTTCTGGTGCAGGAGCCAGGAGGCCGCCAAGCTGTGCAACGCTGTGCAACACTGCCAGAAGCATGTATGGAAAGAGATGCACCTCCACGCTGGGGAACACGCGTGACCGTGGCTGCCAGAGACCCAGAGCCTGCTAGCGAGGCCCATGAGGTGGGTGCTTTCCCCATCCCCATTTCACAAATGAAAAACTGAAGCTCTGAGGAGGGAGGCTGGGAAGGAGCAGAGCTGAAGTTCAAAACCAAGTATTCCTGATCCCGAAAGCCTCTCTCTTAACAACGGTGCCGCACAGCTTTGCCCTTGAAAGCATCTCTACTGGACCGGAACACACTCATGTGCCCCGCTCCCTGACCCAGCCAAGGCTGCCCTCTCATCTCCAAGGCTGAGATGTTGCCGGTGGTCCCATGAGAGCCTGCCCATGGGCTCAGGTGCCCCTTTACCTTCTGCTGGATGGACATCTGGCTGTGAGCCAGGCTGGGGTCATGGCCGGGGTGAGCGGAGGCAGGGGTGGACGGAGGCTTCGAGGGCCCATCACTAGTAGGGTCATTACCTCTTGCCAACAGCCGGGGGTGGGAGTCTGGGTCTCGCTCAGGCCAGAGCTTCTCAACCTGGAGTCCCTGGGGGTGGCTGCCAAAGGTGTGTATGACAAGCACGTATCCCTGGACATTTCCGGGGAGAGGTCTGGGGCTTTGGTCACATTCTCCAAGGGCTGCTGGGCTTCGGAGCAGTCCCCCCCCATGTCTCAGCCACTACAGGGTCCCTCTCTCTCCTTGCACCCCAGACCCTCCGCTGCCCTGGTAATGAGCAGAAGGAAAGTCTTGGGGTGTGCTCAAAGTCAGGAGAGCAAAATATGCCAGGCAAAAGCTCCCGGGAAAAGCCGGAGGAGTCTGGGGTGGCCACCGGGATGTGGAGCAGCGAGGGCAAAGACGGTGAACACAGCCCTCCAGCTGTCTGAGCCTCAGTTTTCTAATCTGTAGAATGGGGATGATCATACCTGCCTCACAAGAATGTTGAGACAATTCACAGAGACGTTCTGGAGCCCCTTTCCCCCGAGACCGGCATTCATGAGTCTGCTGGGACCAGAAAACCCATCTCAGGGGCCCAGCGGGGCACCCAGGAGAGTCTGGCGGTGCAAGCGCTGTATAAACCACAAGCGTTCTCCAAATGCCGTGTGCCGTGTTTTTATTCTCAGGGAAGGCGCAGATCCCAGAGCTGCTACAACAGCCTCCACCTTACCCTGGTGCCTCCACCTCGCCCCGGTGCCCCCTCTGGCAGAAAGCCTCCGGGGGGGGTTTCCATCTGGGTTCAAGTGCTCCTGTGGTTTCTGCTCCTGCTGTTTGGCCCCCCTAAGACACTGTGCCCCCTCCAGGAGAGCCCCTGGGCATGACCCTGCAGTGTCCTTGCAGCTGGCCCAGCATCTGCACGCAGCAGGTGCTCACACATCTGGGAGCCGCACACATGAGTCCCGGGGGTGGAAGCTGGTATTTCACCTGAGGCCCATGGATTAATTCTCCTCTTGAGTAAGAGGTGCGCCAGGCCTGGATGGACGGGATGTGAGCGGGTGCTGTTTTCCAAGAGGCCACACCCGAGCTCTTAAGTAAACGTCGCAGACCTGGGCCACCGCCCCAGGAACACAGGCACACTGGGCCTGAGATTCTGGATGCCTCAGAAGTGGCCCCTATTGGCTGGGCAGGCCTGGGCCCGCTGGGCAGTCCCACAAAAGATAAGGCCAGCAAGGGGTGGTGGTCGTGCCTGGCCACCGGATGGGCCATGGGAAGGCAGCTCTGCACCAGACTCCAAAACACAGGGGCCCGAAGTTGTTGGCCTCAGTATCTGCCTCTTCCCCTGAGACCACCCACCCTCTCCAGGAGCAGCCCCAGAGGCTCTCTGTCTGCCTGCCGGTAGGTGTTCCCACCTGACACACTCTCTGGGACAGGATGGAGCCATAGGCCCTCCTCTGGCTTGGCTGTGAGTCGGGAGGATGCCTACCGGGAAGTATGTGTGACATGACCTGAAATCCCCCGACAGGTCACCTGGGAGAGGCCGGGAGAGGGCAAGCGCCACACCTGCCAGGTGGCCCAGCTCAGCCCACCTGCCCCCACCCCAGAGCTACCTGCAGTGGGTGGTCAGGGTGGGGTGTCCCCACACCCTCTTCCCTACCCACCCCTTGGGCCTGGGTACCAGCTGCTCCCACAGACCCACTGAGCACATGCGTCTCCACTAGATGGTTGCCCGTGATGAACGGAGCTCACTGGCCATGACCCCACAGGCCCAGCTGCACACCCAGGTCATGAGCACGGCCCTGCCCCACCCCCATAGGGGCCCTCTGACCCCTCCACTCACTCATCCGCCACCAAAGCTGTGGAGGCCTGTGGCAGGGTCTCAGTCACCTCCATCCCCTGTGCCCGGAACCAAGCCCGGAACACAGGAGGTGCTCTGCAAGTGCTCGTGGGGAGTGGCTGCCTTGGGGTCTAAAGGCAGAGAGGCAGGAGGAGCAAGGGACGGGCCCACTGGTGCTGACGGCAGCACCACCATTCAGCACTGAGACTGAGGCTTAAGGAGTCCATCCAAATGACTCCATAGCCGCCGCGTTCAGGCTGGAAAAGGCTTTTCAGCGGAGGGTGCTGTAACTGTCCAGCTGTGGGAGAGGAGATACCAGCCCAGGAGAAGAGCAGCTGGCCCTACTGGGCCTAGAAGTTTGGGAGACCCATCCCAGCAAGGATGGGAAATCAAGACAGATGTTGAGCATGGATTTCCCAGAGGTGGTGACTGCGCCGCACAGAGGAGCATCTCTGCCTGGGAGGAGGGAGAGGGCTCCCGCCGGGCTGCCAGAGCCGAGCAAGTACCTGCACCTTCAGCCAGACACATGCTGGGCATTCTTCAGATGCCATCGTAAGGCGGAGGCCTGGGACGTCCCAGAACACCTATGGATGCTGCCCCTCGGGCTTTCTCGGCCACACCAGATGCAGAGGGGCTGTGGGAGCCTGGAAAAGGGCTTGGTGGTCCAGCTGCTTTGTTGTTGTTGTTTTTGTTTTGTTTGTTTGTTTGTTTGTTTGTTTTGGCTTGGGGCTTTTCTTAGAAGTGATGTGTTGTTAGAAACTTCAAACCAGATACAAATATACCCAACGATGTTCTCTCTCTCTGTCTCTTTTTTTTTTTTGGTGAATAATTTATACAAACTCAGGGCTCTCCTGGAAAGCATGGAAGAGCAGTCCGTGGGGACAGCCACCTTCAATGTGGGAACAGTGAGCCCTGAGCCCTGGAGGGGCACGTCAGGGACAGCCCATGCTGTCCACGCTCCCTCCCCCACTTTCACTTCCCGTGACCTCCAGGGATGAAAGTCAAATCTATTCCTTACAACGAGAAGCGGGCCTGGAAAAGCTTCCCCAGCACACCCGAGTGCCAGGCACCACAGGGCCCAGGACAGTGGCCCCTGTGCACCGGACGGGGGTTGCCAGCCTGCCGGGCATGGCTCCAGGAGCTGGGCTGGCTTCCCTCATGGCCCACCTCCCACAGTCACCGTGAGACAGGGACTATTCTTATTCTATTCCCCAGAGGTGGATGCTGAAACCAGAGAGGTTAAATAACTTGCCCGAGGCCACACAGCCAGTAGTGGAGGGAGCAGCAGGCTCAGGGCGTGTGTTCTCTGTCCTCACACCCGCGACCCACGATATGTCCACGTGCAAGTCCTGACCCCACCACTCTGTGGCCTTGGTTCAGGGTCCTCATCCCTAACCTGGGTGACCCCACCTCCCCGGGTCCTCCGCAGGATGGAGGGTGCCCTGTGGGAGGGGCCCGCCGGGTGCATGCACAGAGGAAGGGGCTTTTCTAGGCAAGTCCTTCCATGACACCTCTGTCTTTTCTGTTCTTCCAGCTAGCCTCTGAAAATGCATTTTCATTGTTATATTTTTACAGATCTTTAAGTTACACTGTGATTTCCAGGTCTGGTAAGGCAGATTCACTTTCCCAGAGTACCTTAACCACTCTCTGCTGCTGTTTTCTTCATGTCTTCCTCACCAAATGCCCTTAGGGCGGAAGAGGCGATGGGACCTGGTAAATTAGCCAAATGCTGATGCCAAGGCCCTGAGAGCACGTATGGGTGCAGGGATGCCCAGCTGCTGTGAGCCCCCAGCCACATCTCCGGGGAGCTGGGGTGGAATAGAGCAGCACCAGGGAAGCCCACGCTCAGCTCCAGCCATGCCGCAGGGACATCGTGATGTCACAGGCACCTTCCCCAAAGCCCTAGGCAGGGGGTGTGCCGGCCCAACCCCATGCACACACTCACGCATGTGCCTCAATGCAGTGCACCAAGTCAAAAGTCAACAACTCTGCCACCCCTGGACAAACCCTTACATTCTCCTTTCCTCATTTTCCTCGTCTGTGAAATGGTCACAGCAGCCCCACATCCCTATCCAGCAGCATGGTTACCAGGTTACAGTGACAACTAATCCTGCTAGTGGACATACCCTGTGAGCCAGCCACTCGGCTCACTCAGACTGGTGAAGAGGTGCCTTCCTGGGGTCTGGGCTCCCCTGCGCCACCACCCCCTCCTGTCTAGTCTCATCACAGCAGTGATCCTGACAAAATCTAAGTCCGGGCCAGCTCACAACCTCCTCACTCCCAGTAAAAGCAGATAAAAGCTGAGGCCCTTACCAACCCACCACCAGCCGGGTGGACCCCACCCTGGTGCAGCCCAGCCCCTCCCCTTGTTCTTTCCTCTCCAGCCACCCCGGCCTGGCCTTGCACACACCCCAGGCCCACCCCAGGGCCTTTGTTTGGCCCTAGACATGCTCCTCTCAGTCCCTCCTGCGGTTCAGGCCTTCCCTGCAGAACCCTGCCCAGCATCACCTCCGGCCCCCACCTGCTATTCCCACCACCACTCCACACTTGTCTTAGTCTCTGCTGCCCTCACTGCCCTCGGCCCCATAACTGACTCTACTCGGCTATCTGGCTGTGGCCTGGCTTCCCTTGGAATGCGAGCTGCAGGAGGCAGGAATTCGTCTCAGTGGTCTCTGCCACAGTCCTGTCACCAAGACAGAGCCCAGCATGGAACAGGCTCCATGAGCACAGGATGAGCGAATGAACGCTGGCTCTTCTGGGACCACTTTCAGCCCTCTGGTCTGCCCTTTGTGCTGATGCCGCCCTGCGGTTGTGTGTTTCTGACAAGGCCTAGCTGTGGCCATACCTTCCAGTTATACAATATGGAGCCCATCTTTCAATAAATGAATATGAATCCGTTGTGCTCAGTTCCAGCAGCCGCCCCAGGGACGCTGTGCAAAACAAGGTTGTCCTCCATGGTCCAGGTGAAGCCACGGGCAGATGGGCCCCACCCCAGGACCCACAGATGACGGCTGGATGGAGTCTGGGTATGGAAACTCAGGGAGATGGGTGCCCCCAGAAGAGCCCACAGAGCAGACCCCAGGTGAGCGAACCTGTTCCTGCCCTCTGGCTGCAGTGCAACCTCCATCCCCCCGCCCTCAGGGGTGGTGATATGGTTCGGATGCCTGCCCCCTCCAAAGCTGGTGTTGAAATGTGATTCCCAGCGTTGCAGTCGGGCCTGGTGCGGGGGGGCGGGGGGGCGGTGGTGTGGGATCGTTGGGGAGGGGCCCTCAGGAAAGGCTCTCCGTGCCATCCCCTGCTGATGAATGAGTCCTCCCCTCAGTTCACGTGAGATCTGCCTCCCACTCTCTTGCCCCCTGCCTCCATGTGACACTCCTGCTTCCTCCTTCCCTCCCATCATGACTGGAAGCTTCCCGAGTCTCACACGAAGCAGATCCCAGCACCCCACCTCCTGGGGTGTCCTGCATAACCAATGAAACCCAGACTCGGGCATTTCTTTATAGCAACCCAAGAACGCACTAACACAGATGGTCAGCTGCCAAAGGCAGGAGGAAGTATGCTCCAAGTCCCAGGCGCAGCCCAGCTCCTCGGCCCCTGCCACCGTCTCATCCCGTCCCCATGAGGTGCTCTGGCCCATCCTCCCACTGCTGAAGCTCAGGAGTGAAGTCGGGGACAGTTGGCCCCCCTCTCTTTCCAAACCTCTACAGCCCAGGGAGGGACAGTGCTCTTGCCCGAGGCCCCAGGCCTATGCTTAGATCACATTTAGAGTCTGGCTCCGAAGCAAGGGATGGGATAAAAACAGCCATGTTCAGTGACTCAAAGCCCCCCCCAGAGCCTGAGTCCAGCCACACAAGACTTTGCTCTTCTACCGAGAGGCCCCCTAGGTCACCCTCCATGTGCCCACAATGGATATGCTGCCATTAACGCTACCCTGGAGCTCCGGCTGCGCCAGGATTCTCCCCAGCACCTCTCAAACTCTCCAGATCCAGGCTGTCACCCTGGGAGGCCGTGGCCCAAGGCAGGCGAGGGCTCAATGGAACCACCGCTCTTTCCCTGTGCCCCCCACCACTAAGCCCTTCCTTGGTGGGAGGGGCCCAGCCTCCATGGCTGCCCCAGGAAGCCTGTCCTCAGGGCCCCATCGCTCCAAAACACATCCCCCACTGTTATCCGGGTTCAGGCCCCGCTCAGCACAACTGGGCATTGCCGGAGCAGATGTGGATTCTGGGAGGCCAGACGTTAATGCAGAGAAACACGGGCTTCACTGCCGGTGCGGGAGGGCCTCGCCTCACCACTCGCTACCTGTGTGACCCTGGGCAAGCCACTGACCAGCCCACAGCCTCAGGCATCCCATAAGTACACAAAGAGGGTAAAGGTACCCTCTCTTGTGGGGTTTGTCCAGGGAGGAAATGAGGTGACCGCATCGAGCACACCCCAGGGCCCGGCACACACAAGACACCCAGTACATGTGCTATTTCCATCGGGCTGATGACACCAACCCTCCCTGAGCTTCCTACAGAGGGAGAATGCTGGAGGGTCTTGCTACATTGCTCAGGCTGGTCTCAAGTTACTGGCTTCAACCAATCCTCCTGCTTCAGCCTCCCGAAGTATTGGGATTACAAGTGTGAGCCACACCTGGCCTACAACACTTTGCAACATGGTTCTTAGTAATGGGCCCCCAGGGGCCACCCTCAGCGGGGCAGTGTGTGCTGGGAAGGCCTCTTCAGGAGCTGGACTGTCTCCCTGACCTGCAAAGCCAGCAAAGCCGTCCTCGGGCCTCCCCTGGCTCAAAGCCACCAGCCCCGGGATCCGATGGGCCACTCATTGAGGGTGGGGAAAAATGTCTCAGGAACAGCAGACCCAGGGCTTCCCCCCACAAGGTAAAACACAGGCCCTGGCCCGCAACTCCCGGCCTCCCCACCTTCTCCTCTGGGTCTACAGCCACAGGGCGGCCTTGTGAGTGCATCTGTTTCGGGAGGACATACACTGATGAACAGCAAGCGATGGAGAATGAAAACCACAACACTGCCCACGCCTCCAGCATCCCGGGGCAGAAGACCCAGGGGCTGGCCCTCCTGAGACCTGTGCTCCGGGTCTAACTCCCCAGGACGGGATCATGATGCCTTTGTGCCTCAGTTTCCCTTCTGTAACCAGAAGAGGCTGGACTAGATTGGGGCACAAGCTCAGAGAGCGCCAGGGCCCGGAAGTGTGGACGAGGCAGAGCCTAGGCCCCATCCAATGGGCCGTCCCTGCCTCGGGATGCTTGCCTGCTGCCGCCCCTTCCTCGTTTCTCCAGCGAGGTGGGGACCCCAGGCTGGTCATGTGAGAACTCGCAATTCCTAAATGCTGACAGCTCGGTCCACTGCGGGCCGGGCCAAACCAAACCCACCTGAAGACTGAGCTGGGCCCTCTGCAGGCCTTGAATTTCCCGCTGTAAAATGAGTGTGATTTGGCACCTGGGCCTCCTGACAACCATTTGACGGCTCAGAAGCCTCTGACGTTTCTCTGTGAGACCAAGGAAAGGAGCAGAGCCGCTCAGGTGTCGGGCTTCTAATCCAGGAGGGGTTAGGTATCATTTATTTAGGACAGTGGGAGTAACTGCAAAATGAAGGGGAACGTCTCGCCACTCCCAAACCAGTTTCTCAGACTGCCATTCCCAGGACACGGGGGAAACCGAAACCAGGACAGCAGAAGCGAGTGCACCTTCCACAGGCAAGGCCCTTTATCGGGGTCATCTCATCTCAAGGGGACGTCTCTTGCCCAGGCTGCGGCTGTGGAGACAGAGAGCAGGTGCTTGCCAAAGGCCACACAGGCCAGTCCTGGGGTCTCTGGAGCCGAAGGTCACCCCACAGCGATCAAGGGCCAGGGATTTGGGACATTCAGCAAAACCGAAAACGGAGGCTCCTGCGTGGTGTGCTGTTCCTAGTGGATTCTGGTGTGGGAGGATCTGAGGCTCTGGGTCGTGAGAGGCTGGAGAGAGCAGGACAGGGGAGGCACCCCTGCAGCCTGTGGAATCTGGCACCTCCCGGAACTGCACCAACATCCTGTGTCCCTGAGCTCGGCCCACAGATGGGGCAAGGTCACAGAAGGCCAGGGATCCATTCCACCTTCCTGCTGACCCCGCGGCCCTCCGGGGCACAGCACCCATGCCAGTGTCCTGGGAGCAGAGTGCCTGCCCCTCGGGAGGTGGTGCCGGGCACTGTGTGGTCCAATGTCCCTCAGGCCTTGATTTTAGGGCAGGCCCCAACACGCACTCACTGGGCAGCCTTCCTTGGGCATGTGGGGGCCTGTGTGTGCTGAAGGCATGGTAGGGAGGGCTTAAGGAGATCTCCCATGCAGAACACCCACCACGGTGCCCGCACGCCCTCACTGCTTTGTCCTGCTGAGAGCCCCGGCACAGGGACTCTGGGCTGGGGAGCTGCTGTGAGCCCTGCGGAGTGCGGGGGTCACACGTCACGTTAGCAGAGGGGGGCGCTCCTGCCACCATGAGGAGGTGAGGAGCGGCAAAGAGGAGGGCTCTGTTACCCACACACTGGGTGACTTGGGAAAGCCTCTAGATCTTTCCAAGCCTGCATTTCCTCCCCCAATTCAGAGGACTGTGTGGACCCGGATTTTATAGCCAAGGGGCTGGGCACAGCGTTCACACTGGGTGGACAGAGGCAGTGATGCCAGAGGGACAACGGGATGTTTCCACGGTCACACACAGCTCAGGCCCAGAGAGCCCAGGCTGGAGACAGAGCTTGCCAGTCCTTCCTGCCTGCCACTGCCTGCCATCGTGGGGTTTCCTGAAGGATCTACAATGGCCACCCCACCCTACCCTTCAGACGAGGAGCCAGAGGCTCAGAGGGAGCTTAGAGCTTGCCCAGAGTCACACAGCTAATGACAGCAGAGTCCCCTCGCTGGGCCAAGCCTGCAGCTCTGTCCCACCACCCGCTTTTCACACATGGCCAGGAACAATGTGAGACCCAGGGTGACAGGCCAGGGACCAAGGTCCTGGGAATAGCTGGCAACATCCCACTCTCCGCTGGGTAAGCAGCATCCTCCCAGCTGTGCACAGACCCACGGATGCCAGGACACGGAGCGCCCTGCCATCCTCCTAAGCCACAGCATGCCTGGGCCCTTGCTGAGGAGCAAGGAGTGTGCCTCTTCCCAACACCGCGTGTGATGATGTCACTTTGGCAGCTTGACGCTGGCCGCCACGGTGGGAGAACTTACACCATGAAAACTGGCCAACATTACAAATCAGTGTTGCTGGGTTTGTTTGTTTGTTTTCCTGGAGAGCTGGTTGTTCAACATTCATCAGCACACCACTGTTTCTAAAGAAACAAGCTGAAGAAAGTCATCCACCCCAGAGCTCACCGTGGGGCAGCCTGGGTCTCCCTGAGCACCGACTCATGCCAGGTGCTAGGCCAGGGTAGGGCTGGTCCTGGGCACGAAACTGACCTGTCCCCCAAAGAGTGATCACAAGCCAGCATCTCAGACAGGACAAATGAAATGTCCAGTCTCAGCTGGGTGTGGTGGTGCACACCAGTAACACCAGCACTTAGGGAGGCTGGGATGGGAGCACTGCTTGGGGCCAGGAGTTCGAGCCTCCAGTGAGTTATAAGCATCACTGCACTCCAGCCTGGGTGACAGAGTGAGACCCTGTTTCTAAAAAGCAAAAACCTCCGGCCCCTGCTTTCCACACCACAGGAGAGCTCTAGGCACTGGAATCCAACAGTGAACCACATAGCCAGGGATGCTGCTCCCTTGAGCCTGTCACCTAATGGAGCAGACACACAGGCCACAGATAAAGAAATAATAACAATTATAATGTTCTAACAGGAAACTGCATTAAAATAATATCATCAGCAATAATGCATTTAAGGCCTGAGCGGTTATGATCAGTGCAATGAAGAGAAAACAGCACGGAGTCAGAGCCTCCAACAGGGAGGGCACCTTCCCCTAGCGTGGATGGGTGCGGGGAGTGGCTCGGAGGAGGTGGCCTTCAGCTGGCATCTGAGGAATCAGAGCCAGCAGATCAGGAGAAGTTCCCTGGGAGGGATGAGCTGGGGTGAAGGCTGAGAAGTGGAGAGAGGGGTGGGGGGTAGGGGAGGGGTGGCAGGTGCTGGGGCGGGTACATACTAGGGCCTTTAGAGATCTGGCCATGGAGAGGGGCCGTGGTCTGCGGATCCCCGCGGGGTGCCCTGGAGGCTGCATGGACCTCCGGGTGTGCTGAGAAGCCCTGGGTCAGTTATTAGCAGGCAGTGACGAGGCCTCTGTGCTCTCTGAAGTTCACTTTGGTGTTGGAACGGACTCTCGGGGACAAGGGCAGGCGCAGGGAGACCTGGGTTGTGGCGTCCAGGCGAGAGACGGCGGTGCCACAGGATGGGAGAGGAGGTCCCTGTTCCGGGACATCCTGGAGGAATTGCAGGTGGATGAGATGAGGGAGACACTAAGGAGTGTGTGGGTCTGAGAGATGGCCTGGATGGCAACCTAGCCCAGCACTCACACACAAGGGGATTAGGGCAGGAGCACCAAGGGGGCCTGGGACCACCCCACCTCTGCCCCCAGCTCTGACTTGCACAGCAGGGGGTCTCAAACTTGAGTGTAGACCCCAGCCCCTACACACCAGCCCGGTCCACACACCTCTCTCCCTAGGCAGCCATTGTGGGCCCACGGGCAGTGTCCACGGAAAGGAAGGCCACGGGAGGGGCCTGCCCAGGCTGTAGAAGCGGGCAGGGCATCCAGGACCTAGAGGAGGCTGCAGGCTCCGGGCAGCACATTCCCCCAGCCTGGGGGCCCCTTGTCCCAGAGAACGGCATGGCCCGAGGAGGCTGAGCTGGGCTCTGAGACAAATCAGCCCAGGTGGCCCACTCAAGAGGGCAGTGACAGGAGAAGGTCAGAGAATGGATGGTGACGGAGGCACAGGTTCTGACATGCTGAACCCAGGTGGCGTGTCTGACCACGTTAGGTGGGTGACGATTAACCCGTACAAGATGGTGGACTTGGTTTTCCGAAATGCAGGGCTCATGGAGGAAAAGTAGCAAAGGGGGCACCGACCAGGCTGGACTGCACCGGTGTGGTTCAACCCCTCCCACTTCAGTTCACAGATGAGGAGGTGGGGGTCGACAAGGGAAGTGAGCATCTCAAGGTCGACCATGGGGGAGGGAGCGTGATGCCCAGCCCCGCCCCAGCCCCTGCCCTCCCTCTCCTGCAAGCCCGCCCCAGCCCCTGCACTCCCTCTCCTGCAAGCCCACTGGATTTCATTTGCAAGGTGGCAGGCAGGAGGCCTCAGTGACAGGAGCCCTCCAGACTGGAGGAGGCCAAAGCAGGAACAGGGAGACCAGAGAGGGGCCGCAGTGGCCGTCCCACAGAGCCAGCGGGGGCTCCAGACCCCAGGGCCGAGCCTGTGCACAGTCACTCGCTGTCCCCGGAGCCACTGGAGAGGGAGGCCAGGCTGTGGCTTAGGAGACACACAAAGGGAGTTATGGGGGGCAAGAACCTCACCCCCCACACTCCCATTGCCAAGAAGTACAGTGCTGCTAAAGAATGACCATGAACGACGATGACGAGTATTCCCTGGCGCTGGCTAGAAGCCAGGCCTGGGCTCTGTGTTTTACATCCATTACCACTGGACCCCGCAACCCAGCAACTCTATTATCACAGATGCAGTAAACCAGGCTCAGAGGGGGAAAGTCACTTCCCGAAAGCCACACAGTTAACAAGAGGCAGAGCCAGGACTGGAACTCAGATCTATCAGGTCCACAAGCCTGCGTTCTTAGCCACCTCTCATGCAATCCCTCTAGAGCAGAGAGGAGACACAGGAGAAGCTGTGGGAACAGGGACTCTCGTGGGAAACGCATGGCGTGGTGCACCAGATGACCCAGGTGGGTGCCCCCTCTGACTCACTGCAGAGCCCAGTGCCTTCCCTGGGGCTTCAGCCAACAGCTTGTGCTGGGGACCCAAGCAGAAGTTTAAATGCAAACACTGTGTGGGCAAGGGATGGAGCGAAACAGCCCTAGGGTCCCTGAGCACCCAAGAGAGAACTGGGAACCAGGCCCGGGTCTCCATCTCCAAGGAGGAGGGCAGAACCAAACACCAGTGATGGCAAACATCTGCTGGTACGCACGTGCTGAGTGGGGCACTGGGCACCCTGCTGTCCCCTGCAACGGCAGGCAGAGGAGACAGGCGGGCAGAGGAGGCAAGCGAGAGGCTCCGCGCCAAGCCGAGAACCTACTTAAGCTTTGAGTGGCATCAAGCATGCCGTGCAGGCTCCAGCTTGTGACGGTGGCAGGCGGGCTGGCTGGTGGGGCATGGTGGATAAGGTCTAAGAAGAAGCCTCAGGACCGTGTGGGTCCTGAATCCCACGGAGTCCTCTCCAGGTATGTGACTGCCACTGCCCTAGCTTGCTAGATGGGGCACGGGGCTCAGGGGAGGCAATGGGCTCAGTGGCGTCAGGAAAGAGGACAAGCAGGCAAGGTGTGCAGCCCCTCCAGTGACACCAGACTTCCTTCCATGGCCACACTGGACACCCTGCCTTCCTGAGTCCCATGAGGTCTGCCTCCAGCTGCACATGAAAGAAGCTGCCAGAACCTCTCCAGTGCCCCCACATGTCCACTGGCTGCTGTGCCAACTGGACCTGAGCCCTGGACACTCTCTGAGTCTCAGCTAGCTCTCCTGGGACCTGTGCCCAGCCAGGATATGGCTTGGTGCTTTCACTGCTTGATCTCATCCAAGGCTCCCACAAACCTGCAAGGTGGAGAATATCACTGTGCCCATTTTACAGATGGGGACTCTGAGGCCCAGAGAGCCCTAGATGGGAGATGGGAGAGCCTGCTTGACACTCAAGTCTGCTGACTCCAAAACTGGCGTTGCTGCAGCCATTTTCTACTGGGGCCAGCTGGGTGTTCACAAGCCAAATCCTTGCCCCCCAGGCACATTGTGGACTACATTTCCCAACCTCCCTTGCAGATGGGAGCAGCCCAGTGGCTGAGATCTGGCTGACAGAGTGTGGCTGGAAGTCCTCTGTGTATAATCCATGCTCTCTTGTCTCCCCGGCCTGCTAGACTGGAGGACTCTTAGGCCCTGGTTAGCGGGAGAGGAGTGTGCAGAGCTACAGGATGGAAGGAATCTGAGTCCCTGCATCACAATGCTCAGAGAAGAGCTGCCCAGGAAGCACCTGGCTAGGAATACCCACATTGGACCATTGCACAAGTGAGAAACTTCATCCTAGGAAGCCACTGAATCACTGGGGCTGTTTGCTACAGCAGCAAGCCTACCCTGACATAGCTTGCTGCCTCTTAGATCCAGAGATCTGGCTTCCATCTACACTGTCCTGCAGACCCAGCATGTCTCAGCCAAGTCCTTGGACCAGTGCAGAGAGGCCTATTTGTCTGAGACGGCTTGCCAATCTGCAGTTCAGATGACACCAGCTCGCCTTGGAAGAAGGCTGACTCAAAACACCAGTGTTTACAGAGGAAAAGTGAGAAACTGATGAGCTTCCACAGGAAGAAATCCATGCACTCGAGAGATTATGGGCTCTTTATTGCAACGCTTTGCAAATAGGCAGAGGATTGGATGCCTGGAGCACTGACTGCAAAGGTCAACCAGAGCATGTGGTCCATTCAATACAAGGCCCATTGCTATAACCTCAGAGGCCACCCTTTCTCTGTAACCTGAGTTCTGGCCATGTGTCTCTCACCAAGGCTCACACAGCCTTTCCTGGTTCCTCCAGTGTCCAAGGCCAGCCAGACCCCATGAGAGACCTCTACCCAGCAAAAAGGTCTTCTCCAGATGGAGTCCTGGATCCTAGCTTTGCCCTCAGGACCCTATGGAACTGCCTGTCTCCTGAACCCCAGAAAGCACTCAGCAGTTGGGAACTAGCCTCATACCTTCTCTTCTCCAAACCAAATACCTCTGTTGAAAAAAATGGCTGCAATTCATCCCCTCCCTGTATCCACACCCATTTGCAAAGGTCCTTCCTTTAATAAGTGGAGTTATTTCCCCACTTTTTGAATAAAGGTCAATCTTTGTGATTTGCTTTGGCCAATGAGATTTGCAGAAGTGATCTTACGTGACTTCCAAGTCCATGCCTTGAGACCTATGTGCTGCCGTTCTTTCTTGAACCTCTGCCCAGGTGCCCTGTGTATATAAGCCCAGGCTAACCTGCTGGAGGATAAGAGTCATTTGGCCCAGTCTTCCCCATTGCCCCAGGCAAAGGCCAGCCAAGCCTCAGAAAGAGAGCCACCAAGATAATTGGCTGCTTACTACAGATGTAAGATTGAGCCCAGTCAATAACCAAAGATCCAGCCAGCTGAGCCCAGCCCACATTGCCCATTCACAGAATCGTAAGCTCAATGAATGACTGTTGTTTTAATCTACAAATCTGGTGGGGGGGGGGGTCATTTGTTACGCAGCAAAAGCTAACTGATATATCACCCTCACTGCAACTTCAATGTTCATCCCGCAGAGGGCACAGCTTCCATCACCTCTAATTTCTGAGCTAGACTTTTTGAGACATGATACTATTTTTATAAGGGTCCTCGTGGAGTGGAGACAATGATCTCTGTGACCCCCACAGTCCTGCGCCCTGCCAACTCCACCTCGCGCTTAATGTCCCATCCATTGTCAGTCTCTCAGACTTTGCATGGGTGGTCTGCTCTGAAATACTCCCTCTAACTGTTGGCTAACTTAGATTCATCCTGAAGTCTTGGCGGGAGAGCACTTCCCCCAGGCCAGCCAGCCTGACCCCTGGGCCTGCATTGCTGCCCCGTCCCGTGCACTTCCGCAGCACTTCCTCCCTATGGGACAGCTCATATCACTGAATGGGCATCACCCAGTGACTTGTCTGCCTCCCTGCTAGAACGCGAGCCCCATGGGGACAGAGGCTGTGTCTGCCTCATTCAACATTGAATCTCCGGAGTCTAGGGTACACCTGAAATGTGCTGAGCGCTCAGAAAAACTCAGAAAAAAGGGAAGGAGGAAGGGAAGGTGGGTGTGGTGAGGAGGAGGAGGAAGAAGTGACAGCGTAACTGGTAAGAGCCTCCAGCTGATGGCACCTGACACAGGCCAAGTGCCTGGTAAGGGCTTCATAAACATCTGATGAGCCAGACACCAGCCATGAAGCTCCACTGACCCCAGGGCCCCTCTAGCCTTCTGCTGGCTCACTCTTATGTTTTCCTGTGGCATCAACTGAAAACTTGTTGCCCCTTGGTGGGGCTGCTCCCCCTCACCCTTCATGTGCCCTGGGAGCCTTCAGCGACCCGTTCCCAACTGGGACTGGCTCAGAGGCCTCCGCTTCTCACTCCCCATTGAATTGAAAAGGGCGACTCAGCTCTCTGCATCTTCTGCAGATAGGAGAGGCCTGATGCAGGGACCAGAGGAGTGCACGCCTGGGCAAGCCGAGGCCCAGCAGGGTCAGGGGAAGTGATAGGGGCCAAGGGCCACGTTCCGGGAAGAGCGGGTCCCACAGTCACTGAGGACCTCACAAAGCACCTTTGCCCCATCTCAGCAGACCCGTTTTAAAGGTGGGAGAACAGGATTAGAAACAGCAGAAGACTTGCCCAAGGTCACTCATAAATGGCAGAGCTGAGACTTCCAGAATTAGGGTGCCCATGCTTCTCCCAAACTCAGACAAACACTAGCTTCTACCCCCAAGCTACCATCCGTAGCATAATAAAAACTGCTCCCTGTGTTAGCCCCTGTGCTAAGCAAACTCCATCCAGAGTGGCCCATATGCAATCCTGTCAGCTCCCATTTTGTGGACAGGAAAAGCAGGGCTCCAAGAAAGGCAGGACTTGGGCTTCCTGGCGCTGCCATCTCTCAGCCACTCCACAAGGACCCTTATAAAAAGAGCATCATCCCTGGACAAGTCTAGCTCGCCCTTCATGCCACTCGGCCGCCGGCATAATCCCAGATGCTGCTTGCCCTGTAAACAGGTTTATGGCTCCATCCTTCAGTGCACACTCAAGCGAGGTTTACTACATAACAGAAAACAAAGACAGTTTCCTCGTGTTTCCCACCCCGGGGTGGGGGGCTTCATTAAAATGCATCATATCCCCAGGGCAGAATGTCACTTTAATGCAAAGAGCAGGAGACCCCGCTCTGCTCTTCTGCAGACCACAGGCAGAGGCATGGGTGTGTGGGTGTGTGTGTGCGAGAGTATGTGTGCGTGTGTGTGAATGTGTCAGTGTGTCTGCACACGTGTGTGTGCATGCATATGTGTGTGTCTGAGCATGCACAAGTGTGTGTGTGCATGCATGCATGTTTGTGTGTGTTCACAAGTGTGTACATGCATGCATGTTTGTGTGTGCACAAGCGTGTGTGTACATGCATGCATGTGTCTGTGTGCGCACAAGTGTGTGTGCATGCGTGTGTGTCTGAGTGTGTGCACAAGTGTGAGTGAGTGCATGCATGCGTGTCTGAGTGTGCACACAAGTGTGTGCATGCATGCATGTGTGTGCTTGTGTGTGAATGTGTCCATATGCGTGTCTGTGTATACGCACAAGTGTGAGCATGTGTCTGCATGTGTGTGTGTGTGCATGTGCACATGCATGCACGTGTGGGCGTGTGTGAGTGTGTCAGTATGGAGGAGGAAGCGTGCGTGTCTGTGTGAGCGTGCATGAGTGTGTGTATGCACCGTACACAGGGCATCAGTGGGAGTGGGAGAATGCAAAGTACTGAGTCCTGCCCCAGACTCAGCCCCTCCAGGAACACACATGCTTGGACTTTGCACTCAACTGTGTCCTGGAGGGCAAGGAGGGGGAGCTCTGTGGGCCAAGCACCCTATTGAATACCACGCCTCCTTTGCCCACTGGCTGAAAAAGTGCCTCCCTAAACCCCTGCAATTTCCTCCTCCCTGTCCCCTACGAACGCTGCAGCCAAATGTTTGCTCGAGTCCACAAGCCTAACTTACTGAAATCCCAGGCCTAACTCCCCATCACCTACAGAACAGAGTCCAGGCCCCTCCGGCCGGCACATGAGGCCTCCTTAATCCAACCCTGGCTAGATCACTAGTGCACTCCCCTGCCATCCTCCTCCCACCTAACGCTTTAGCCGCTCTAAACTCCTTAGGGTCCCTCCACACCAGGCTGCTACATGCCTCTGTGTTTCTGCACATCATGTTTCCCTTGTCTGCCTGAAAACTCCTATCCATCCTTCAAAGTCCAGTTCAGACATCATCTCCTCTGAAATGCCCAATTGCCCTCTTCTGCAGGGCCCTCAACACTGGATGTTGGGCCCCTATCCATCCCTTCCTCTTTGTCAAGGTTGGTCAATCCTAAGACCTGGCAAAGTGCCTAGCACAGAGGGCATGCTCAAGAATGTTTACAAAATTAGGTTATCGAGAAACGATTCTTCACATCTTGTGTTCAATCTTGGTGCCCCAGCAAGGCCTTCAACTGATAACTTCTGACCATCGTTCTAGATGCCTTCATGCCTGTGTGTTCAACAAAATAAAGGTCCCCAAAACAGGTCCACATCCTAATGCTCACAGCGCAAGCATATTACCTTACCTGGCCAAAGGGACTTTGCAGGTCTGATTAAGGACCTAGAAATGGGAAGATTATCCTAGATTATCCAGGTGGGCCCAGTGTCACCCCAGGGGTCCCTAAAAGGCAGAACCTTTTCTGGCTGTGGTCAGAGAACAATGTGGGACAACAAAAAAAGGGTCAGAGGGAGGTGACGCTGCTGGCTTGGGAGGGAAGGCCTGAGCCACGGATGGCAGGCAGCCTCTGCATTCCAACTCTAGAAGCTGGAGAAGGCAAGAGAATGGATTCTTTCCTAGAGCCCTGGGAGAGAAACGACCCGGTCCACATCTTGACTGGAGCCCAGTAGGACCTGGTTGAACTTGTGGCCTCCAGAGCTGTAAGATGACACACCTGTGTTGCTTCAAGTCCTATGTTTGTGGTCATTTTTACGGCAGCCATGGAAAACAGGACATCCTGGCCACCAGCCTATGCACTTACCAAGGCGTGCCCCAAAACCCCGGCAGCTCCCAGCCTCCTGAAATGCCTACCTCGTTTTTACTTTAACTCATTACTTTGAATTTTGTCCTGCTTGTCTCTTTAATCACCTAGCCTTGCTTCTCATGTAAATAAGACTCTCTCTAGCTAGGAAAGCCGGACAAACTCCAACTGACCCCTTAATTTACAAGACACTAAGGGCTCCTCACCCAACCCCGTTTTGTGAGGAGTTGGCCTGGGTAAACAGATCCTCAGCATTTCAAAGGAGCGCAATTAACTGATAAGGTACCAACACCAACCATGTATGAAGTTCCCAGGAATTTTCTCCAAAAAATAACAACATAAAACCTTGAGTTCGTGTCCAGCATAGACCCTATATCTAATTATAATGAAAGATTTAGAACCTTGCACCTGGTACCGTTGCTCTTCTTGTAACCATTTGTCTTTTAAGTTGTTTATCACTCTGTAACCATTTTGATTCTTTTGATTCTTGCATGTTTTTACTTCTGTAGAATTATTA
Source organism: Homo sapiens (assembly GCF_000001405.40). Taxonomy (NCBI): domain Eukaryota; kingdom Metazoa; phylum Chordata; class Mammalia; order Primates; family Hominidae; genus Homo; species Homo sapiens. Next base: position 7,414,621 of record NC_000004.12, on the reverse strand, counting down.
CATTTGAGTCCCCCTCCCCTTCCTAAACCTAGGTATAAAAGTTAATCGAGCCCCTTCCTCGTGGCCGAGAGAATTTTGAGCATTAGCTGTCTCTTTGGCCGCCGGCTTAATAAAAGACTCTTAATTCATCTCAAAGTGTGGTGTTTCCTTAACTTGCCTGGGTACAACACTCCAAGCCATTGCCCCGCGGCTCCCACTGCCTAGACTGCCTTCCTCTGTTCCACTTGCCCTTCCCTGCCTGGAAAACTTCTATTCATCCCTCAGAAGCTATTTCCAAAGTCCCTCCTAGGGGAACCTATCCCAGCATGCCCGGGGGTAGGACGGGGCTCCTTACCACCTAAGTGCAGCCAGGTCTTGCCATGTGCAACTGTGGGCTACCACCCTGGGTCCTCTGTTCTTCTGCTGGTTGGCAGGATCCTGGTTGGCTGGCCCCAGTGTTCTGTGCAGTCTGAATTGTTGATGCCTAAAGCAGCGCCTGCATCCGTTAATGGGATTTACAGAATAGCAAGCGTATCCTTGTCTCGCCTTGTCGAGCTTTCCTTTAGCTGGAGATACATTCACACCAGGAAAGGAGGCTGATCTCACATGTATCTTACTACCTCTTCCCTAAATGGCTCTTTCGTCTCTACATCCTCCAGTAACATCAGCAACAGCCTCAGAGACAGGCCCTCCACACACCCAAAGCCACGCCAGAATCCCAGCACCCTGCAATCCGATAGGCAGGAGGAAAAGGGCACACAGAAGAGCTTACCCTAAGAACATAGAGACGTGGGGCAGGGTATGTACAAGGACACCCACCACAGCTCCCTTTACATCTCGGCATTAGTGAAAATCAGAAATGACTCAGAGGTCTAAAAATGAGGACTTGGTTAAATAATTAACACCTCCTTCATGTGAAACTATATTATACAGCCATTAAAAAATAGCAGTTGTGGGTCAGGTGCAGTGGCTCACGCCTGTAATCCCAGCACTTTGGGAGGCCGAGGCAGGCAGATTACCTGAGGCCAAGAGTTTGAGACCATCCTTGCCAATGTGGCAAAACCCCATCTCCACTAAAAACACAAAAATTAGCCAGGCATGGTGGCGGGCGCATGTAGCTACTCCGAAGGCTGAGGCAGGGGAATCACTTGAACCCAGGAGGTGGAGGTTGCAGTGAGCCAAGATCACACCACTGAACTCCAGCCTGGGTGACAGAATGAGACTCTATCTCAAAAAAAAAAAAAAAAAAAAGCAGCTGTGAAAATACGGAGGATCATAAGAACATGTTTAATACATAATTCAATTGGAATTCTAAATTTATAAATCACGTACATATTTGCATCTTAAGACTAGTGAGAATATTTATCTCAAATATGAATAGTTCGAATCTCATGAGGTGGGGTTAACACAGGGGATTGTTTTTACGCCGTGTTTATGATGATCACAAATTATAATTACAGTATATAAAGATGTGGTACTTTTTGAGGGAGAATTTTTCTGGAGAGGGATTTGGCCCTGCCCATATTAAGAATGTCTTTAAGAAGAGATTCTTAAAGCACTACCCAGTACCTTAAGGCACTACCCAGTACCTTGGTTTGAGGAAATGGGAGGCGGTTAACACTGAAATTCACGCATGATGCCTCGTGGATGTGGATTCCATTCTGAAAGCCCCTGGGCTCATGGTGGTCCCAGAGCTTCTGCCAGGTGCAGAGAACACAAAAACCCAGACCCTAGAGACAAGGAGGTGCCTGCCATGGTGGGGACAGGATGGGGGCTGTGGCGGAGGCCCTGGGAGAGCCCAGGGGTGGGGCAAGACCCAGCCTGGGTGGGAGGAGGGATCCAAAAGGGCTCCCATGGGGAAAGGACAGCTGAGCCCAGGGGGACAGGTGAAGCAGCAAGGGTGCTTGGGGAGACCCAGCAGGAGGAGCAAGACCTGCAGGGAGGGCCCCCGCCCCAGGGGTGGGGAGGGGCTGATGGGAGAACTCTGGAGGGAGAATCCTCTAGAGCTGGGAGGACCAACCCTGAGAGACGATTCTCAGCTGATCACAGGTGCAGAATCAAATCATCACCCGACATTTCAGGCTCCCCATCTCCACTGAGCATCTGTCCCCCAGTTCTTAAAAAAGCATCTGAGACGATCTTATGGGCTAGGAAGCTGGCTGTGAGCTCAGAATGCACGGGGTCGTCTGGATGGGCAGGGCTGTCACTCTGCCAGGGAGAGAAGCCAGACCCCCCTGCACACTGTCAGAAAGCTAAATTCAGAACAAACGCTCTGGCTGGAGCAGAAGCTGCCAGCCTCACTCAGAAGAAGTTGAGACCCCTTTCTGCCCCAGTTTGCTTTTTCCCTGAGAACTAACTCCAGGGGGTGGCCATCGGCCTGCAGGAGCAAGGCCGAGTGAGCAGGATGCAGGGGAGGAAAGGAGAGTGACACGCGGGTGGCACACAACACCAGGGTGAGCCCCGATGGGCCGTGACACACTCCGGGCAGCTCCTACAGCAGAAGCTGGGACCCAGGCCCAGCCAGAGTACAGAGGGGCAGAGTGTCCCTACCACCTCCTGGGCCAGCAGCTGCATTTCTGCCACACAGCCTAGGATTACAGAAGGATGGCTGGCATCTGCTGCACAGACTTGATAGACCTTGGCAGCATACATGCTAGGGATGGTGGGGGTGTGCTGGGCTGGGAGCAGACACAAAGAGGCATCGTGGCTGTAGCAGTGTTGAAAGCACTATGTAGGGAGGGCAGCTTTAAGAGAAGGGAGGCTGTGGTGTCTGGGAACCAGGGGTGAATCTCCTTCCAGGAAGTCTTACATGACTACCACTTCCTCTGCTCCAATGGAGTAGGGGTGTCTAAGGCTTCCCTGGTTCTTTCAGCCCCACCATACGGTAGATTACATGCCACTGTCATGGATTGGTTCCTTGTCTGTACCCCTACTAAACTCTGAGTCTTAGATATCAGTTATCATAGCTCACCCCACCCCAGAGCCTAAATGGATGGAGGGAGGAAAGGCAGGTAGGTGGATGGAGGGGTGGATGATGGGTGGATGGTTAAGATGATGGATGAGTGAATGAAGAAATGGATGGGTGGATGGATAGCAAATGGAAGGAAGAATGAGAAGGAGGGAGAGAGGAGCAAAGGTGGGAAGGGTGGATAGAAATGAGGAGAGAAGATAGAGGAATGGAAGGAAGGAAGAAAGCATTGATGGTTGATCAGATAGGTGGATGGATACATGGGAAAGGGGGAGCAAGGGAAGGAAAAAGGCAGAAGGGAAGAGAGGAAAGAGAAAAAGAAGGAAAGTCAGTAGGCAGAGAAGCTAGAAGCAGTGACAGAGGGGTCCCTGGAGCCCGGACCCAAGGGAGGGCAGGTATTAAAGTCAAGATGGAGAGAAGAGGCCAGGCGCAGTGGCTCATGCCTGCAATCCCAGCACTTTGGGAGGCCAAGGTGGGTGGATCACGAGTTCAAGAGACGGAGACCATCCTGGCCAACATGGTGAAACCCTGTCTCTACTAAAAATACAAAAATTAGCTGGGCGTGGTGATGCATGCCTGTAGTCCCAGCTACTCGGGAGGCTGAGGTAGGAGAATCGCTTGAACCCGGGAGGCAGAGGTTGCGGTGAGTCGAGATCACACCACTACACTCTGGCCTGGCGACAGATTCAGACTCCGTCTCAAAAAAAAAAAAAAAAAAAAAAAAAGGATGGAGAGAAGAGGCTGCTGGGCCCAGGGGCTAGGAATGCTGAGAAGTCTCCTCAAATTCTCGTGATTTCTCAGTCACCTCAGATCTTGTCCCAGAACATTTTAAAGGCACCTCAAGGCCTCAGAGCCTAACCTCATCAAATCATTGATTCACAGTGAATTATTTATTGAATACACTGTAACCCTGAAAGCTTTACAGTCAGGGCCTCTCTCTCAATCCCTATCTGCTGTGACTCTTGTTTAAATCAAACTCAGATCTCCATGGTGATGTTAAAGCAAACACTGAGGGAGACTGGCCTGGGAGCAAAAATGCAGCTGGTGAAAAGCCAATGGGACATTTTAGGTAATGGGAGAAGGAAGGAAACAGACCTCTGACATCTACTAAGTGCCCAGCATTTTACACGCATTGTCTGCTGTCATCTTCATAAGAGCCCATGAGGTCTACAATGAGGTCTGAATGTTTAGGCTCATTTTACAGAGGAGACCCAGAGAGGTCACCAAGAAGGGAAATATGGAGCCAGAATTGAAACGAAGGCCTGTCTATGTGCACAGAGGACTTTCCATGCTTGTCATCACCTTAAGGGTAGAGTTCCCCTTACAGTGTAAGACTGTTTCTCTCTGAAGTCCCCCTCTTTCTGGATGACCAAAGGGCAAAGCATATCACCTCTTAAATTTTCCCATCTGAAAACTGGCTATGAACTCTCAGCGTTATCTACCAAGAACAGCCTAATCAGCATGACAGCTCTTTGTTTGCTCCAACATTATGGGGGCACAGAGAGGAATGCTGTGATACCCAGGACAGCCCATAGGCTGGTAAGACACTCTGCAGAAGGCTTTGTCAATTTCAGCATGGTCACACCATGGGGATGTCCCCCAGGGCCATCATTGGCCTCTGCAGAGAAGGACTTTGATGCTTCTTTATATCAGTGAGCGTCAGAGGACGCTGCATTGCTGTTGGGCTTCACTGCTCAAATTCCTCAGACTGCATTCACAACATATGTTAAAATTCTATACATTAAAAGACAGAAAAAAACAAGGAGACTTCCGGTTCCAAAATGGTAGCATAGAAGCAACCTGGCTTCACTCCCACCCACAGAAAACCAAAAACAAATATACAACACTGAGATGATCACCAGCAATATTTCAGAATGCAAATGTGAAGATGAGACTGTTCCCAGAGCCACAGAGAAGTGAAAAGACTCAGAGCAGATGGTAAGAAAATTGGACTTCCACATCCTTGATGCCTCTGTCCCCATCCTGCCTGGCACTGAGCCTGCAGAAAACTTACCACCAACTCACTGTTTCTGCCCTGGAAAAAGTGGGATTGAGGTGGACAACCAGCTTCCCCATCATCTTGGGTTCTCTGGCGGGAGACTGTTCCTGCCATGATCCATAGAAAACAACTCAAGTGCTGAAGGGAGAAATATCCCTGAGGACATCAGAGACAAGGGAGGAAGGACTACCAAGCCCAGCCGTGAAAACTCTGCTCTGTAATTTGGCCAAAGGGGACTCCAAATCAGAGTGTCTGTTCAGCAGCACCATGCTGTTGGAGATTTATTCTACAGGTCTCCTGGGCATGAACCCATGGCTGCCATCCCCACACTACCCAGAAATCCCCTTTGAGACCTCCCCTATTTGGGAAAGGCAGCACTCCAGTCCTTTACTACAGCCAAGGAGAACCTGGGCTTAAGGCACCACTTAGAGTCCAAAAGGAGGCAGTGGCCTAGCAGTAAAGAATCTTTAACCAAAACAAGTCAGACAGAGAAGACTATAGTAAATAATGAATCCTTTAATGCAAAGACACTGACATACATCTACAAGAAACAATAGCAAACAGGGAACCATGATCTCCCAAAATGGACAAAGTAAGAAACCAGTAACTGACTCTAATGAGATGATGATACGTGAGCTCCTTGACCAAGAATTAAAAACTGCATCTTTAAGAAAACTTCAAGATAACACAGAAAAGCAATTCAGATATTTATCAGAGTAATTTAACAGAGAGAAATCTTGGAACTGAGAAAAACACCTGTGGAACTGAAAATTTCACTAGAGGCTCTCAACAGCAGAATGGGTCAAGCAGAGGAAAGAATCAGTGAGCTTAAAGACAGGCTATTTGAAAATACAGTCAGAGGAGAAAAAAGAAAAAAGAATAAAAAGGAACAAAGATCACCTGCAAAATACAGAAAATTACCTCAAAGAGCAAATGTAAGAATTATCGGTGTTCAGGAGAAAGTAGAGGAAGAGCAAGAGTTAGGAATCTTATTCAAAGAAATAATAACAGAAAACTTTCCAAAACTTGAAAAAGATATAAATATCCAGGTACAGGAAGGTCAGAGAACACCAAACAGATTCAACCCAAACAAGACTACCCCCAAGGCATATAATAATCAAACTCTCAAAGGTCAAGGACAAAGAGAGGATTTATAAAGCAGCAAGAGAAAAGAAGCAAATAACCCATACAGGAGCTTCAATTCATCCGGCAACAGACTTCTCAAAGGAAATCATACAGGCCAGGAAGGAGTGGAAAGACATTTTCAAAGTGCTAAAAGAAAAAAAAAACTGTCATCCAAGAATACTATAGCCAGCAAAGTTATCCTTCAAATATGAAAGACAGATATCGTCTTTTCTAGACAAACAAAAGCTGAGGGAATTCACCACCCCCGCATCTGTCTTAGAAGAAAGGTTAAAGGGAGTTTTTCCATCTGAAAGGAAAAAAAATTAAAACGCTAGCATGCAAAAAATACATAAAAAATAAAAAACACCCTGAAGGTTTAGAATCCATTGGTAAAATTAGGGACATGGACAAACCCAGAATACTCTAATACCATAATTGTGATACACAATCCACTCATAACTCTAGTATGAAGCCCAGAAGATACATCTATTGAAAACAGTAATAGCTACAACAACTTGCTGAGAAATAGGTAATATAGAAATACGTAAACTGAAACAACTAAAAGTAAAAATATGGGGGAGATGAGGATAAAGGGCATAATTTTTTTTGTTTCTATTCTTTTCTTTGTGATCTAAATTATTATCACTTTAAAATAACATGCTATATGATTTTATAAGCCTCATGATAACCATAATGCAAAAACCTATAATAGATTTAATAAAAATAAGTATCAATGGATTTAAACATACTCCTAGAGAAAAAGCACTTAACCACAAAGAAAAATAGTAAGAAAGGAAGAGGGGATATACAAAATAAACAGAAAACAAGCAACAAAATGGCAATAGTAAGTCCTTACTTATGAATAATAGTACTGAATGTAAGTGACCTCGATTTTCCAATGAAAAGGTATAGAGTGGCTGAATGAATAAAGAAACAAATCTCAACTATATCATGCCTATGAGAAACCCACTTCACCTATAATGACACATAGACTGAAAGTGATGGGCTGGAAAAAGTTATTCCATGCAACTTGAAACCAAAAAAGAGCAGGAGTAGCTCTATTTATAGCCAATGAAATAGGCTGCAAATCAAAGCCTGTAAAAAGACACAAAGCAGGTCACTATATAATGATAAAGGGGTCAATGCACCATGAGGATATAACAATTCTAAATACCTATGCCCTCAACACGAATCTCCCAAGTATATAAAGCAAACATTAATAAATCTAAAGGAAGAGATAGACTGAAATACAGTAACAGCAGGGGACTTTAACACTCCTCTCAGTTATGAGCAGCTATGGACAGATCACCCAGACAGAAGATCAACAAAGGAACATCAGAGTTAAACTACACACCAGACCTAATAGGCCTAACTGGCATTTATGGAACATTTCACCCAAATGCTATAGAATTCATCAGCACATAGAACATTCTCCAGAATAGACCATATCTTAGGCCACGAAACAGGTCTGAACAAATTTTTAAAAGTAGAAATCATATCAAGTATCTTTTCTGACCGCAAATAAATAAAACTAGAAATCAATTACAAGAAGAACATCAGAAACTCCACAAACACATGGAAATTAAACAACATGCTCCTGAACGGCCAATGGGTCAATAAAGAAATTGAGAAAGAAATTATAAAATTTCTTGAAACAAACTAAAATGGAAACACAACACACCCAAATCTATGGGATACAGCAAGGAAATACGAAGAGGAAAGTTTATAGCAATAAACATAAACTTTAAAAAATCAAGGAACTAGAAAAAACAAACCAAATCCAAAATTAATAGAAAGAAATACTAATAATCGGAGCAGAAATAAATGAAATTGAGACTACCAAACTATACAGAAAATCAATGAAATGAAAAGTTGGTCTTTTGAAAAGATAAACAAAATCAACAAAGTAGACCGACTAGAAAAGAAGAGAGAAAACTCAAAATAAATAAAATCAGAAATGAAAAAGAGACATAACAACTGAGACCACAGAAATACGAAGAGTTACTAGGACAAGTATAAACAACTATATGCCAACAAACTGAAAAACCTGGAAGAAATGGATAAATTCCTGGACACATACAACCCACCAAGATTGAACCATGAGAAAACAGAAAACCTCAATAAGTCAACAATTAGTAACAAAATCAAAGCTGTCATAAAGTCTCCTATCAAAAAAAAAAAAGCCTAGGATCCAATGGTTTCACCACTCAATTCTACCAAACATTTAAAGAAGAACTGATACCAATCCTACTCAAACTGCTCAAAAATAACTGAAGAGGAGGGAATACTTCCAAACTCATTCTATGAAGCCAGCGTTTCCCTGATATCAAAACCAGAAAAGGACACAACAAAAAAAAACGACAGGTCAATATGAATAATGATCCAACAATCCTCAACACAACACTAGCAAACTGAACCCAACAACACACCACAAAGATAATACACCACAATCAAGTGGATTTTGTACCAAGGATACAATGATGGTTTAACATATGCAAATCAATAAATATGATACATCACATACAAACTAGGCAAAGAAGGAATATACTCCAAAATAATAAAGGCTATATACAACAAACCCACAGCCAACATTATACTGAATGGAGAAAAGTTGGAAGTATTTCCTTTAAGAACTGGAGTGAGACCAAGATGCTCACTTTCACCACTCGTATTCAACATGGTACTGGAAGTCTTGGCCACAGCAATCAGCCAAGAGAAAGAAATGAAAGGCATCCAAATTGGAAAAGAGGAAGTAAAATTATCCCTGTTTACTGATGACATGATCTTATAGCTGGAAAAACTAAAGAGTCCATGAAAAAACAGATTTGATAAATGAATTTAGTAAAGTTGCAGGATACCAAATCAGTGCCACAAAAATCAGCAGTGTTTCTTTATACCAATATTGATCTAGCTAAGAATGAAATCAAGAAGGCAATCCCATTTAAAATAGCTACCAGAAAAATACCTACAAATAAATTTAACCAAGGAAGTGAAAGATCTCTACAAGGAAAACTACAAACGCCTCCTTAGAAATTGTAGATGACACAAATGAAAAAACATTTCATACTCATGGATTAGAAGAATTAATACTGTTAAAATGACCATACATTCCAAAGCAATCTACAGGTTCAATGTAATTCCTACCAAAATACCAACTCATTTTTCACAGAATTGGAAAAAATAACCCTAAATTCAAATGGAACCCAAAAAGAGCCCACATAGCAAAAGAAATCCTAAGCAAGAAGAACAAAGCTGGAGGCACCACGTTACCTAACTTCAAATTATATTACAAGGCTACAGTGACTAAAACAGCATGGTACTGTTATACAAATAGACACATAAACCAATGGAACAGAATGGAGAACCCAGAAATAAAGCCACGTATTTACAGCCAACTCATTTTTGCCAAAGCTGACAAAAACATAATTAGGAAAAACACACACTCTTCAATAATGGGTGCTGGGAAAAATGAATTGTCCTATGCAGAAGAATGAAAACGGACCCCTATCTCTCACCATATACAAAAATCAACTCAAGATGGATTAAAGACTTTAATGTAAGGCCCAAAACTATAAAAATGCTAGAAGAAAACCTAGGGAAAGCTCTTCTGAATATTTGTCTAGGCAAAGAATTTATGACTCAGACCAGAAAAGCACAGGCAACTAAAACAAAAATAGGCAAACAGGCCTTAATTAAACTGAAAAGCTTCCACACAGCAAAAGAAATAACCAACAGCATGGACAGACAACCTACACAACGGGAGAAAATATTTGCAAACTATTCATCCAACAGGGGATTAATATCCAGACTTTATAAGGAACTCAAACAACTCAACAACAACAAAAAACAAATAATCATATTTAAAAGTGGGCAAAGGACACAAATAGACATTTTTCAAAAGAAGACATACACATGGTCGACAGGCAGATGAAAAAATGCTCAACATCACCAATCATCAGAGAAATGCAAATTAGATCCACAATAAGATATCATCTTACACCAGTCAGAAGGGTATTAATAAAAAGACAAAAAAATAACAGATGTTGGTGAGGATGTGGAACAGTGCAACTCTTGTACACTGTTCATGGAAATATAAGTTAGTACAGACTCTACGGAAAACAGTTCAGAGATTGCTCAAATACCTAAAAATAGAATGACCATTAGATCCAGCAGTCCCACTACTAGGTACCTACCCAGAGGAAAAGGGAAAAGAAATTAGGATATCAAAAAGACACCTGCACTCATATGTTTATCGCAGCACTATTCACAATAGAAAAGATGTGGAATCAACTCAAGTGTCTATCAATGGATGACTGGATAAAGAAAATGTGGCGTATATACACAATGAAAGACTACTCAGCCATGAACATGAATGAGATCATGTCTTCTGCAGCAACATAAATAGAACTGGAGGTTGTTACCTTAAGTGAAACGAGGCAGACACAGAAAGACAATGGAACAGAACGTAGAACCCAGAAATAAAGCCACATATTTACAGCCAACAAATACCACATGTTCTCACTCATAAATGGATACTAAAAAAAAAAAAAAAATATATATATATATATATATATATATATATATATATACACACATGGAGGCAGAGAAAATGACAGGCAGTGGAGACTTGGAATTGTGATGGGGTACGGGGGGGTGGAGTATTCAAAATTACTTCGTGCATACAGTGTACATTATTCGGGTGATGAATACTCCAAAAGCCCTGACTTCACCATTATGCAATCTACACATGTAACAAAATTATACTTGTACCTCATAAATTTATATATATATAAATCATAATAAAATTTAAAGAAAAATTAAAGATTATGGAATTAAATGAGATTAAGAAATGTTGTGTAACCTTCTCCTGGAGAAGTATAATGTGTATTAGTGTATCAGAGACGCTGATAAATCCTACCGTAAAGAAATCTGAAACTTTCTTCCCTAAAATATATTTATCAAATATGACCACACCATATGTATTCTCTGGAATCAGCTATTACTTGAAATACCTTAAATTACCATTCAGGAAGCATTCCCTTCCCTCCACCCCACCAACCTCCTCAAACTGTACTCCCCCTGCCCCACTGAGGTTGAACCTGACCATGGCTTGGCAAATGGAACCCTAGCAAATGTGAGTTGAGCAGAAGTCTTAAAATGTGCTTGTGTGGTTGAGCTTGGTTCCTGAGCTCTGGTGTTCTGCATAAGAAGAACATGTCCTGGTGGCCTCAGTCCTGTTCCTGTCAGCTCGAGTCCCAGTATAAACAGATATGAAGCAGACCCAAGCCCATCAGCCAACAGCCTGAACACCCAGCCAAGCCTTGGCCAAAGTAACCAAACCACAGTCAACACAGTGATGTGAGAATAAATGCTGAGTGCATGCCACTGGGTTCGTTATTGCCATATAGCTGACTAATACACCATCCATCAGAATTGCTATTCTAACAATTGCACTTCGAGACATGAATGTGGTATGGCAAAACATTCTTAGGAGGAAACCTCCTTAGAAGGTGTTGGGAAAGAATGAATGGTACCTGGCAGGAGTTCAAGACACATTTGGAGGGCACATCTTAAAATTAAGGGGCCTGGAAATGACATGGGCTTTTTAGAGTAGAGAGGTACGGGTCAAGAAAAAGTTAAGCAACCCAATGTAAAAAGACAGGCACGAGATATGAGCAGGTGAGTCACAGAGGACGAGACCCAAAAAGTCAATAAACACAGAAAAATATGTTCCATCTTACCAGGTATGAGGGAGATGCAAAATAACAAGATTAAGCTGTAATCTCACACCCACTTGAGTGCAAACATGGAAAGTCTGATGACTCCAAGGTGTGGAGCAGTGAGTCACCTCACAGATAAGCTGGCAATAGGTAGAGAAAAAGAAAGTTGTGCACACATCTTCCACCCTATCCAAGCATCTGACTGGAGACGTGTTCACAGGTGCTCGCTGCAGCCCTGATTGGAGTGGCAAAATCTCAGGATAGAAATCCTAGCTCTCCCACAGCAGGGGAATACATAAATCAAATAGATTACACGTGCTACATGGACAAATTACCTAAACAAAGTTGGGCACATAAAGCAAACTTCAAAAGGCAAAGTAATGCCATTCTTTGCAAAACAAGCTAAGCAGCAGAACATATTGATTGCAGGGAGACATACATATATACATACAGACAGACAATCAAGATACATTATGATGTGTATATTGTGTTTTATGTTTTTAATATAAAAGGGGGATGACCCACACCAATTTCAGGGTAGAGGTTACTTCCAGGTGGGTGGTGAGGGTGGGTGTGAGAGGATGGAGGAGAGAAGCTATCATAGTGTATTTCTTTGAGAGAGAGCAATTCCAAACATATATGGAAAAAGTTGACATTGATGACAGCTAGATTACAGGCATTGAGCTGGACTCGGCTCTGGTGTGGTAAAAACTGAAGCCCTAAATTTCAATGGCACCTACATTATTCCTGCTCACCATCCACTGGCCCACACTAATCATGCGACCCCAAATTAACCACAGGGGAGGCCGGGAAGAAGGCAATGATGGATTATTTAGTGAACATTCATTTGGCTCTGTTTCATGAGTACCTGGGCATGTGTCCTACCATGGTAGGTACTTTTCAGGATATGTTCAAGATTTCTTAATTAAAGTGAAGATAACGAAAAAGAATCACTTCCTATCCCTAACAAAAAGGAGAGGATTCAACCAAGTCATTCTAGAGAAAACCTGAGACCAGCTCCACCCCCAATTATCCTGAGACTGCCCCTGGATGAAGGTCCTGCTTGAGGTCAAATGCACCCAGGAAGTGGTAGGGTTGGCCCAGCATTAGTGTGGTCCTTGTTCAGGGATGGCACAGGCACAGAGTCCCCTGGTCTATAGGACTGTCCCTCTGTTTCAAATCCACTCTGCCCAACAGCCGTGCTCAGTGTGAAGCAAGGGTGATCCCTGAGGCTGCATCACAGCAGGAGGCAGGACATAGGGAGCAGCCCAAGGTAAGCTTTCTCTCCAGCTCAGAATGCTTGCAGAACCCTGTTGCTCCTCCTGACAGAATCAGAGCCAACTCTGATTTCCTGGCTTCCACAGCATCCCCTAAGATGACCCTGTAAATGTAAAGGGTCTTCTCGGTCTCAGCAGTGTTTCCCAAAAACCACATCACCATCCATCCTTTCTTCCATCCACCCATCCATCTGTCCATCCATCAGTCCATCCACCCATCTATTTATCCAGCCATCTGTCTGCCTATCCATCCATTTATCAATCCATCAATCCATTCATCTGTCTATCCATCCATCAATCCATTCATTCATCTGTCCATCCATCCATCCATCCACCCACCCATCCATCCATATATCCATCTATTCATCCATCCATCCATCAATCCACTCATCCATCTGTCCATCTATCAGTCCATCCATCTATCCATCCATTCATCCACCCATCTATCCATCCATTCATCTATCCATGTATCCATCCATTCATCCATCCATCAATCCATTCATCCATCTGTCCGTCCATCCATCCACCTGTCCATCAATTCATCTATCCACCTATCAATCCATTCATTCATCTATCCATTCATCCATCCATCCATTCATCTATCCATCTATCTATCCATTCATCCATCTCTCCATTCATCTATCCATCCATATGTCCATCCATTAATCTATCCACCTATTCTTCCATTCATCCATCCATCCATCCATCTCCCCATCCACCCATCCATCCATCCATTCTTCTATCCATCTATCAATCCATTCATCTATCTGTCCATCCATCCATACATCCATCCATCAATCCATCAATCCATTCATCCATCTGTCCATCCATCCATTCATCCATCCATCCATTCATCCATCCATCTGTCAAGCCATTCGTCCATCTGTCCATCCATCCATCTGTCCATTCATCCATCCACCCGGCTGTCCATCTGTCAATCCATTCATCCAATGCCCAACATGTATCTCCTATGCCAGATCTGAGTTTGGTTCCAGGGATCTGGTGATCAATAAGATAAACCTGGCAGGTCTCCATCCTCGCATCCTCAACCAGCCTATGTTCTAGTGGTGGTGGTGGTGGTGGTGGTGGTGGGGCAAACCATAAACAGGAACTCCCACATTTCAATGAGAGAGGTTATAAAGAATGCCTGGGGGCCTCTTTGCACTGAGTAGTGAGGGAAGCTTCTTTGAAGAAAAGAGGTTTATGGGGAGACTGAATGGGGGGCAGGATCCAGTACCTGGGGTTGGTGCCACATGCACTCCAGGCAGCAGCCGTAGCATGCACAAGCCCTTACAGGGACTGAGCTTAGTGTAGTCCAGGGTCAGCCAAGAGGCTACTGTCACTGGACACTGAACAGTAAGAGGTAGAGTGGGAGGAGCTGAGACTGGGGATGGGGTAGGAGCCGGGGGTGGGGTTTTTGCAGGGGGTATGGCTTGTATGTTATTTCAAGTACCCTGGAAGGATTTTAAACCTCGGTCCTAACCAGCCCAACCTCTGGCTACTTGAAGTGTGGTCCCCAGACCAGCAGCATGGGCAGCACTCGGGAGCTTGTTAGAAATGCAAAGTCTTGGGTTGCCCTCCAGACCCTAGACCGGTGGAATCTGACCATGTGTCCCTTGCAGGAAGATCCCAGGAGATTCGAGTGCCCGTGGAGTCTGAGAAGTGCTGTACCAGATCCTCTCCCGGGGAAAACCTCTGGGAGGACCTACCTTGAACTCACGCCTTCCCTGGCTGGCCCAAACTGCAGCACTTTATAAGGGCTTTTCTAAGTGACTTTCTTGTGCCTCTGGTGAGACCCCGCAGTCTACACATTGGGCTTTGCTCAACCCTCTGTGGCTTCTGTGGCTTGTGAGGGCAAGACCACGTGGAGGAGCACGCCCTGCACACTTCAAACCCTGATGCCAACCAGGGGCTTTCCAGGGAAGAATGGTGCTTCCCTCCTCACCCCCAGCCTTTTGCACCGATTCAAGGGGGCCTGAGATTGAGCAGGAGACCCCCATCACCACCACAAGAAGAAAGGGGCAGAGCACTGGATCATCAGGGAAGCCAGGAGGGGGTGCCGCTGACATGCGGCCCGTCAAATGCAGGACAATTAAAAACACATTCAGCTTCGAGCCACTTTCAGAATGAAAAGACCATACTTGTCATTAAAAGTGTATTTATTGCAATTACACAGAAGGATTCTTAGGAGACTCAGTGCACATTCATTAATTGTGTCTTTAATAGCCCTATTTAATATGTGCTCTCCAGACGAGGGCACCGCCAGCCTTCCATCCACAGGGGCCTCAAATGCAGACAGAGGGTGGGGGTGGGAGGAAGCAGCATCTTGAAGAGAGAGTGATGGCAAGCTCTCAACTCTTAGCACCATCTTCCGGCGTGAGTCCCAAAACAGAGGGTGAGGACAGGAGCAGGTAATGTGCAAAGGAGAAAATGTGAGTAGTAATTAAAACAGAAAACTGTTCCTCCTTACTAGGAAACAAACAACAAAAAAAAAGCAAATTAAAGCAATGATGCCGTCCCCTTCCTGCCCTCAGCTCCTCCTGTCAAATGAGCAGGAGTTAGAAAAGTCGCCAGCAGGATGCAGGGCACTGCCCAGGTGGGAATGCACATTCGTCTTGAGGAAGAATTGAATGCCACTGCGCACCAGCTGTAAATCCATTCACACTCCCTGGCTCAGTCATGTAACTGATTCATTCCAGGGAACAAAATGAAAATGAAAACTACCTGCTTAAATTTTTTATGGCAGCATCAATAAGGGGACAGCTAAGTATTAGAGTGAACCAACTCCAGGGGCTCGTAACAGCCATAAAAGAAATGATGACGCAGACCCTGTCACTACATGGAAAAACTAGAAACATATTTTAAAAATGATAAAAAGAATATAAAACTGCATTCTGTGTCTCTACCTATATAAATATGTTAGCATCAGAAAAGATAATATAAACAAAGAAAGTAATTGCTCCGATGGGTAGGGATGTGGGTGAACTTTGGTGAGATGACTAATGTCTCTGCAAGCATTTTTAATAAAGGCGAAGAAACATCTGGGTATAGAGACAGTGATGAGAAGGGAACACGGAAAATTAAAATCTGTCAATTTGCTTTGGAGAAAAACTGAATTTAGATCACGTACTGTTCTAGGGACATTTCACACATTTCCTCATTCAGTTCTCACAACTTCCCCTCAGGGGCATCTTATCCCCATTTAACAGACATGGAGACGGAGGCTCTCTGGAGCAGAAGGAAGTCCCCACCACCCCACCCTTGGAGCAGCTGTGAGTGGGTGGTTTGGCCTCTCTGCTGCCACCTGCTTCTGAGGAATCCTGTCTGGAGCCTGTAAGTGGTTTTGGGCCCCATGCCAGGGGGCCAGACACAGTCAGTCCCACCCCACCCCCACCGCACAAGGACTCCAGCAAACGTAAACTAAGCCGGCAACTCCGTCGTATAAGTGCAGATCACACCGGGAAAGAAAAGATCGTTCCCTGTTCAGAAGACACTTCACACAGTCTCATTGCCTCCACATCCAGCCATGCTGAGAGGCTGCAGTGAGGGGAGGGAAGCGGGTACTCTGGAAACTTGTGAGGCGGGTATCCCCAGGCAGATCCCTCCATGCCAAGGAGGACTGCAGCCCAGCACTTGACAGACATACTGGAGTTGGGGCAAATCAGCTAACTGAGGGCCTTTGCTGGAAGAAGACTTGACCATCTCCGTCCGCTTTGTCACCGAGGAACCCACCCTGAGACCCTCTGCCCAGCAGTGAAGGCGCCCTCCCTGGGCCTGCCCTGTCCAGGAGTGTTGCCTCCAAAACCTGCCTTGGAACATACATTTTCAAAGAGCAGCAATGACATTTCACAGGGCCCACGGAGCTTACACTTTTCTGCTCTCGTCTCGAAGTAGTGAACACTGCTGAGCCCAGCACCGGAGGAACGAGACATTTTTAAAGCAACCCCACCAGCACACAAAGCAACGGGGGGCCGTGGCAGGGAACATCTGTCCTCTACACAGGGATACGACCCATCACTCACCCCCCGTTTTCTGGTGGTGACGACGGAATTAGAAGAGACCAGTGGGTCTGGGGAGTGAATCCACACCGAGAAGAGCTTCTAGGAAAAGCGTTTTTGCTGGGAGCGGCTGAGGACTACTCGGGGGACTGTGAGTGTCTTAAACCCTGAGCTTGGCCTCATTTAGCAGCACAGATGACCAGGCCTGTGGGCTCCAGGTGATGCCATTCCTTCTACCACAAAGAAAGAACCCAACTCCAGACATGTTTCAACAACTTCCCAGAGCATTGCAGAAATCCCTCCGTAAGAACCAACAGAATGAATCACCAAACCCCTTAGCTAAAAGCAAAGCCAAAAATGGAAAATAAACCAACTCGAGGTCCTGATCAGCAGGTAGAGGCATCTTTTTATGGATTTCAAATAGAAAAAATGAATTAATTATTACTTGAGAAACATATGTTGGAAACCAAAATGGTTTCACACCCAGAGAACATGGAGGTGGTAATCGGTACATGGAAGAAAGAGAATCTTTTGCAGGAGAAAAGCTTTGAAACCACAGCCCAGAGGCTGGGGACCATCTGTACCCTTCCTGGGTGAGTGGATGTAAATATTGAGGAGGATGATAACCAAAATGGGTTCTCAAATCCTCCTTCTTTCTCATCTCATTTAAAACATCAAAGGGGCAATCTAATGTTCCTGGACTGAATTCACATTTCACACATAAAGAGATATCCCCCATCGCCAGTGGCTTATTTATTTACCAAGCTCTTTGGCTAAGCCTGGAAGAAAGAAAAACGCCCAAACAATGAGGATAATCAGAGCCTTTGGTGGGCTCCAGGAGCTGCGTGTGAAGTTCTGAGCACAAGTGAAGGGAAATTGTGCACTGACCTGAATTCACAATGCAAACCCTCCTCCTCCGGGGAGGAAAAAAAGGAAGCGGGGAGAAAAACAGAAAGAAAAGAAAGCCAAGACGCTTTCTGAACAGTTGTCTATTCTGCAGTGCAGTTTATACCCACTGCCCAAACTGTTAAGCTACTTTCAACTTTTCCTTTATGCATTTTCTAGCCAAAGAAAAGTTGCGAGGCCACTGACTCACAGGGGCTGCCACAGTGAGGTGTTTGGATCTCGGTCCTCAGCTGAGAGCCTGGGAAGATGGCACGCAGGTGCATAAGAGAAAGGCCTGCCATCGGGCTGACTTACCGCCACAGAGAACTTTCCAGAACCTTCCCCATGTCTGCGTGGTAGTACTTCGTCAGGATCAAGATCACCTGTGGTGTTAACAGAAAGTAAAAGGCAGAAATCAGTGGGTGCCAAGGTTCTCAAAGAGAGGTACAGTGACACCACTCCGTGCCAGAATTTGGGGTCTCTAAATAACAGCCGCCCAGGGGCCTCTCTTAGTCAGTATCCCTGAGAGGCTCTGGGCCACCCTACATGAGAGCCCTTAGACGTGGGCTTATTTCTGCTCTGAGGACTTGCTTGTGCTCTGCAGAATGACTCTGGGAACATCTGAATCCAGTGACATCCACACAGTAGCTGCCATTTGTTGGAAATAATTCAAACCCAGCCCTGGACAATCCCAAACTGTGGCAAAGGGAGTGCCAGGGCAGTGGTCCCTATGTGAGGATGGAGCGCATTTGGCAAGGCTTCTGGAGACAGGGCTCTGTCTCCACCAGCGCGTTAGAGGATCCCCTAAGCCTGCTGGAAACAGCTGCTGGGGCTGCCACCCAAGACCAGAGCAGGTCCCTGTGGTCCGTCTGTCATTACTTGTCCTGGAGTGGTGCCTGGGGAGGCACAGCCAAGATGCTTGGGGGCCCAGGAGTCCTCTGTGGCGCACACACGTTTTTCTTGTTGTTGAGACCATTCATTCATTCATTCATTCATCACACACGGGGCCCACCTGACCACGCTGTTTGCATTTCAGGCCTGTGCAGAAAATGCAACTATTTATAAAAATGAAAATAAAAGTGTTTAGGAGCACCTAACTGTCTTTTGAAATAACTGTGTAAACAAAAAAAGTTGGGGGGTGGGGAATAAGGATGCACCGGCCCTGATGGGAAAAAGATTTTCCCAATTACTGCACCAGCCACTGCGTTTTCATGTACATCAAATTTCATTTCACTCACTGCCAGTCCCTGTTAGCTGTTCCTAACACTCCCATGGCTAGGGTAGCCCCCGGGAGGTAAGATGGGAACAGCTTTGGGTTTTGGAGCAGCTGTTAGCCTCGTTATTTGGGGTCACCACCCTGGTCATCCCCAACGGTCGGGCTCCTCCGTGGAAGCAGAGCTCCCTGCGCTCGGTCCTAAGGTGCCGTTTCCACAGATGGCAGCTGGGCTGACCTAGTATCTTTCTTTCCCTGGTGATTTGAGCAGGGAGGACATGAGGAGGGGCTGTTGCCCGAGATGGGACAGTGTGCATCTTACAGGCGGCGATGATTTAAAAAAGCGAGGCCTTGTCAATCAAGGCCAGATTGGCTATGCCATGCTCAGGAACAAAGCGATTTTCTCTTGTCAGCTCACAGCCTGCCGTCAGAGCCAGGTCCCTCCGAGGAGTGGGGAGCTGACAGGGTGTGGACTTTAACCCATTGATTCATATTTGATATAGTCACGCTGTTCCCAGAGGGGATTTTGTACAGCCTAGAGTGGCAGCTGGAAGGGACCTCAAAGTCTGTTTGATCCGGCCCCATCCAGGAGGAAATCCCTGCCCCCTCCCAATCTGATCTTGGAGCAGTGAGATCCAGGCTCTGCCCTGGCCTCGGGGGGTGGAGCTCGGCTCTGGAGGGCACCCTGCCTTTCTGCAGACTGCTGGGTTTGGGGCGCACCCTGCTGTGAGGCTGGCTTCACATCCCCGTCACTCCTGCCTGTACCTTCCAGCTCTGCCACTGTGGACAGTCACCCAATCACCCAGCAAGACTGCTTCCTCCTCCCCCTCCCTCGAGGGGAGAGTCCCCACCAGTCCACCCCCTCATTCTAAACCCCAGCATTTGGGGCCTTTGCACAAGGCGTTCCTCACCCTGGGATGCTCTTCCCCAAATCCCCCAGCCCTATTTCCTCGGTGAATTCCTGCTGAACCTTCAGATCTCAGCCTGACTCACACCACCCCCAGGAAGGCCCCCGACACTGGGCTCAATGCCCCCTCCATACACCCCCCCTCCAACCCTGCCGGACCTCCCTGCAACCCCACACAGCTCACAGGGTCTGCTTCTACTGCTGAGGGATAAACTGTTAAGGGTGGGGACCTTATTTATCTCCCCAGTGCGGGGCACAGCACCTGCCATATAACAAGCACTCACACCACTCACTGAAAGAAATACAGGTGACTTTACCCAAAGGAAGGATCGTTTATGCAGTGAAGTCGGGCAGAGGCCAGTGCCCACCTCCCCACCACCACCGCACTCCTTCCATCAAGAGGACCCCCTTCCACTCTGTCTTGGGGACAGAATCGTTCTACTGGCTTCAACCGACCAAGCCAAATGGGACTTTGGGTTCCTGCGGCGTTGGCTTTGCCCAGGGCTGAAACAAGGAGGTCGCCCAGGAAGGGCCAGTGCTGGAGAAGCCAGACAGCAAGGCAGCCCCACCACGCCCTGACTCGGCAGTCATCAAGGAGAAGGACCTGACTCGGCAGTCATCAAGGAGAAGGACCCTGAAGTGAGGTCAGACCACCCGGGTTCCACGCTTGGCTCTGCACTAGCAGACCGTCGACCTCAACACAGCTCAGTTTTCCAGTCCATGATGATGCCACGGTGACGATTAAATATTCAGTAGCAAACGTGAAATGACCCATAAGCCATAGGAGCCGTCGTCATTCAGAATAATGATAGCTAATAACCACTGGTTTCAGCCCTGCCACCGACGAGCCCCACAGTTACAGCAACCCCCGCAATGCCCCAGGGATACCGAAGAGGTGCTGCCCCCATGCCCCCAGGAGCCACATGTTATTATCCCTGTTTTACAGATGAAGGAACTAAAGCAGAGAGCGCTTCAATATTTTGCCAAAAACTACACACTCAGCAAGCGGCAGAGCTAGAATTTGATCCCAGGCAATTCGACGTCAAGCTTGGGCTCTTCACTGCCACACTGAAAGCCTGTGTTTTCAGAAGAAACTTCCATTAAAAGTAGTTTCAAAGAACCAACACTTACGACATGCCCTTCTGGGGCCCTCAGCTAACAGCTTTGGAAATGAAATATCCCCGGGACAGTTTTTTTCAGTGGCTGACGTGTTAGCCTTGGGGCTCTTTGATCTGGGTGGGAGAAAAATCGGGAATGTGAGTCAGGGCCACACAGCTCCGGCCATTGCCAAGGGTCTCCTCCCATCCAGAGGCTGCCTGAGCCCGCAGCCCACAGGGATCTTTCCCAGACGGCCAGGAATGTCCAAGCAACAGACGAGGAAAGAAGAGCTACTGCTGTCCACAAGAGGTCGGCCGCGGCTGCCACTCATCACTTCAAAGGCTCGTCAGGATGCACGCATCACCCCACGTCTCATCCTCTTGCCTCCCGTCCTCCCGGCCGTGGGGAAGGCAGTGCACGAATCTGTTCCTATTCTCCCAAAGCCATGTCACCAAATGGGCCAGGGAGCCAGGGTGCTGGGTTCCAAATCTATGCCAGCTCAGCCTGTGACAAGCATCGACTCATCCACTCTCTCGCAGCACCCCCCCCCCCCCGACTGGGAGGGGCCCATATTACTGTTCTCACATTACGGCTGAGGAAACTGAGGCACAGAACCGCCCAGTGACCTGTGGCATCGCACACAGCAGAGCCAGGAGCTCTTGTGCCCAGGCCCAGGGCTTTTATGGGTTTGCACTTCATTGCTGCCCTCCCCCCTCTGTGATGCCTGCCTCCTAAGCACGGGACAAGCAGATGCCCAGGGCTCCTCCGATGCACTACCACCCAGGACCAGCCCAGCAGCCCTGCACCCTGAAAGGTCAACCCGGGACCCCAGGCGGAGACCTCAGCTTCTTTGGAATTCCCGAACCTGCCCGCCCCTGAGGCTGCCAGGCAGTAAGCTCCATGACAGTGGGGACTCACCCACCCCTAAACCCCCGTGAGCCCAGCACAGAGCGGAAAAATCCATCAGTCTTTCCTTGAGTAAATCAATGAGTGGGTGAGTCCATGAGGACATGAATGAGCATCCATACAGCAGCTGATGCAGACAGGAGGGAGAACCTGTCCTTCAGGCCCAGTCCCAGCCAACCCCAAAGCCCCTGATGTCCGGGGGCTCCCCGCAGAGCCCATCACCCGCTCCTCCTGACACCTAAGGGTGGGGAACATGCCCTGTCCTGGAGGCCCAGGGCTCCTTCACAGCAATGCCCATCCTAACCCTCAGGGGACGGGCTCCAGAACCCTGGGAGACACAAGGCTTCACCTTCCTTAGCCCAGTGAGAGCCCACACGAGGAGTTCCACAGCGTGGAGTGTTCCAGATAGCCAGGACCAGGGCCAGGTCTGCAACCTGCGCAGCCACGAAGCCCCTGAGCTTGGTTTCATGCTCTGCTGTTGCTGTCTTGAAATTCTTGAGAATGTCTGAACGAGGGCTTTGTGTTTTCACTTTGTGCTGAACCCTGTAAATAACAGGGCCGGTCCGGCAGCAGCTGCCACTCCTCTAGCTTCTGCGAGTTTCAACGCTCCTCCAGCCCTGCTAATGGTTAGGGACTGTGTGTCTGCAGGGCACCCCGATTTTATTCACCCATTGTGCACCCACCTCCCTTGCAAGTGAGGGCGGATCTGGGTGAGGGGCTGGAAGGAGGTGTGTCAGATTCAACAACAGAGCTCACAGGAACTCAGGATGCCATCACCACTGCTTCATTTTAGAAATAAGGAAACTGAGGTTCAGAGAAAAGAAAGGGTTTGGCGGGGACAGACCCTGGTCCTGGTAGATCCACATCCACAGCCCAGCCCCCACGTCCACTGACTCTCGCTTTATTCCAGGGAAGGGCCTGCTCGCTCCCTCAGAGGGACTGAGGGTACCCTTCCCCAGAAGGAAAAGAACCCTGAAGTCCACACTCAGTTCCTGGAGAGACCCTAGGCCGGCCATGGAGCCCCACCCCCTGATCACCACAGCCGGCCCCACCTCCACCACACAACTCAGTGCCAAGCCCTGTGCTGGGCTCATAGGAGGGTCCTCTGCTCTGTGCTGAGCCGTCCAACTTGCCTGGAGATGAGGGGCCTGGGCTACGTCTCAAAGCTCCGGCAGTGGGAGGGAGCCGAGGCTAACCAGCCTCGGACCCACAACGGCATTAACAGGACTTTCTGCTGCTCTGGGGAAAGGGGGCTGGCTCAGAGGAAGTCTCAGCTCCAGGGCTGATGGGCCAGCAGCAAAGTCGTCAGCGTCTTCACCTGTGAACAGCATGAACTGGGAGGTCAATGCTGTCCTTACCAGGTGGCCCTGGCAGAGTGGGCACTTCTCAGATGGATTAAAATAAAACAAAGAGGGTGTGATGCAGGGTGGCCAGGCTCACTGAGCCTCGGTTTCCTGATCTGAGAAATGGTGCTAACTTGGAGACTGCGGGAGGGTCTCCCCATGTCTTTGTGTCCATCCACACAAACTTAGACCAGAAATCAGAACATAGACGCCCAAGGCTCAGCCCCTCCTCCCTGAGTGGTCACTGGCACGTTTCTGAGTTCGCAGAGTTCGCGGTTTCTCCACCTGTCAATTGGAGGAGTTGCTCCCTTCCAAAAACTAGAGCCGATCGATGCCTTTAGAACCCCCAAACATCATGAAATCTGTTCAATTCCAAACCTAATAACATGCCCTGGGAGTTTCTAAAAGACCATTTTCATAAACTGCTCCACCAAATCCTTTCCCCAATGTAACCAGCATCCACCAGGAACGAGGTCAGCTGTTCCATAATCCGGGGGTCAGGTTCACCATTCACCATCCAAGGGAAGTTCACGGTGCCTCCTCTGAGACCCTGGGCCACTTCCCTCTGCTCTTGTGCAGTGGGGCCTGATTCAGCAGCACGGCAATGGCCCCGGGTACAAGCTCCTTACGGAGAGACGCGCAATAATCCCTTTGGAGAGACACACACTGAGGTTTTCTGAGCCAGCCTGAACCCTGGCCCTGCATGAGCGCCCAGTTCCCCCAAGCTTCGTCTTTACCAGGTTTGCTCTTCAGGAGCACTCGGCATCGCCTCTTCAAATGTGCCCCTCTTAAGACAAGAAGCAAGAAACGTTCTGAGCACCTCCAACTTAGGACACTGAGTCTTCCACACAGCCAGTGGGAAATGATTGTGAAGCAGCCTGACACATGGCTGCCTTTCGGAGGCTCAAGAATCATCAAAAAGACAGACAGACTCAGGCCCAATTCAGTTGTCAATCAATACACATAAAGCACCAAATACTACTACTAAAAGACTGCAAGAACTTAGTGTTGATTGCCAACTCCAAAATCAATACCCCATTGAAAAAGGGAGAACTTAAGGTCAGTGTCCAAGGCCCCTGAAAGCCCGCAGTGTCACTGAGGTCTCCCTGGCTAAGCTGCACAGCCGTGGGCCTCCCCCTCACAGTGGGGACTGGCCATGCAGCTTCCCGGGAGCTCCTGGAAATGCAGACCCACAGGCAGCCCCACCCCAGGCCTGCAGAAGCTTCATTTCGTCGCTCACATTTGAGGGGCTACCCTGGCAAGGCATCCCCAGGAGGGAGGCCCGCACCCCTGCTCACTGTCCTTCAGCCTCATCAGGAAGCCGGGGCTCCTCCCATCCCTCAGCAGTCTGGTTCCCTCCACTCTCACTACCGCGGACTGCACTCCAAACACACCCCCTTGGCCATGAGCTCCGGCCTTGACTCTGTCACCCACCCCGCAGGCATTTGCATACTTGGATCGCTATGCTCTCCCCTTTCTCACTTCTCCACTGCCTCCCTCCTGCTCATTCTCAAGGCCACCACCTCCTAGAAGCCTTCCCTGACCACCCTGTGCACCCCAGGAGGGGAGGAACTGCGTCAGCCTCAGACACCTCCATCTCCTGAGCCTCACCAGGGCCGGCACACAGGGAGTGTCAGAATGATCATTGCTGAGTGAATTCATCAGCAGCAGGCTGACTCAGAAAAGCCAAGACCCACTCCTGGTGAGGTCTTTCCTCACCCCCGCCCCATCTGTGTACTCGTCCAGGTGTGGACATGGACCCTGGAATCTGTAAGAAGTCCCATCAGTGGGGCCCACGGGCAGTGGCCGGCCTGAGTCTCAGACATGCCTCGCTGGTACGGGTCACGTCACTCAGGCCCAACTCAGACCCTCGCCTGTCCCGGGATCACACAGGATTTGGCCAAATTCACTCCACATCAGTAACTCCACACTCACCAACTGGAGCTGTTCTTAAAGAGTTACACTGGTCTGGAGACCACCTCACCCGCCAGCCAACATGGACGAAGACCTCCAGCCAGACAAGCTCCACTGCCAGGGACTGAGGGAAAGAGCGCAGGCAGGATGGGCAGGAACAGAATTTGTTCACCAACAAGCCGCTTTCCAAGACCTCCACACGCACTGCCCGTGGGGGCAGGAATGATCCACCCGCAGTGGGGCACGGGCAGAACCGCCAAGTTAAGCACGAGCCCATGTGCCTTTTGGCCTGGAGATCCCATTTCAGGGAAGCTATTCCATCGAAGTGCTGTGCATGGGAAATGAGGGATGCCTAAAGTCCTTCACCACAACACCACAACACCACAACACCACAACAACCAGAGACCAGAAATAACCCACGCATCCACCAGCAGGGCCTGGGGGGATCGCCGGGGGTGCTCACCACTCAAGGCAGCCCCGGGCACCTGTGTGGATGGGAAGGACGAAAAAGGATGTGTCGGAGCCGATGCAGGGAGATCTCCCGTGCCCACTCTTACGTTCACAAGCGGGAGAGGTCAAGGGCACTTCAAAATGGCTAAAGAGGTGAGTTTCGTGTGACATGAATTTTATCTCAATTTAAAAACAATCTGTATTCACCTCTGCTTGAAGAAACATGGTGAAATGCTGGAAGGAAACACAGGAAATGTGATCAGGTGGACACCTGTGGGTGGGGAAGCGGGGAGGGATAACAGGAGGGAGACTGGGAGATTTCAACTAGAGACCCTTTAGTAGTCATGACATTTGGAACCATTTGGCTGTATTACCTATTTCAAAAACATTTTTCAAATAAAATAAAGAAGACTCCTCCTTTCAAAGCCTCCATTTCCCCTCCCCCATCGGGCGGGTCCCAGAACACAGGTGGCTTTTCTCATCTGGCCAAAACCACCCAGGACCAGCTCTCTGCTGGTTAAGATTCTACCAAGAGCAGCCAGAGGGGATTCAGGCTGAGTCTGTCATTGGGGTTTTGTTTGTCCTCCCAGTCACTGCAGCTGCTCTAGTTAGGAGCAGGAGCCAGGCCAACACGGAGCCGACTTCTGCAGGCCGTCTACCTGTCTCCCAGCTTCAGGTGTGGGGGCATCTGTGCGCATGTGTGCATCTGTGTGCACATGTGTGTGCATGTGTCTGTGCATGCATGTGTGTGCATGTGTGTGTGTATCTCTGTGTAACTGTATGTGTGTGCATGTGTGTGTGCATGTGTGCGTATCTGTGTATCTGTATGCATGTGCATGTGTGTGCATGTGTGCATGTGTATCTCTGTGTATCTGTGTGTGTGTGCATGTGTGTATGTGTATCGGTGTGTGCATGTGGGTGTGTGCATGTGTGTATATCTCTGTGTGCCTGTGTGTGCATCTGTGTGTATCTCTGTGTACCTGTATGTGTGTGCATGTGTATGTATGTGCATGTGTATCTCTGTATCTGTGTGTGCATGTGAGCATGCATGTACCTATGTGTGTGTGCATGTGTGTATTTCTGTGTATCTGTGTGTGCATGTGTGCAAATGTGTATGTGTGTGCATGTGTGTGCATGTGCGTGTGTATCTCTGTGTACCTGTATGTGTGTGCATGTGTGCATGTGTATGGTGGGCATGTGTGTGCGTGTGTGCAAATGTGTATGTGTGTGCATGTGCGTTTCTCTGTGTACCTGTATGTGTGTGCATGTGTGCGTGTGTACATATGTGTATGTGCATGTGTGTGCATGTGTGCATATGTATCTCTGTGTACCTGTATTTGTGTGCATGTGTATGTATGTGCATGTGTATCTCTGTATCTGTGTGTGCATGTGTGCATGCATGTACCTATGTGTGTGTGCATGTGTGTATTTCTGTGTATCTGTGTGTGCATGTGTGCATGTGTATGGTGGGCATGTGTGTGCATGTGTGTGTGCATGTGTGCATATGTGTGTATCTCTGTGTACCTGTATGTGTGTGCATATGTGTATGTATGTGCATGTGTATCTCTGTATCTGTGTGTGCATGTGTGCATGCATGTACCTATGTGTGTGTGCATGTGTGTATTTCTGTGTATCTGTGTGTGCATGTGTGCATGTGTATGGTGGGCATGTGTGTGTGCATGTGTGCATATGTGTGTATCTCTGTGTACCTGTATGTGTGTGCATATGTGTATGTATGTGCATGTGTATCTCTGTATCTGTGTGTGCATGTGTGCATGCATGTACCTATGTGTGTGTGCATGTGTGTATTTCTGTGTATCTGTGTGTGCATGTGTGCATGTGTATGGTGGGCATGTGTGTGCATGTGTGTGTGCATGTGTGCATATGTGTGTATCTCTGTGTACCTGTATGTGTGTGCATATGTGTATGTATGTGCATGTGTATCTCTGTATCTGTGTGTGCATGTGTGCATGCATGTACCTATGTGTGTGTGCATGTGTGTATTTCTGTGTATCTGTGTGTGCATGTGTGCATGTGTATGGTGGGCATGTGTGTGTGCATGTGTGCATATGTGTGTATCTCTGTGTACCTGTATGTGTGTGCATATGTGTATGTATGTGCATGTGTATCTCTGTATCTGTGTGTGCATGTGTGCATGCATGTACCTATGTGTGTGTGCATGTATTTCTGTGTATCTGTGTGTGCATGTGTTCATGTGTATGGTGGGCATATGTGTGCGTGTGTGCAAATGTGTATGTGTGTGCATGTGTGTGCATGTGCGTGTGTATCTCTGTGTACCTGTATGTGTGTGCATGTGTGCATGTGTATGGTGGGCATGTGTGTGCGTGTGTGCAAATGTGTATGTGTGTGCATGTGTGTGCGTGCACATGTGTATCTCTGTGTACCTGTATGTGTGTGCATGTGTGCGTGTGTACATATGTGTATGTCCATGTGTGTGTGCATGTATTTCTGTGTATCTGTGTGTGCATGTGTTCATGTGTATGGTGGGCATATGTGTGCGTGTGTGCAAATGTGTATGTGTGTGCATGTGTGTGCATGTGCGTGTGTATCTCTGTGTACCTGTATGTGTGTGCACGTGTGCATGTGTATGGTGGGCATGTGTGTGCGTGTGTGCAAATGTGTATGTGTGTGCATGTGTGTGCGTGC
Source organism: Homo sapiens (assembly GCF_000001405.40). Lineage (NCBI taxonomy): Eukaryota > Metazoa > Chordata > Mammalia > Primates > Hominidae > Homo > Homo sapiens. The sequence continues at coordinate 7,386,172 of NC_000004.12, read as the reverse complement.
GCATGTGTATCTCTGTGTACCTGTATGTGTGTGCATGTGTGCGTGTGTACATATGTGTATGTCCATGTGTGTGTGCATGTGTGCATATGTGTATGTGTATGCGCAGGCAACAGAGCCACTCCAAAGTGTGGCTGCTCCACTTGGCAAAGTGGATGTACCCCAGTCTGGCCACAGCCTCCCTCCTTTCTGGCCTCCAAAACATGAGGAAGATGCTCATTTTCATGCCAGTGGGGCTGGTACACACAGCAAAGGGGAAGACTAGATGCTGGTGGAAGCATTCGGTCAGTGCTCAATAAGTGTGCATTTCCTTTCTCCCCCAGCAAGGGCCACTTCAGACATCTGGTCCCAATCGAGGCAGGTGGCCAAGGCTGGCTTGGCAGTGCCCTGCCCCTTCAGGTGGTACTGAACAAAGGTTGGATCAGTGTTATACCCCCGAGGCAGGAGCCTGGAGCTGGCGTCTGTCCCTCACCACATGGGAACGGTGGTGGCTCAAGCTGCCCACCTCTCAGGAGGGTCACCCTCACCCAGGCCCAGCTTTGCTTCCCAATGTGGGGCAGGGCGTCAGACCCCATGGAAGAGCACAGGCCTTCCTCCCGAGTGCAGAGTGGCACTCTTCAAGCCCCAGCTGTGATGGACTCAAACCACATCAGCCTGAGGCCAAGACCAGCCCCCAGGGAGCTAGGACAACAGGCTCGGAAGCTCTCTCCAGCCCGCATGAAAGAGAGGACTTCCTGCTGGCCCCTTCCCTTCAACAGTGCTGGCTGGGCTGGCCCATCCTGTGGTCCCTGAGGAAGCCAGCTGGCTCAGTGCTGGGCATCCCCATTGCACCCTCATCCTCTATGAAGAAATCAATTCCATTTCAAAGACACTGATCCTGCATTTATTTACCAGGGAGAGGAATATCGTTTCTTTCTACTAAAGACCCCTGAGGGGAGGGGTGGGTATCACATTAGGCTCAAAAAGCCACAGGAGGTGCTGGCTCTCCAAGGGATGCGGCCTCACTCAACACTGCTGCCAATGCCGCTGCCCACCCTGCAGACCCTAGGGCTTTGGCTCAGTCCTACCCATACACCCCTGAGTGCCACCCACCCTGGCCCCTGCTCCACAGAGCCCTCCTGGATTCTCCAAGCTTGGGATCCACAAATGCCCGCAGAGCATCCCTGAAGGCTCTCCCTCCAAAGTGGAGCCATCAGAGCTGCAGTGAGTACAGGCCTTTCCCTCTAAGAATCTTCTGCTGAAGCTGAGCCGGCGAGCCTGGACCTCCACCTGCCTGATTCCTCCTCGAATGCAGTGTCCGCGCCCCCTGCCCTCAGGCATCTCCGCAAAGGGCTCTCCTCTGAGTCCTGGCCCTTCTACGTGCCCGTGCCTGCTGTGCAGTCCTGGGCAAGCCACTGAGCCTCACAGAGCTGAAGCGAGGATGCAGGGAGTTGGCCGTGCAGTGTGTCCAGAGGGAGCAACCGGCACAGTGTGAGGGTCAGCCAGGAAGGAGGTGGGAACCCAGAACACACTGTCTCCCAAGAAGGGTCTTGGGTGGAGCCGGACGTTCAGCTGGGTTGAGAGATGTCCTCCAGCCCTGTGGTGTGGACACGGGTGGTTTGCCTTAAGCCACCTCACTGACACCTGTTACCCAGCGCGGTTGAGGCAGAGACATTTGCAGGGCCCCGTGTACGCACCTTAACCCCGTCTCCTTCCCACAGCCAGCCCCAGTCCCCCGAGGTCTGACCTGCAGTGGAGGTGCACTGTGGGCAGGCAGGATGCCTCACCCAAGATGCCTGGACCAGAAAACCTGCCACTTCTCGTCACCGTCTCATTAAAATAAATGACTTCCTCTGTCCTGAGCCGCATGCTGAGCACTCTATGGACGTTATCTCTTTCAGTCCCCCCACAGGCCTTGTCCCTGGGAACCATGTTGTCCCCATTTGGGGGAAGTTGAGGCACCGAGAGGCATTACCTGCCCCAAGTCTTGCCACTCACGCAAGGAGGGCTGGATGGCAGCTTTGGCCTCAGACTCCACCATGCAGCCCTTGGGCCTCCACCAAGGGCCTCTGCAGGGACTGTGGGAGGAAGAAGGCCCTTCATGCACAGGCATTGGACACCTTCACAGGCACGAAACCCAGTGTCTGAAATAAAGAGAGCTAAGAACGAAGCTAAGAAAGGGCCTCATAAATCAAAATCAGTCAGCAGCAAATAAATGGACGGGTGCTGCTGATCTGTGGAAAATTGCATTTTTACATTAAATCTGTTTAAGGGATAATGTATATTTTAATAGGTGGGTCTTGGTAGACTTTTCCACCTCAGCTGTCCTTTGAAAATATTATTTACTCTCCATTTCTCATAACCTGATTGAATTTTAATTTCACCCGTCACTCCTTTTTAATAGTCACTGTAAGTAAAATTATTAATGAAATTACAAGCTGCTGTTTTGGTTTTTTTGTTTTGTTTTTTGTCGTTGCTATTCAAAATGTGCTTCTACCTGGAAGGGTTGGCATTGCTCAGGTCTATTTATGGCAATAAAAGGTAATCGGATAAGCTGTGATGTTGTTAGTGCTGAGCGTCTTTCGACATAAAAAGTGCCCGGGTATCTCCGGGAGGTGGGTGGAAATTGCTGATCCTGTTTTTAAAGCAGAAATCCCTCCCCAGGCTCCAATGCTCTCCCCCTCCCTGCTGGTGCCCAGCCAGACAACCATATGTTCATTACCTCCAAGAATTTCTCTTTAGAAACAACGCTGTCATGTCTGAACAGAGGTGCCAGGCACAAAGGAAGCGCTGCCTCTTGCAGGGGGAGGAGGGGCGGGTGGAAGAAGTCACTGTCTGCATCCAACTGCAAAGACCCAGATTTGGGCACAGCAGCCTCTGAACAATGTCCCTTGGCCTTAGGGAACCCAAGCAGGCTGTGGACCTCTAAAGGCCTACCCCTCAGAATTGTCAGGAAGGTAGAGGTTGGAGGTTCTGATGCCAACTTGGGAAGAAGCCACACAGAGCCCTCTTGAGCTCCGTACCAAATTATCTTCTCAAGAAAGCTGCTGGGAGAAGCATCCATGACACGAGGCCCTGTTTTGAAATCCGCCCCTCAGCAGCCCCGCGGGGCATGAGGACTCCGTGGGATCGAAGCGCTGGAGTCTTCATGGCCTTTTCCTCCATTAAAAAATATCAGAAGGTGTATTTTATGGCTGTGTTGGTATTTAAAAAATAGCATATCTTCATATTATAGATCAAAACATTTTCTCCACCTAAAAGTTCATTTTTTCTTCTTCTGATCTTAAAGGAAATTAAAGCATGTGTGTGGGTCCGTTGATGTTGTGCGGACCCTGGCACGGAGCCCTGTGCCAGCAGGAGGCGTGGGCCCCGCAGCTGTTTACACCCACCGTCCCCAGTTCTGGCCCCTTCTTCTCTCCCTGGGCCACTGGACAGCCCCAGCCCTGCCCCCCAGACCTGCAGACCATCCCCTCCAGCCCCCGTACGCTGATTCTCAAATTGAAAAGGATCATGATGCCCCTCCCCTTACCCAGGGCAGGAGTTTTGTCATTTTCTCCAGCTGTGGACCCTGTTAAGAATTTCGGGAAAGTACTAAACATACAGGCATGTCAGCATCATTTTCTACCCCCTTTCAGGATTTGCAGTCCAGTCTGGGACCCAATCTATGGAGTCAATAAGGCCTTCCCGGCTCCCTGGCAGGGAGGACTGGCAATCAGCTTCAAACTCAACTCGGGGATCTGGTGCAGCCCTGGGGCTGTCTCAGGAGGGGCCTGTTCTCTGCACCTTACAGGGGCATTAACCCTGGGGCAGCCGGAGATGTCACTTGGGAACTCACTGTACAACCAGGGATGTTATATAAATACCAGTGAGGATGATGGCAATGTCACTCCCAGGCTCAAACATGATCAGGGTCTCCCACTGCCCAGATGCTAAAGTTCAAACCCCATCCCTGTGGTCAAGACCTTTGGAGACCAAGACCCCCATTGCTCCCCGCTCAGCTCCAGGCACCATCAGCTTTGCCCTGCTCTGAGGGCTGGCTCACCCCACACCCAACCCAAAATGCCTCCCCGCTCCACCAGCAGCACCACCCACCCTTCAAGGTCCTTCTGGAGGCCTTGGAGCCCCTCATGCCTGGGCCTTTCCCGAACGAGGTCCCATCTTTGACCCGACTCCCTTCCTTCCTTGTGTCCCTGGTCCTGTTCACCTGCCTGTTTCCTCTGGAGACTCCACAGGCCTGGCCCAGAGAGGCTAGTGGAATGGAGAGCTTGGTGCCTGGTCATTCTGCTGTCTGCCTGCTCTGCTGGTTGAAGGCTGTGGCCTGCCCCACTGTACTGCCCATCCTGGAGCCTAAGGCTCTCTGGCCCTGGCTCCTGGCACATGGTGGCCTTCAGGCTGCACATGGCTGCAGTCCAGGGTTTGTGCACTGGGGCTGGAATGTCAGTGGGCTGGGTGGGGGCGGGAGTCAGGAATGACCCTGTCCCTTCCAGAGGACATCTGGGGAGGCTTGGGATTAGAAGAGCCTGCTCTTCTGGGAAATTGTTTCAAAGAGAAGGTTTACATCATTCTGTGAGTAAGAGAGTTGGCTGCCTGAGGGGTTCCTCTTATCCATCCACACCTGCACAGCCACCCTCCCTCCGCCAGGGACACCACACTCACGGGGGACAGCCTTCACCAGGGAGGAGGAGGAAGAGCCTTTGGGAAACTGGGCTTCCTGCAGGGAGGGACCCTTTCAGGGGCAGCCCCCACAGGGCAGCCTCTGATGTCAGCTTCGGGGAAGGCTGGCCTCTAACACTGCGTGGCTTTGGACACAGTGTGCTCTTCTTCTGGGGAAGCACCCTCCAGCTCTGTGCTCCGCCCTCCAGCTCTGTGCTCCGTGTGTCTCACTGGCAGCCCTGTGCTGGAATGCTCTCTCAGCTGGACCTGCGAGTCAAAGCGGCCATCCCCTCCAAAGAGAGCCAGGAGTCACTGTCATGTCATCGACCAAACAGCTCAAGAAACCCAATATCTGATCATTCAGGGACTATCTTCAAACATCTGCACCAGAATCACCCACCAGGAGGATACATCATGAAGCTGTCATTGTTAATTAACCCACTCCTTTTTTTTTTTTTTTTGGAGACAGAGTCTTGCTCTATCACCCAGGCTGGAGTGCAGTGGCGCAATCTCAGCTCACTGAAACCTCTGCCTCCCGGGTTCAAGCGATTCTCCTGCCTCAGCCTCCCGAGTAGCTGGGACTACAGGCACCTGCCACCACACCCAGCTAATTTTTGTATTTTTAGTAGAGACGGGGTTTCACCGTGTTGGCCAGGCTGGCCTTGATCTCAACATCGTGATCTGCCCGCCTTGGCCTCCCAAAGTGTTGGGATTACAGGCGTGAGCCACCGCACCTAATTAACCCACTTCTTTAACACAAGTAAGCAAATTTCACATCACGGCCATAAATAGAAAACAAACATTACTTGTCATCCATAGAAGGTAACTACAAAAATAAACAGCAATAGCTTGCAGAAGACAAGCTTGAGGCCTACGCCCCGCCCTGACTTTATTAAGGAGGAACGAGGGGGCTGCCACAGGCAGTCTAGCCACGGGTCAGCAGAGGATGACGGAAACCACATTGACGTCCTTGCCCTGGGCTTTAAAGCCATCAGATGCTCTACTCCAGCCCCTCCTCAGCAACAGAACTACCTCACTTTGGAAAACACTCAGTTTCTCTTGAATTTGAATTCAGAATCTCCAACACCAGCTTCCTCACCAGTCCCCAGTAATAGCCCAGGAGTCCGGTGACGGGGAGCTCGCTACCTGTCCAGTGCAATTCCAACATGGCAGGAAACAGCTGTGAGACTGTTGGCAGGACTCAGCACCTTCAGCTTCTCTATGAAACCACAAAAGCCTGTCCCCTGTGAATGTTACTTGTTTAAAGCCAGACACCTCTTGGGGCCCCCAGACAAGCTCCCTATGCTCAGACAGCAGAGATCTCAGAACCAGGCTCCTGTGGAGGCTCCAGGTAAGCCCCCAAACCCCAGGCTGGGGCTGAGCACGTCTCTGACAGCAGCACCCCATGGCTTCTGTCTACCCATCTCCGGGCTTTCTGAGGCATGAGCAACCATAACCCAGCCCATTTTGAAGAAATGGCCATTGTTGAGCAACCTTTGGTGACCCGTGGCTCTTCCAAGCCTGTCCTCAGCCAGGCTCTGGGCATCAGGAAAGCAGAACGGAACCGGCAGACTGGGGATGGGGAGCCAGGGACCAGGAGGAGACAAATCATCACACTCACGCACTGAATGTCTGAGCTGAAGTATTTTAAGAAAAGTATTTTAAAAATAGCATTTGGTGATGTCTAAAAAGCAAGTTTCTGCAGCTGCCTTCAGCGTGTTTTCTAGGCATGCCACAGCCTGAAGGAATACAGGCCCTTCATAGAGGTCTTGGAATAAATCTGACAAACAAAGCAACATATTTCCCAGTGAGTCCCTTGCCTCTGCTTAGAGAACGAATCTAAAAAGCCACAGGGTCTGGAAGGTTCTCCTTCATTTGGGCTATGTGGCTTTGGGCAGGTTACCCATCCCTCTGCAATCATACCATCTGCAAAATGGACACCCATAGTATCCGCGTGTCTATTGTGAAGGGTGTTTAGTGGGGGAACTGATAACACAAGAAACTCATTTGTGAACGGGAAAGCCTCAGCCATACATCACTGTAATTGCAGCAGCCCAGCCAACAGCCTTTCCATGTGCACAACTCACACGATGGGGCGCCCCCACTCCCGAAGGCCCTCCTCACGCTTATCTGAATACGCCTCTCGTGCTTCCACCCATCCACCCCAGCTCTGCCTGGTGCAACCTCGCAGGCTGTGTTTGCTCCCCAAGGCAGCCCTGCAGATGCCCAGTGGTGATCCTGCCCTCCCTCCTGCCCTCCCAAGGCTCAGGATGCCCCAACTCTTGCTGAACCTGCTGCACCCTGGGGAGTCAACTGCAGCACAGGTGCGATTTCTGAAAGGATCCTCCTTTTAAAGGCAGGCCCACACGGAGAGCTGGCCCATACTCGGATGTGCCTCCCTCCAACCTGGCATCCTTAGCCACATCCCAAGCACAGGATCTAGGAGGCAACAGAATCTCACAATAACCCAGGACATCTGCTTTAGATGTGCGTGATCAGCGTGTAAATCACACGCATAAAACAAAGGCCGGGGTATGCATATTACCCGAGAATGAAGGTGCATCTAGGGAGAGGCTGTCTTTTGCTGTCCATCCCACTCAGCCAGGGTCAATTAAAAAGGCCAAGAATGCATCCGTGTCCATGGTGGCCAATAGGGCAAGAAGAGGAAATGTGGTCTTTCCTCTCATTCAGGGTCACAGAATGGGCCTGGACCTGATGCGGGCAGACTTGGGATAACTCTCAGCTGCCCACGGTGGTCTGAGGGAGGTGGGCAGGGTGGAGATGGGGAGCAATGCCTCAGGGATGACACATGCAAAGCCTGGCACACAGGTGTTCTGGTAGCAGTGTGGGGGGGAGGAACCTGCTATGGTTGGGCTCTGTGTCCCCACCTAAATCTCACCTTGAATTGCAATAATCTCCACGTGTCAAGGGCGGGACCAGGTGGAGATAATTGAATCACGGGGGTGGATTCCCCCATGCCATTCTCGTGATAGGTGATAGTGAGTGAGTTCCCATGAGATCTGAGGGTTTTATAAAGGGCTTCCCCCTTCGCTTGGCACTTCTCTCTCCTGATGCCATGTGAAGAAGGACGTGTTTGCTTCCTCTTCCACCATGATTATAAGTTTCCTGAGGCCTCCCCAGCCATGTGGAACTGTATCATCCCTCTTTTCTTTATAAATTACCCAGTCTCGGGTATTTCTTCATAGCAGTGTGAGAACAGACTAATACAGAGCCCCAAAAAGGTGCCTTAAATTATCTGAATGGACCCCTCCGATGATACACATTAGCCTGAAGAGAAGCAATGGAGTCAATTTCAACAGAGATGTTAGTCTCACCCGAGGTTACTTTCAGACACCAAATTCATTTCATTTTCATGGCCATGAAGAGTCACAAGCCTACCCACCCCATCTGTATTTGATATAAATATGCCTGTAACAAATAAATGCAGCTTTAGCTTCTCCATGTAGTTCAGCTAGTCTAATTATAACTAAAAGCAGAAGAAAAAAACCATATATCCTTCTTCATGAAAATCGGGGTATATTGTGACTTATTTGGAGAGAAGAAAATCATGGAAGGGTTAAGTTTCTGGACACAAAAAACAAGATCTTCATTTCTGAAATCTAATTTAAAAGATCTCCCCAGGGTGAACTCAATGTATCTTCCACGGAAGGACGAGGACGGGAACGATTCTGCTGGGACCCAAACATATGGCTGAATTCTGCCTTAAGTATATCAAATAGAAGGCTCCCTTCACTGGCCCGACTTGTTATAAAACAGACCTGTCAAATCAGGCTCCCCATGTAAACTTCCTGAGCTGATTGAGCTAAATCACACGCCTGGCATTTCATTACCAGCTGTGGCGGAGGGCATTCTGCCATCCTGGGTGAAGGAGAGCCCTGCCGCCATCACATCAGGGCTAAAAACAGAGCCATCTCCATCAACTTGACAAAGACAAAAAACTTGAATTAAGAGCCCTGTCTAAAATTAACAGTGATTGAAAGTTAATGATGGAACAAATTTGGCAGAACTATTTAAACATGCATCAGGATGTGGTCTCGGCTTTCAGAGGGGAAGCTGAAGTGATGAATGTCTGTTGAGCGCCTGCTGGGAACGTGGCATGTGGCTTCATGCGGTGTTCCCTTCCACCGGAATCAGACCCTTGGCAGAAGGTCCGATCTGTCCCCCCCGTCACAGCCCCAGTTCTGGAACTGGGCAAACACATCTGCTTGTCAACATTCGAAGCTGTATCTAGGTGCTCGTCAGCAGCATTTCTTTATAACAAGCCAGAAACAACCCCTACTGGGGAATGGTTCCATAAACCATAGCATAACCATTTCATTCAATCAACGATACAAATCCGGAGGAAAAAAAAAGACAAACAATGTTATGAGAAAATACCCATGGTACAATGTGACATGAACAAATATTTGAAATTACAGACACAACATGTCCTCCCTATACTTCCACACGCATACAGAAAACACATGCTTATATGCCTCTTTCCTCCATGAGACTATAAACTCTTTGCAGGCACAAACCACTTTCACAGCCCGAATCCCAGTGCAGAGCCGGTCTTCAGGCTGCACGTGACTGCAGGCCAGGGTTTGTGCACTGGGGCTGGAACATCCGTGGGCTGGGTGGGGGTGGGGGTCAGGAATGACCCTGCCCCTTCCAGAGGACATCTGGGGAGGCTTGAGATTAGAAATGCCTGCTGTTTTGGGAAATTCTAGACACTATATGAGCAGCAAATACCTGTTTAACTCAATTGGAGTGTTGGTCACGATCCCTTCTTTGTAAGTCGTAAAAAGTTTATTCAGGCATACCTATGTATAAACCCACAAAGACATGCATATGTATGGACACATAGACATGCGCAGAAAATGAACCAGAAAAAAATATGCCTGAGTGAGAAAATAATGACCTCTGGGTATTAGTGAATTGGTTTTGTTTGTTTTTATTTTTGTTTTGAGACAGAGTCTTGCTTTGTCACCCAGGCTGGAGTAAAGTGGCGCAATCTTGGCTCATTGCAACCTCCACCTCCTGGGTTCAAGCGATTCTCCTGCCTCAGCCTCCGGAGTAGCTGGGATTATAGGCGCCCACCACCACACCCGGCTAATTTTTGTATTTTTCGTAAAGACGGGGTTTCACCCTGTTGGCCAGGCTGCTCTCAAAGTCCTGACCTCAAATGATCCACCAGCCTTGGCTTCCCAAAGTGCTGGGATTACAGGCATGAGCCACCGTGCCCAGCCAGTATTTTTTTTTTTTTTTTACTCTTTGCATATTTTCCAGCTTTTCTATAATAAGCATGCTTTATATTTACAACCAGGGAAAAATTGTACTACAAAAGAGATCCTGTTTGCTCCCATGGCACACAGAAGCAGAGTCCTGCCCAGGCAGGCTTCAGCGTGAATGGAGATGCAGAGGTCAATTGTCACCAACTGCACTCCTACCATGTGCCAAGGACTGCTTCCAGACCTGCCTGCATTGGATTCTCACAGTCACCTAGCTTATGTGTTTGTATCACAAGCATTTACCTAGAACTTTCTAAGCTATAAGCATTCACCTCATTTAATCTCCATAACAACCTCTGATTAGGTATTACTATCCTCATTTGCCACTGAGGCCCAGAGAGGCAAGTAACCTGCGCACGAATAACAAGCGGCCGATGGTAGGGAAAGTGACTTGAATGAGACACAGGAAGAAGCCACTTGCACTCGACACAAACCCCAGACATTTGTCCTTGTCCACTCCTCTGTGGACACACAGTGCCGGCAGCCAATAATCCTCACAGTCACTTCTAATAGGCTTTGGGGTGGATGTGTATTGCAGTATTGCACATGCATTTTTGTTTTGGTTTCTCTTTTTTAACTGCTTTCAGCTGCTATTACCAGTGACACAAAGCTGGCTCAGGCTGGTTCTGGGCAGCCAAGCCTGAACTCAGATGTTCCTCCATGCAATCGAGGAAGTGCAATCTGGCATCTCATCCATGCACACGGGCATCGCTCCCATGACTGGACATGCGTGAGAAAAGGCTTCTCACTGGCTGGGCCCAGCCATACCAGATCTTGCTTCAGAAATCCCACCGCGGTATCCTGCTGATGGCCCCGCAACGCTGCAAGGCCCAGGGAACTGAGATCTCTCACCCAACACGGGATGTAGCATGAGAGTTTCCATGCCCAGAGACAGAGGCGCATGGAGCTGCCTTGATGATTCTAGAATTTCCATTTATCATCTGAATGAGACACTGATATAAATGTCCAACACCCTTATTCAATGATTCTGTATCCCCATGCCTGACTCAAGGGACTAGGAAAGGACACAGAGGTTCTGTCAGAGGCGGACTTTCCCTCTGATCAGAGTAGGGAGCTCCACTTCATGGGGATGACCCAGAGAGGGTGATGCAGGGGAGAGTCCCAGAAGCCAGAGTTAGACAAGGCAGCCTCCAAGTCCCTTTCTCATCGAATCACCATGACTTACCCTGCACATTCCACACCCTCGTCACTATGCCAGGGACCCCAGTGATCAGTGGATTTGCTCAGACATTGCCCTCTGAGGATACAAATGTCAATTTGCCTGAAACAAAATCCCAACCCCAACAGCAAAGTGTCCACTGTAAAGGTGAGCTCCAGCCCAGCTCCAGGCCTTGCCCGCAAGCCCATGCAGACCACACACCCAGCACAGGGTCACCTGCAGCAAAAAAGCCTCCCCCCACCCGCGGTCTACCCAGGCAGAGAGGCTGGAGGGAGCACAAGATGGCTGTGGGGCCAGGTGACGCTGTGGGACTCTAAGCCTGAGCCTGCCAGGGAGGTGACCGAGACACTGTACAAGCCACCTCTGACTAGTTCCTGCAAATGTGTGGGCTGTTCAGCGATCGGGGACCCCAGCTCTTGGTCGTTACTGAGAAAGCAACCTTGGCTTCGGGAAGGATGGGGGCAAGGCCTGGACGTGGCACAGACAAAGGTGAGTTTGGCTAGATGGTGTGAATCGAGTAGAAGTGGGCAGGCCAAGCCACTGCACCCGGAAAAGCAACACGCAGACAATGTCTGGGGAACGTCCCAGGGCTGCTGCCAATGCTGCCAGCGTGGCACCCGATTTTCATTGCAACGGGAGAAATCCACCTTGCTCATGATGTGAGCACGCCACTTTCAGACCCGGGCTGGTACGAGCTCAGCTTTGCACTGCCCTTCTCCCTCTCTCACATGGGGGAGGAGCATTTCCCCACAAGCCTTGCTGGGCCAACTCAGTCCCTCTCCCAAGAAATTATCCCACATCTCTCTTTCCAATACCTTAGTCATTATAGTGGTTCCCACAAATGGTGCTGATCAATTGAACGTCTCTCTGCAAAAAAGAAAGAAAGAAAGAAAGAAAGAAAGAAAGAAAGAAAGAAAGAAAGAAAGAAAGAAAGAAAGAAAGAGGGAAAGAAAGAAAGAAAGAATCTCAATCCTAACCTTGCACCACAGACAAAAATCAACTTAAAAGGGATCCTAGACCTAAATGTAGACTCTGAAACTGTAAAACTTCTAGAAGAAAACAAGGGGGAAGAAATCTTTGTGCCTTTGGATTAGTCAAAGAATCTTAGATAAGGCATAAAAGCAGGAATCATAAAAAATATTAATCTATAGATAAACGGAATTCATCAACATTTAAAACTTAAGTTCTAAGGATGCTAAGAAATGGAAAAGCCACAGACTGGGAGGAAATTTTTGCAAAGTACACATCCAGCAATGGATTTGCAGTCAGAATATATAAAGGGGCCAGGTGTGGTGGCTTACACCTGTAATCCCAGCACTTTGGGAGGCCGAGGCGGGTGGATCACTTGAGGTCAGGAGTTCGAGACCAGCCTGGCCAACATGGTGAAACCCCATCTCTACTAAAAATACAAAAATTAATTGGACATGGTAGTGTGGCCTGTAATCCCAGCTACTTGGGAGGCTGAGGCAGGAGAATCACTTGAACCTGGGAGGTGGAGGTTGCAGTAAACAGAGATCATGACACTGCATTCCGGCATTCCAGGGTGACAGAGCGAGACCCCGACTCAAAAAAAAAAAAAAAAAAAAAAAAAAAATATATATATATATATATATAAAAGTTTCTCACAATTCAATACAACAAAGACAAACAACGTACTATAAAATGACCCCCAAATTTGAATATTTGCTTTACCAAAGAAAACAGATGGGTGGCAAATAAGCATATGAAAAGATGCTCAGTATCATTTCTTATTAGGGAAATGCAAATTAAATCACAATGCAATGTCACTACACACTTATTAGAATGACTAAAATTTAGAAGTTGAAAAAAGTGCTGAAGAGGACGTGGAGCAACCAGAACTCTCATACCTTGGTGTTGGGAATGCAAAAGGACACAGCTTCTTCGGAAACAACTTGGCAGTCTCTTATAAAGTTAAACATATATTTATCATATCCAGCCATGTCACGGCTACGTATTTAAGAGCAATGAAGCATACATCCACACCAAGACCTGCACACAAACATTCAGAGCACTTTATGCATGATAGGGGAAAAAAAAAAAAAAAACAGAAACCACCAAGATGTCCTGCAGCTGGCGACGGATCAGCAGCAAACTGTGCCTCATTCACACGATGGAAGACTGCGTTGCACCAAAGAGGCACGAACTCCTGACGTCACGAACAGACATGCCAGCACCAACAAATCACAACAGGACTGCGGGAGTGAAAGCAGCCAGGCCCGGAAGGTCACAGATGCTGTGTGATTCCATGTATACGGCACTCCGGACAGGCGGAAAACAGACTCAGGGGGTCCAGGGCTTGGGGGTGGGGGCGTTGACCACAAAGGGCACAGGGGAACTTCTGGGGGGTGAGGGAAATGTTCTTTATCTCAACTGTGGTGTTGCGTCCATGAGTGTATGCATTTATCGAAACTTACTGAGAAATATGCTTTAAAAAGTGAATTTCAGGCTGGGCGCAGTGGCTCACGCCTGTAATTCCAGCACTTTGGGAGGCCCAGGTGGATGGATCACCCGAGGTCAGGAGTTCAAGATCAGCCTGGCCAACATGGTGAAACCCCGTCTCTACTGAAAATACAAAAAATTAGCCAGGCGTGGTAGCAGGTGCCTGTAATCCCAGCTACTTGGGAGGCTGAGGCAGGAGAATCCCTTAAACCCAGGGGACGGAGGTTGCAGTGAGCTGAGATCCCGCCACTGCCCTCCAGCCTGGGCAACAAGAGTGAAACTCTGTCTCAAACAAACAAACAAAAAAAAAGTGAATTTTACTACATGTAATTTATACCTCCATAAACCTAACTTTAAAGAAAACTTAATCATTATTACTGCATTCAACCACTGACTTACAAACACCCAACTTATAAACACCAGATTCACACGCATCATCCACACACCTTCTGGCTTCTGGGGTGCCCAGATCCAAAGCCAACTGACCCATATCAGCAAGGGCCGCAATGAAAGGAACCCATGTCCTGCCTGTTTCTAGACTGAATATCCCAAGACCCACTTGTTCACCCTGTCCACACAAGTCGCCCATACTGCTCTCGTCCTTTCCTCTCCACTCTGCCCAGCTGCCAGGATAGGCATCTTCCCTCACTCCCCCACCGGCCCCACGAGCTTCCTGCCAGAGCCAACACAGCCCTTCTAGAGGCCACCAGCATGCAGGCGTCCTCTTTATCTCAGCTGTGGCCATCACAGCTGGTGGAAACCAAGGCTCGAAGTGAAATCCAACACAGCGCCTCCGTCAGAGGCCTGGGCGTGCAGCTACTGAGGGACCCACAGCGAGCTGACACCAAAGCTCAGCTCCCGACACACACCCGCCTCCACGTGGCTCCCGGGGTCAGTGTGTAGGTGGCTATGCGGCAGCTCAGTTCATCCACAAGTAATTAAAACCTACAGCTCCAGAACCCACGTGTACCACAGGGAATTCCAGATCACGATGCCGGCATGTCACAGTGTGCTGGCTCCTCTGTGGACACAGCAATCCTTGGGCTCCGGGAAAAAGAAACAACCTAGGCTCTGACTCACTCATTTTTTTCTGTATCAGATAATATATGAAGAATGTCCTACCAACACAACGAAATGTGGAAGCAGAGCAAGGCGGAGCGTGAGGCCTAAGTATGAAATAATGAATTTATAATCCCTCTGAAGAGCATTCAGAATGGGAAACGGACATCGCCATGGAAACCAGGGGAGTGCGGCAAGGTTCTCAAGAAGGGCCCGGCAGCGTCACTTCAGATGTGCTCCAGGTTAGAAGCAGAGGCCGATCCACCACCACACAGGGCGCAGGCAGCTGCGGGACGGGCCCGATGCTCTCAGACCTGCAGCGGGTACACACGTGGGCACGATCCCCATAGACCTTCGCAGGAATGCAGCAGGTTGAGGGGGACACCTGCACCCACGTTTCCACCTCTGGACAAACATCCTGTGCCCCAACTCTCCATGTGAAGTGCTCCCTTCACTCTACAGAGACCTGCTCCCGATGTGGCACTGAAGAGACCTCAGCTCTGCCATCCAGGGGCCCTGAGAGCCGGGGAGAAAGGCAAGATCGTACCCCGTGCTGTGGGGCCCAGCAGGGACCCACATTAGACTGGGGTCCAGGGCAGGCTCCTAGACAGGGGGACCCCACAGGCAAGTCTTCAAGAATCAGCAGCAGCTGCCTAGGGGATTGAGGGGACGTGCTAGGCAGGCAGCTGGGGATAAGAGAGCAAAGCAAAAGCCGGTAAGCATGGAAGCCACAGGCCCCTGTGTGCAAAGGCAGGGACCAGCCAGAGAGGACCAGTAAAGGGGGCCCAGTCCCTCCACCCAGAGAAATGTCACACAGGATCAAGGCACAGGAGGGCATTGTCAGGGCTGTGGAGCCTCGTGGGGACACCAGCTCGGGATAGCACCCCGCCACCGGCAGGCAGGGGCCGCGCCAGGGGAAGAGCCCCACAAGGATGATGGGCAACGTTATTTCTCTTTGGAAGATCATTGAGCGTGTTGATGTGTAATTTTTCAATAAAATATTAGTCAGCCAAGCTGCCAAGGACCTTATTTTTAAATAAAGTCTTAGTTGAGTTGTTAATTCTCTACTCAGCTTTGCTGCAACTAATTATGAAGAACTATAATGATGACGATCCCAGATGGACCAGGCTGTCCTCTGAATACAAACTTCTCCTCCTGTTCCTGCTTCTCTGCAGAGCCGAGCCGCACGCTCAGAGCAGGTAGCCCAGGGGCCCAGATCTCCTCTGCCTCTGCCCCCGTCCGGGCTCAGACAACCAAACAGAAGGAAAGTCCTGAGCAGCTCTCAGCCCTTTTGGTGCTGTGAGCAGAGCCTGGGCTGGAGGTCAGGGAGCCCAAGCGCCTTGCCCAGCCTGGTGGTTATGCCCTCTCTGGGCACAGTCTCCCCCAGGAAGAGCCCAGGGATTGAGCAAAAAAAAGGGCCTCTCCTGGGTCCCCTGCACACACCCCACCCAGGAGCAGAGCCGCAAACAGCTAAGCTGGGGGGGCACTGAGGCCATTCCTACATGATCCCAGCACTCACGTGGCTGCTTCTTCTTATCTCTATTTTATCGAGGAGGAAACTGAGGCTCAGAGAGGGAGAATAACCTACCCAAGGTCACACAGCTCCTATTTCCTGCCTTCCAGAAGGGAAGGGGGCAGGAACATGGGGAGGGGGAGCTGGAGAAGACACTGTGTGCGAAAGCTCCGGAAGTGGGTGAGAGCTGATGTGTGTGAGCATCGGGGTAGGGAGGCTGCCCTGCCACGTGCCCATGGTGGGGAGGCTGAAGATGCGCTGACGAAATCCACGGGTGGATCTGCTCCACGGGGAGGGAGAACCTGCAAAGCCGACCAGAGGCATGTGCGAGGGGCTGGCCAGGACCTCCAGGACTAATGCACTGGGAGAGCACTCAGCAAAGCTGGGGCCAGGCCACTCCCCGAGTCCTGCTGTGTCAGCTTCCCAGACTGAGCACTCCAAACTGAACTCTCTATCTCAGAAATTCCAAACAGGGTCTCCGGGGTAGACACGCCCCCAAGTCAAGCCTCTGGAGCCTGTGTGGCTTAGCAAATACGGCTCTGTGCCTCAGTTTCCTCATCCATGCAATGGGGCTGCTGCAGGGAATTGATATGTACTTAGGAGAGACCAGCTCATAGTGGGCACTTACTTATTGTATTCATCCATTTTCATGCTGCTGATAAAGACATACCCGAGACTGAGCAATCTATAAAAGAAAGAGGTTTTTGGTGTTTTGGTTTGGTTTGGTTTTCAGACAGAGTCTGGCTCTGTTGCTCAGGCTGGAGTGCAGCAGTGTGATCTTGGATCACTGCAACCTCCACCTCCCAGGTTCAAGCAATTCTCCTGCCTCAGCTTCCCGACTAGCTGGGATTACAGGTGCACGCCACCACTTCCAGCTAATTTTTTTTGTATTTTTTAGTGGAGACAGGGTTTCACCATGTTAGCCAGGCTGGTCTTGAACTCCTGACCTCAAGTGATCCACCCGCCTTGACCTCCCAAAGTACTGAGATTATAGGTGTGAGCCACCACACCAGCCTAAGAAAGAGGTTTAATGGACTCACAATTCCACATGGCTGGGGAGGCCTCACCATGATGGCGGAAAGCTCACATGATGCACACAGAGAAGAGCACGTGCAAGGGAAACTCCAGTTTTTAAAACCATCAGATCTCGTGAGACTCTCACTATCAAGAGAACAATGCAGGAAAGACCTGCCCCCATAATTCAATCACCTCCCACCGGGTTTCTCCCAGGACACCTGGGAATTGTGGAAGTTCCCATTCAAGATGAGATTTGGGTGGGGACACAGCCAAACCACATCACTTATGCATTCGTTTTCATGATCCTCTTGGCCAACTTCAAACTTAAAACTGCTTCCAGGGACTGAGCCACTCAGGGAACATGTCTTGGCCCCTCCCATGAACCAGGGAGGTGGTCCCCTCCATGGGGGCAGGCCTCTCTAGGAGTTACACCTGGGGTTGTGACCAGGACCAGCCCCTAAAGAGAGGCGTGGCTGGGCCTGCAGCTCCTGGCACCCAGCATGGTGATGGGGTGCGCTGGCTGCTGGGGGGACCCAGTGGATTGGCAGGCGTGACCCTGAAGGCCAGGACTCCCGGCAGGCAGCAGGTCCGGGCAGTCAAGGTGGAAGATGTGCACCTGGGCAGTGACCAGGCCCGTGGGAGGGTGGGCTTGAGAGGTTTTCACCAATGCCACTTGGCAGCCCTTCTCTCCGGCTTTATTAGTTAACATGCTTTTGGCCACATTGCTTTTTTCACTGCCTAGGAATTCACTGCTATGGATTGCTGATGCCAGCTCCAGCCTCCCTGGAGAGTCTGGCTCACTTTAGAGCACACCAGGGCGGTTCCCCTTCATCTGTGTCCACTCTTCATGGCCACCCGGTTTTGGAACAGGATTCCGGCACATTCATCAACCCAGCACCACCACCCGCCTCACCACCACACGTGAACAGGGGTGGGTGGAGTGAGGGTGGTAAGTCCTCTGTAAAAAAAGGAGCTTATGGTATTTAAACAGTGCTCCAATCCCCTAAGTCTCCATGAAGCCCAGCGCTGAGGACTTAGGTGCATGGGAAGCCCAAGCACTCAGAGGGAGAGCTGAAACCCCAGGCTGACACACAGCACTGGACTGGCCCGGGTGGCAGGAGGGCTGGGGGCTGTCTCCGCCTGTGCTCCTGAGCTGGGATTTGGGGTCAGATTTTGGGCCTCTGCCAAAGTCTTCTTTACACTCGGAGAACATTCCTTTTAAGTTGTCTCTTTTTGTTTGCCCACTTCCCCGAGTTTATTTAAAAATAAACTGCGTGAATTCAATGCACGCTTTCACAGACCCATAATAAGCAATTTCCTAGGGAGAGTCGGAGCCAACACGGGCTCCTGAGTATGCAAGCGTCAGGCCTGGCAGGGGCTTCCCCATGGGGGCAAATCCTACTGATGCAGAGCTCAGCCTGAACAGCCCAGCCCTGAGCGAGAAGAGCCGGCACCCTGGCAACCATAGCTCTAGCTCTTGCATCCCGGGCGCCGTTGCTGTGTGAACCGCCTTGACTGAGGTCATCTGTTTAATGCTCCCACAACCACCCTGCAGCACCGACAGGCTCACATTCCCACTTTACAGAGGAGGAACTGGAGACTCAGAGACATTACATGACTTACCCACGGTCACACAGCTAGCAAATGGCAGAGGAGAAACTCAAGCCCAGGCTGTGAGGGTCCAAATGGCCTGTGCTTCCCCACTCTGTTTGACGTGAATTTGCCGGGTCACCATTCTCTGGACACACTCAAGTTTGTTGCTGCTGCTTGTGAAGTAGTGTGACCTCACCTGAACGGTGTTCCAAGGATGGCCAAGTCATTGCCAAGTACGAGACTACCACCTCCCTTGCCACAGACCCTATACTTCTGTTAATGCAGCCAAGGTGATAATGTCATTGCTGGGGCCACATCACGGGGCTCCCCTTTGGGGATCTTGTACTCCGAGGAGACCCAGAGGCTATTTTAACATCCACCACTGCTTGGTGTCTTCCTCTGGGGCAGCCGGCTTGGGAAGCTCACTGCACTAGCCTATATCCATCTGATAAGATTGCTCCTCTGAATTTAAGTCCTTCCGACCTGGCCTCTCAGGCGTAGGCACTCAGTACACCTGACAGAATAAATGAACAAAGGAGCAAAGGAATGCCTTCATTCAACAAGGACTTCCTGAGAACCTGCCATGCACCTAGCTGTGAGCCAGGGACACACTTGAGGAGGAAGTGGGCAGGTCCCTGGCCCTGTGAAGCTGTTGGGGGTTGGGGGGGTAGACATGAAACACATGTGGTGAGCACACAGGCCATCTGATGGTGACAAACATCATGGAGGTGCCGGGGCAGGGGACATGGAAGGTCTCCCAGAAGTGGTGACAAGGAGCTGAGACCTTGGAGCAGCTGCATGGGAGGCTGGAGGAGGAGGTTCCAGGCAGATGGAACTGCCAGTGCAAAGACAGAAACTAGCAAGGCTGATGAGGATGGAGGAGGGGGTGAGGCTGGAGGGAAGGGAAGGGAGGGAGGAGGGGAAGCCTGGAGGAGTGTTGGGGGAGAGAGGGGGGGAGGGGCACGCTAAAGGGGGCATCCACCGTGAGGACTGACCTATGGGATGGAAACGCCTCCTGTGCTGAGCCAGGGGAGCAGGATCCCCCCGCAGGCTGCCCGGGAGCAGGGAACTCGACCCTGCTGCAGCTCCAGCCACCACGCACTCACCGCAAGGCCAGGTGGAGCCACTACTGTCCACACAGGTTTAAAAAAGAGGGCAGGGGCAGGACTGAGAGAGAGAGAGGAAGGGAAGGACGGAAGGGAGGAAAGGGAAGAGAGGGAGGAAGGAAGGATCCCAGCCTCTCCTTCCTCACCTTCGAGATGACGGGGCCTGCCAAGGAGGAGGAGGGTGGCAGGGATGTGCGGGGAGCCTGTGCCACCACCCCCCACCCCCCGGCACTCCTCCTGCATTTGCC
This sequence comes from Homo sapiens, assembly GCF_000001405.40. NCBI lineage: Eukaryota > Metazoa > Chordata > Mammalia > Primates > Hominidae > Homo > Homo sapiens. The sequence goes on along the minus strand of NC_000004.12, from coordinate 7,366,076 downwards.
TCTGGCACAGAACTGAGGTGCCTGCGCTGACGGATGTCACTGTGACAAATAAAAACAGGGGACAGAGATCCCGCTTGTTGCAGCTGGCAAGGACTCCCCATACTGACTGTCTTCCCGGGCTCGTTTTGCTGGGTGCTGTTTTGTTTTCACAGGGGGCAGGGACAGCCCAGTCCTGGCAATGACACCCTTGGTCCCTGCCAAGTAAGACAGATGGCGGTGGCTGTGAGTTTATCTGACACTTTGCAAAGAAGGTGCCTGGCTCGCTCTCTCAAGGAGGCTCAGCAAAATGACACACGTGTTGTTTATTATCATTAGCGCAGCCCTGGCAAAAAGAGTGACCATAAATTGCAGGTGTGCCAGGTTCGACAGGCACAAAGCCTGCACGCCGGGGTGCCCATTGTCTGCACCAACCCTGAGTGTCAGCAGCTGTTGGGCGGGCAGGCGGGCGGTGTCTCTTATTCCACACTGATGGCAGGGACCCCACGTGTCTCTGTTTTACACATCAGCGTGCTGTCTGATGATCCTTTCTTGAAAAATTGTTCTGGATTGTAAAAACATTTGAAAGCAACAACCCCCACATACAAAACTGAACTCTCGACAGCTCTGGTGGACACCCCAGACCAGGCTCTTGTCCCAGCTCCCCATCTCAGCCTGCACCCCAACCCTCCTGGTGCCCCAAACAAAATCCTAGGGGTCCTCCTCGCCACACACCCCTTCCCCACCCACATGCATGCCTAAGTGACCCCCAAACCTTGCGCCCTCCTGAACTCCCCACACACCCTGCACTGCCCTCCAGCTCTGCTGACAGCAATCCAGCCACCTCTCCTTCCTCCATCCTCCATGCTGCAGCCAGGGCCATGTTTTCAAAATACCAGTCCTATCAGCTCACCTCCGTGGCCTCTCACTGCTGGTAGCACAGCTGGCAAAGCCCCAACTGCCTGGACCCACTCAGCTCTCTAACAATACAAATCATAGCTAACGCTAAGAACCCTTGTGATGGGCTGGCCACAGTGCTCAGCGCTGGACATGAATCCACTCATTTGGGCCTGACAGCAACTCTATGAGGCAGGGGCCAGCCTTACCTACACTCCACAGATGAGATCCTGGAGACACAAAGGGTTATGAAGCTCCCAGCTGGGATGTGGCAGAGCCAGGTCCTGAACCCCGGTAGGCTAGCTCCTTGAGCCACATGCAAGAGCTCAAGTGCCCCCGTTATGAATGCTTTTTGAACACAGGCTCTGTCATCCGTGCACTCTGTGATGTCAGGCAAGGTTACTACTGGGCTCTGGGAACTGAAGTTTTCTCTTCTGTGACATGGAGATAACACCCATAGCTTTGGACTTCATGTGACATGAGGTCCTCACAACAGCTCCTAGCACCTGCCAAGTGCTCAAGCCAATGTTAGCTTGCTCCCTGACTTGCATTCTGTTTTGTGGAGGGAAATGAACAAAAATCATTCTCAAAGGGAGACAGTGCCACCCTCAAGACCCTTTACCTCATCCTGACCCATGAGCATTGCCCCAAGGAAGGAGGAGACTGCCCAGAAACAGGCCTCCTTCAGGAGTACACCCCATTGAAGCCCCCGAAGCCCACAGCTGCCCACTGCCACCCCCATAGCAGCCTTGCTGACAAGTCATATTTGCAAGAACTCTGGATCCAGCCCAGAGAGAAAATGTCAGTCACATTGCTTTCTATCACATTGAGAGAAACAAGAGCAAGATGTCACCGAAAAGACAGGTGCATTTCCCTGTCCAAAGACAACTCAGAACCTCCCCACTTGGAAAGAAAGCTGCCTGAGAGTGGATTCAGTTCACTTCAGACTATCCAGGGTGGGTTGGGTACCTACTGCCAACAAGACCTGGGCTGGACCTGGATTCTAATCCCCAGCCTGTGCATATGGCTTCACAAATTGTACAGATGATGACAATAATGATGATGATGATGTGGTGGTGGTGGTGGTGATGGTGACAATGATGATGGTAGTAACAATGGTGGTGATGGTGATGATGATGGTGAGGCATGGTTATGGTGACGGTGATGGTAATGGTGATACACCACAATGGTGGTGATGGTGATGATGATGGTGAGGCATGGTTATGGTGACGGTGATGGTAATGGTGATACACCACAATGGTGGTGATGGTGATGATGATGGTGAGGCATGGTTATGGTGACGGTGATGGTAATGGTGATACACCACAATGGTGGTGATGGTGATGATGATGGTGAGGCATGGTTATGGTGACGGTGATGGTAATGGTGATACACCACAATGGTGGTGATGGTGATGATGATGGTGAGGCATGGTTATGGTGACGGTGATGGTAATGGTGATACACCACAATGGTGGTGATGGTGATGATGATGGTGAGGCATGGTTATGGTGACGGTGATGGTAATGGTGATACACCACAATGGTGGTGATGGTGATGATGATGGTGAGGCATGGTTATGGTGACGGTGATGGTAATGGTGATACACCACAATGGTGGTGATGGTGATGATGATGGTGAGGCATGGTTATGGTGACGGTGATGGTAATGGTGATACACCACAATGGTGGTGATGGTGATGATGATGGTGAGGCATGGTTATGGTGACGGTGATGGTAATGGTGATACACCACAATGGTGGTGATGGTGATGATAATGGTGATGCACAGTTATGGTGACAGTGATGGTGTTGGTAGCAATGACGGTGGTGATAGTGGTGATAGTAATGATGGTGGTGGTGGTGATAGTATTGATGGTGATGGTAGTAATGATGGCAGTGAAGGTAGTGGTGGTAATGATGATAATGATCATGGTAATGGTAGTAATGATGGTGATGATGGTGATGGTGGTGATGATGGTAGTAATGGTGGTGGTGGTGGTGGTGACGGTGAAGGTGGTGATGAGGGTAGTAATGGTGGTAGTGGTGGTGGCAGTGTTGATGGTGATGGTTATGGTGACGGTGATGGTTATGATGGTGATGGTAGTGGTGATGGTGATGATGATGATGATGTATGACGGTAGTGATGGTGGTGGTGGTGATGATGTTAATGATGGTTATGGTGATGGTGATGATGATAGCAGTAGGATGGCAGTGGTGGTAATGATGGTGATGATTGCAGTAATGATGGTGGTGATGGTGATGTTGGTAGTAATGATGGTGATGGTGATGATGATAGTAATAGTGCTGGTAGGAATGATGGTAGAGGTGGTTGGTGATGGTGGTGGTGATGATGGTGATAATGATGATGGTAGTAATGATGGTGGTGTTGGTGGTAATGATGGTGATGGCATGATGGTAATAGTCCTGGTAGTAATGACGGTGGAGGTGGTGATGTTAGTGGTGATGATGGTGATAGTGCTGGTGGTAATGATGGTGGTAGTGATGGTGGAGATGGTGATGGCAGTCATGGTAGCACTGCCCTCACCCTGCCACAGGCAAAGTCAGCCTCCCTGGTCAGGTTCCCCCTGGAACCGCAGCTTTCCAGGGGCAGAGCCCTCTTCCTGGGGTCTAGGCCTTCAGCACCAACACATTTGTCCAGTAGCCTGGGCACTGGTCCAATGGCCAGATGGGTGTTGAGCACATACTACCAGCTCAGTGAGTGCCTAGCAATGGATTCGTCTTGAAAAACCAAATACAGCAGAAAATGCTGGCAACAACTTTTCCAGGGCTTGAGATCAGGGCCTGAGATTCTCCACTAGGTAGATAAAATTATCTGCCTGGAAGAGGTATGAGGGTGAGGTAGGATGCGGCGTGGAAGGACTCTAGTATGTAGGGATGCCCACTTCTTAGCAAGCCTTGAAGCTCGTCTATGAAAACACCAGGGATCCTTATGTCACCTGGCTTAGGCATTCAGAGGACGACTGGCGGCTATGGATATTTGGAATACAAGTTTGTCCCACCTCAAATCCCATCTTGCCATCTTGTTCTCTCACAGCCCCCTGCCTTTGCACAGGCTGTTCCCTAGGCCCTTCCATGCTCTGTCTCTCTGGACCAAGATCACAGAGCCCATCCCAGAGGCAAGGACAAATCCACGCTTCCTGGACCCAAGTTTGCTGTCCTTTGTCCCCACCACTTTACTCCACCTCTCAAACATGAGAATAGACTGTCATAAAACCAAGAGAAGTGAGCATGCCCCCTCCTGGGGTAGGACTACCCCACCGCCCTCCCCGCGTCCTCCCCCCCACCGCTTCTCACTGTGCTCTGTGCCTGTCCGGGGCCACACTCAGAAGCTTCTCTGAGCACCTGGAGACCCTGGAGGCTGCTTTAGCCTTGCCCGGCATTAGCATTCCACCTGCGTTCGTTGTGTTTTTTTTTTTCTTAGCCACTGTGTGAAGGTCAGTTTAATAAAAGCCTTACAGCTGCCTGCAGTGGGGTCCCCAGCCCTTCCCCGGGCCCCCACACCCCTTCTCTCACTGTGGGCGTGTCTCCTGCTGGACTGTTGGAGTCAGGCAAGCAGACTCTCTTTTTTCCCATTATAACAGAGTGTTATTCACCATCACTGACTCCCAGGGATTATGATAACAGAGGCAGGGGGCCTGCAGCTGCTATTATGGTGTCCAGCCCATGTCAGGCGGCCCAGCGTGAGAAGCCCAGATCCTCTCTCTCCCGGCTGCACTGAGGCCAGGGCTGCCAAGTCGTGCTCCCAAGGAGGAGCTGCTAATTTGGGCAACAGCTGTAGGCGTTCACTTCCCAAGGAGTGCGCTGTCACCAAATCAGATCTCGCTGCCTTGCCCCTCTCCTTCTTGTCAAGGGGTGACATTAATGGGGGAAGCAGCGTCAGGGACACAGGCTCATTTTCAAAGTCATTGCCTTGACAATATTTCCACGAGGAGTCTCATACACAATCATCATTGAAAAATCCACTTGGCATCTATGTGGCACAATTAGGCATAACGAAGTTACCTCCAAATTATGTATTTTGTTCACTAAATAACGAAGCTACTGACAGGGCCTATGTGAGGAAGACAGGGAAGTGGTGGAGGAGGAGGCTGCCGGGCAGAGCTTGACAAAAACGCTAAGGAACAGAACAGGTTCCTCAAAGCTGCATAGCTGTCACAGAAGCTCCAGGGAGCTTCCAGTTGCAAGGGGATGGAGAAGCCTGATGCAAGAGCCACAGGGGAGGAGGCAGGGGCGAACCCAGCATGGCCAAGACTTGTGCTCCTGCCTCCAAAGAGGAGTAAAAAGATGCATGAAGAAGGGACTGGGCGGGCCGGGCAGTGGCTGTAATCCCAGCACTTTAGGAGGCAGAGGCAGGAGCATCGCTTGAGCTCAGGAGTTCGAGACCAGGCTTGGCAACATGGTGAAACCCCGTCTCTATAAAAAAAATACAAAAATTAGCCAAGTGTGGTGGTGTGTGCCTATAGTCCCAGCTACTCGGGAGGCTGAGGTGGAAGGATCGATCGCTTGAGCCTGGGAGGTCGAAGCAACAGTGAGCCATAATCATACCACTGCACTCCAGCCTGGGAGACAGAGTGAGACCCTGTCTCAAAAAAAAAAAAAAAAAAAAAAAAAGAAGGGACTGGGAGGGTATTTAGGGAAGCAGCACAGTGCAGGATGCCACAGAGCCTGGACTGGGACTCAGAGGGGCAGCAGCAAGAGCCACAGCCTCAGGGAGAGCCATCCCAGGATGGAATGGCTCACAGGGGCCTAAGCTCCGGTCATGGGAGGTAGGACCTGCTGGGGTGTGGCAAAGGACCTCCCAGAAGGAACAGCAGTGTTTCGTGTCAGGCAGGGTTGGGACCCCTTCCCTGCCACCGTCCTGCTGTGAAATTTGGGGCATGTCACCTCACCTCTCTGAGTCTCAGTTTCTTTATCTGCAAAATGGAAAGAATGCCTCTTCGACAATAACATGATATGATTCCGAAGACTGTATAAGTGAATGCAGAAAGAAAACCTGCCCGGTATTCTGTGGGGCACAGAGTAGGCGGATCAATGATGCTTAATATTCAATCAACGTTGGCAACATTAAAAAGATAATTATCTGCCTCAGGGGCCTTCGTTAAAACAATAAAATACTATAAGGATTCATTAAAATAATGCATGTAATTGTTTTAGGGCATGGCTGCTACCGGGCAAGCTCTCAGAATGACAGCGACTGTGACCTCTACTACTCTGCTGTGATTATTATTACTGTTGGGTTCCTTTCCCCGTGAAGAGCAGCAGCAAACCCTCCCTTGCCCCAGGCTGCCCTCCTCACTTGTCCCTGGGCCACTTCCTGCAGTGCCAGTTGCTTGAGATCACCCTCTTGAGATCTGAAGGGCTGCCTCTTAGTGGCCCATATGTATTCTTCAGGTTAAAGTGCTATTTACTTTCAATCCTGTTGACCTGATTTTAATCCCAGCTACATTAATGCCTACAGCCACGGAATGGAATACATTCAGTAGAAAAATAAATTCACTCTCACTGAATGATGCTCTAACAGCAGCAGGCAAAGGTCAAAGACAGAATGCATTGGCTGCCAGCTGCCGGGATCTTGGGAGCGAATCGTTGGAACCTCCACGGGGCCTCTGGATGCGGGGTGCAGACAAGGACGTCGGCCCAGGGATTTTTAGATCCCGCCATGGCTTCTGCTTACACAAAGTCAATTAAACAAACAGCAGCTCCCCTGAGCACATTTCCTGAATGCCTTTTCCTGAAAATAAATTACTTGGGCCAGGCACGTTGGCTCATGCCTGTAGTTTCAGCACTTTGGGAGGCCCAGATGGGAGGATCACTTGAGGTCAGGAGTCTGAGACCAGCCTGGGTGACAAAGTAAGTCTTTGTTTTTTTTGTTTATTTGCTTGTTTGCTTAACAGAGTCTCGCTCTGTTGCCCAGGCTGGAATGCAGTGGCGCCATCTTGGCTCACTGCAACCTCCACCTCCTGGGTTCAAGCAATTCTCCTGCCTCAGCCTCCTGAGTAGCTGGGACTACAGGCATGCACCATCACACTTGGCTAATTTTTGTATTTTTAGTAGAGGCAGGATTTCGCCATGTTGGCCAGGCTGGTCTTGAACTCCTAACCTCAGATGATCCCCCTGCCTCGGCCTCCCGAAGTACTAGGATTACAGCCACTGCACCTGGCCACAAAATTTTTTTGATTAGCCGAGTGTTGTGGTATGCACCTGTAGTTCCAGCTATTCAGTAGGTTTGGGTAGAAGGATCACTTGAGCCCAGGAGTTTGAGACTGCAGTGAGCTGTGATCACATCACTATACTCCAGCCTGGGTGACAGAGTGAAACCCTGTCTCTAAAAGAAATAAAGATAAAAAATAAAAACATAGTGGTAACCTATAACTTAAAGCAAAATAAACCATCTTTTCTATTGCCCATGGGACATTCCCCCAAAATCGCTCATGAAGAAAATCTCAACACATTCCAAAAACTGTATTTAGGAAAATTAATTTCTCTATTTTCATGCTGATCCCCACACTCAGCAGATGGTCAGATTGAGATCCGCATCTGTGACTTAACAAATAGAAACGCTACTTAGAGGACACGAGTCATGCATGGTGGGTCAAAGGCGCAATACTTCAAGAGTTGAAAGTTAGACTGTGAGTCACCATCTGGGACGGGAATGCATCCAGCTACAGGAGCTCACTGGCACGTGGGCCTGGCAAGCTCAGTACTCTGGCATCCCAATCTCTTCTTCTGTGAAATGGAATAATTATCATCATCATAACAAGAATGCCAGCCTCTCAGGAGTGTGACTTTGGGAACTAACGCTAACCTCTCTGAGCCTCAATTCCTGCATCAATAAAATAAGGTTAATGGGATCACTGACAGCAGCCTAGGAGGCTACTGTTAGAATCGGTGATCATGTAAGCAAGTGCCTGGCATGCAGCAGGTGCCCCGCAAATGGCCATCAACGGCCCCTCTTCTTAACCAGGTGAAACCAGCTGGCCTGTTCACCCACACTATGGGCATGTACTCTGAGCAGCTCTGAAATTACACTGCTGTTAGGAAAAATTCATTCTCTGTGCCCTTTCCTGTGAAAACAGATTCCGCATCCATGAGACCAGATGTATTATTTTCTCTCCAGCCACTCTTAGAAACTTGAGCCAGCGCACTCCTCTCCTTGGGAATGGGGGGTACACAAATATTTTCAGGAGGAAGCATGCACAGAGGTGCAGACCCCAGAGGCCCACCTGCAAATGGCCTCAAACCAAAGGAACCATGGTCTTCTGCTCCTTTTCATTTGAACCGTGTTTAGACAGACAGAATCTGCTGCTTTCAGACTGGAGTGTGCACAGAAGCCCCCACCCACGCCAAACACAAGGCAGGATGGGGAGAAGGCCCGAGGCCCTCAGGGATTGAAATGAGAAACCTCCCCCCACCCCAGCATTCATTCCCCAGCCAGGCCCCGAGTGGGTGAGTGTATGGCAGGCATCACACCAAAATGAAATCTCTCCTCTCAACCAAGAAAGGTATTTGACTTCTCTCCATTTCCCCCAGTAGAGCTTGTATTATCTCACGTAATCTTCCTAAAAGCCTGGGCCTCTGACAGGTTAAATCACCTTGAAAGGGCAGAATTATCACTCAATTAGCACTGTTGAAGATTAGCAATTATTTCCGCGTGAAGTGCGTAATCAACGCCTCCGGAAACTTAGTCCATTAGCAGACGCCTCCATCTCCAGAGCTCCAGCAGCCAGGCTTCTCTGCCAACATGGGAACCTGTAGGCCAACGTTCCCAGTCTCAGACAAGCTGCCAGTGCCTACGAGTCTGTCATCTGCTCTCTCCCTTCATTAGAAAAATCCAAATTCTCACATCTGGGATTAGGAACCACTGGTCATGTCGATCTGGTCATATTTCATATTTTTTATTGGATTTTTTTCAAGTAAAGGAACAAAGGTCAAGCGCTGGAGGCAGAGTTGAGCTGGTCCCTCCCGAGTCCCCGGGGCAGGCATCAGAGACACGTGGCTGGAGACACCCCAGCTGTACACTCAAGGTCACGGGTGGAGGAGGAAGTGTGGCTGCACCACCTGGGCCCAGCAAGAGCTCCAGCCGGACCCCAGGCCGTAGTGAGCAGGGAAGGAGACAGGGTGCAAGTCCAGCTCCAGCCCCTCCCTGCAGCCCACCGTCCCCAGCTCTACAGTGAGGCTCCTCTGCTCTGCTCATTGGGAAGGATGAGATGAGAAAAGGGGAGATAAAAGGTCTGGCCAAGCACTCAGCACATTGTTTCTGCAGAGCAAGTGGCTGGCTGGTCGCCCCAGGACAAGCCTGGCCCCAGCCAGCAGGCCAGGCCCGGAGCCCTCTCCAGAGATCCAGGGATCATTCATTCATCAACGTGTTCATTCATTCAACAAAGAGTCACTAGGTGCCAGGTGCCCTGTAAGGCTCTGAAGACATGGCTTTGAACAGGACAGCCAGGCCTGCACTTATGAAGCCTATGTTACAGCACAGAGAGGGGCTGCTGCAGACTGGATGTCTGCATCCCCCGACCCAAATCCACATGTTGAAATCCTAATTCCCAGTGTAACGGTATTTGGAGGTGAGGGCTTTGTGGGGTGAGTGGGTGCAGAAGTAGTCACGAGGGTGGGGGCCTCACAGTGGATCTGTGCCCTCATAAGTGGAGGAAGAGATTGATCTCTCTCTCTCTCTCTCCATCTCTCTCCATCTCTCTCCATGCTCACACACTGAGCCAACGCCATGTGAGGATATGGTGGGAAGATAGCCATCGGCAAGCCAGGAAAAGAGCCCTCACCAGAAACCAGAAACTCAGCCAGAGCCTTGACCTTGGACTTCCCAGCCCCCAAACATATGTCTGTTGTTGAAGCCCTCAGTCTGTGATATTCTGTTACAGCAGCCCAGGCAAACTAACGCAGGGGCCAAGACAGAAAACAAACCGAATAAGGCAGCAAAATGCATACTGTATCTGGTGGTGAGAAGCCACAGGGACAAATACAGCTAAGAAGGGGGACCTGTCCTGGGTGAGTGGCCCTGAGGGCCAGGGGGCAGGAGAAAGAGCCTCTCTGACAGATGATCATTGAGACCTGCAGGGAGGAGCCAGCCATGTGAAGATGGGGAACAATGCTCCAAACAGCTGGTGCAAAGGCCCTGGGGCAGCAACAAGCGTGGACATCTCAAAGGACAGAAAGAGGGCCAGAGTGGCTGCAGCCGAGAAACCCAGGGAAGAGTGGAAGGAAGGGAGGGCAGAGGGCAGGTGGAGCATTGCAGGATCCCAGCCAAGGAAGCTTTGCCTCCTGCCAGTGGGCCTGCCATCACCCAGGAAGCCCCATGGCCCTTGATTCCTGGATCTCACTCAGAAAAGCAGCACAGCACATTTGGAAGCAAAGAAATCCTGTGCGTTCCACAGAGGCACTTCCTGTTCCTCGGGCTCACAGCGAGAGGGCGTTTCCCAGCGCCGCTGAAGTCAAGTTCATATTTTCCTCATTTACCCAAGGTTTCATGCGCTCTGGGGGCCCAGACCCTAGGCTCCAAAGCTGCCATCAACTCAATCTTTCACTTCCTTGTTGCAAACCTCCTCAGCCCTCCGTGCTCTCTCCCTCGGACCCACACAGGAGAAGTGAAGGACTCTGAGGCCCCTGGGGACGGCAGAGCCACGCGGTGAAGGCACCTGGGGCCCTGCGTCACCACCTGCAGGAGATCCACCCACCTGGACCCTCCACTCTGACTGACCGCGTTAACAAAAAAAATAAATATTTATAGCATAAGCCATTAACTTTGGGGGGATTTTTGTTGTAGCAGTTAGCCTCTTCTGACAAATATAGGTTGTGTATCAGAAGTATTTGTCCAAAGAGGTTCTAAGATTGTCTCAAGCCAGAGAGATCTGTGCGATGGTGGGGCGGGGTGGGATGCCATAAACCCGGAAGGGCACAGAGGGGTTAGGCTAAAATCAGACAGAGAAGGAGAAGGGAGAGTGAAGGGGACCCTCTCTCTGGTGCTGGTGCCTGGGCTCCAGCTCGTGAGGACAGAGTGGTGATTCAGGCCCAGTTTCCTCCCAGCGAGCCCAGGGTTCCTTCCACAAATCCAGAATTATGCAAACAAATGAACAACACATCATTAGCTGGACCAACATACAGAACAGATTGGGTGTTGTCAGTAAAATGTGGGGTGTTTTTTTTTCTGTGTATGTATGTGCTTTTCTATCACTTGATACTGTTTGGAAACAAAAGATGAGATTGGGATAAATAAAATATTGATAAAAGCCACCTAATATTCTATGAAATATAAGAAGTGCTAAATATCACCATGGATAAACCTTCCTTATCATGTAAAAGAGTCCACCCATGGGGTGGCCAAGAAATTATGTCAAGTCTGGGTTTCACTTACTCTGGGGTTCGGATTTTCAGTGCAGAGCCCCAGGGCTCCTCGTGCTGTGGGGACCAGGCCCCCAGTTTCAGAGATGCTCCCTGTGCTGCCCTCCTCTCTCTCTCTTTCTCTCTCTCACTTTTCCACCCCACGCTAGCAGAGCTCTCTTACTTAATTAGTGCCCTTCCCCGATTTGGTGTGCAGAAGCTCCCAGATGGCCTCTGGTGCTTTTGCAGAGGTGACATGAAGAGAAACCCCAAAAGAGGACACGAGCTCAGAGACGTGTGGGCCTTAGCCGGGGCTGCACGGTAGCCTCTGAGTAGGGCTGGGACTCGCCCCAATCTCCTGAATCCTACGCTGATGCTTACCCCTGCACCTTGTTGTCTCTCTTTCACTGGGAGCTGGGGCTGGCTGTATTTGGTGGTGGGGGGTCTTTCTTGGGGGAGAAAGCCAGGGGGCTGAGCCCCCAGCGGGTACCTGGCAGGCTCTGGACCTGGGAGCCGGAAGGCAGCGCTGGGTAGGTCCTCTTGCCTTACCATGGGGGGATACGTCCAAGGTCAGAGCTCACATTGAGGTGAGTGTGTCCTGTCCTCCTACTGACCCTCTCTACTGCCCTGGCCTTTCCCCGAGAGATGCTGGACCAGGACAGGCTAAGCAGAAACCAGGGACTCTTTCCAAGGTCATTACAATGCCACAGGGTGGGGTCCGTGCAGAGAACAAAACAGAAGAAAGAGATCTCAACTCATGCTCGCAACATGGCACAAAGCCAGTGCCGAGAACTGTTCTTATATTTCAGAGAGAGAGAAGTGGTGCGGGTAAAGGTGGTGCAGGTAATGGGGTGCACACTTACTTCTTGGGCTGCCAGTAGGGAACAGGGAGGGGCTTCTTGCCGGGAAGCTGTGATTGGCATCCTTGAGTTTTAAATATTTATCTGATGAAACCATTATGCTTTCCCAAGGAGACCTTCACCGGTGCTGAGCTTCCCTGCTAATGAAAAATTCATTACTGAAAGTCCTGCTAAAATATCATAAGGGTCGGACTTAAACTGCTCAAACCCCTGTCTAGTTCCAGCAACCCCACCCCTAGCCAGCCAGCCCCTGGGCTCCCTGACAAACACGACCCAGAAAAGCCATAAAGCAGTCAGGGCTGCCTTCCCAAAGCCATCGGGGGCCATCGTTTCACCTGTGCCACCGGAGCAAAGAGAGCACGCTCAGGGCAGGAGGCCCAGGGAACAGATTGGAGGTACACACTCACACCCATCTTCTGCTCCAGAGTCCACAGTGATTTACTGAGCATCTACTAAGTGCCAGGCCTCATGCTGGGCCATGGACTGTCATCACAGAGCCCCACCACCAGGCCCTGCAGACCCTTCACACAGGAACCCGCATATCAGGCTGAACCTCCCACCTCTGGGTGCCTGTCTCCTTCTAATCCTAGGTTCAGTGTGGAACCAGGAGCTCCTAGTAGCTGACTACAGGTCCCACTTGGCACCAAGGCTGGAAGTGGACTTCCCTCTGGGCCCTGGGAGAATCCCTGCCAGCCCACTTGGGTCCCAGCATCCTGGGGACCTGCCATGAGACACCCCCACTTTTTTGCCTTAGCCAGTGCTTACTGGCACCTCCAACACCACCTCTGCAGGGATGGCCCTGCCCTCGCTGGCAGTTCACTCTCTGGGCCCCTAGATTTTGGTCCCCACCTCTGGTGGCTGACTCCATCCTCCTCTACCCCCTCCCAGTGAGAACCATTGCCAGGCACAGTCCCTGTGTCACAGAGCTGGGTGATGACCTCTAGAACCAGGGAGACAGGGCCTCAGACACAACCTCAGGTTGAACAAGAACCCTCATCTCTCTGAGCCTGTTTCCTAATCTGGAAAGGAGAGTACATCATGATTTCTCCCTGCCCTTGTGCAGGGTGTTAGGAGGTTCCAAGGAACCGTGGTTATAAGATTCAGCCACCTACATGGGGGTCAGAGTTATACGCACCCCAGGATGACAAAGGCCGTGACTTCACCAAAGTTTTCTTTCTGAAACACACAGTCCCTGGCCCATAAAGACATGCAGCCTCTCCCTCCCTGTTGACAGCTTCAAAGACTCCCCACCTTCCTGCCGTTCCAGCTGCAGCAGGTGTGAGGCTGTGAGGTGTCCTCTGAGGATGCACTGCCAAGTGAGCTCACTAAGTGAGCATGTGACGCAGAGCCTGGAGCCCAAGCAGATGTGCCCAACGCTGCCTTCCACTCCCAGCTCGAGAGCCCACTAGACATCTGCTAAGAGCTCAGCCCACTGGCTTTCTCTAACAGGACTAAGCCCAAGAAAGACCTCCTGCAACACACACCCAACCCCAGCTCACAATTTGAGAGACAGCAAGATGCAGGGGTAAGCTCCAAAATGGCATCCAGGAGATTGGGGTGAGTCCCAGCACTGCCCAAAGCCACCGTGTAGCACTGGCCCACACACCTCTGAGCTCATGTCCTCATTGTAAAACTGAATGACTGGACTAGGTCATTGCCTCATTCACTCATTCATTCAAACTTGAATGTGTTGGAAACCTACAATACGCCAGGCACCTCAGTTCTTAGCACTGAGAGATAAAGAAGACACAGCCCAAGCTCTGGAAGCTTTCACAATCCCATGAGGGAGGCAGAGCTGCAGAGAACACTTCACAATTTAGAGGGATGAAAATTCTGAAAGATGGATACACAGAGGCTTCTGTGAGCCCAGAAGAAGCAACTAACCCCACCTGACTTGTCCATCACTGCATCCCAGCACATATACAGAGCAAGTATTGGGTGGGTGGACGGGTAGATAAATGGATTAATGGATTAAGGGGTGGATGGGTAAGTGGTGGATGGATGATAGATGGACAGGCGAGGGAGTAGGCAAATAGATGGGTGATTGAATGGATAGATGAGTGGCTGAGTAGGTAGATGGACAGTAGACAGTTGGGTGGACAAGTGGGTGAATGGATGGGGGATGAATGGATTGATGGGTGGGGTAGATGGGTGAATGGGTAGATGATGGATGAATGGATGGGTGATGGATAGATGGATGGATGATAAATGGGTGGGTGGATGAGTGCATGGATTGGGGAGAGAGAGAGGAATAGATGGGAAGATGGATGGGTAGAAGGATGGATGGATGGATGGATGGATGGACGGATGGAAGAGAGGGAGAGGAAGGGAGAGGAAGGGATAGGAGGAGGGACAAGGGCCTCTGATTTTTCAGAGGAGCATGAACTGTCCCCTCTTCGGTGTCCCTATAAAAGCTCACTCAGTCAGCAAGGGCCTGACCCAGAGAACTGTTGTCCAGAAGCCATTTAACAAGAGACAGATGGACAGAGATAAGCCAAGGACAGAAAGAAAGGAGAGAAGGATGTGATGAGAACAGACAGAAGAAGACAGTGTGGAGAAGACCCTGTCAGGCAGACAGAGCAGAGCTGGAAGGAGAGCAGAGAACAGGCAAGTGCCAGCCACGGGGATGGGGAGAGGAGGGAGAAAGGCTGTGGCAGGGGTCGTGATGAACACAAAGGGAGCTATAACACCCGCTGTGACAAGGTTCCGTTGTGAGCAGGTCTCTGTTCTGCCGCTTTATGAATATGTGCCAGTAAACAGCAGATGTGAAGTCCCTGCGCTCACAATTACACTGCGGTGACAGTGACTCAGGCAGCAGAGGGCCAGGGGCTTCCACCAGCCAATGGGCAAGGGGCTGAGGGGCTAAGTGGGGGGGCGTGTAGCGTGTGTTGGTCACCCTTGCAGCCTGGTCCGTGGAGCGGAGCAAGCATGGTATCCGTGAGCACAGTGGGACAATATGGGCAGCCTGGTTTGTAAACACCAGCTTTCGACAGCCCCACCCCGACCACGTGTGCCCCAGGGAGCGCATTCCTTCCCTTGCCCTAACCCTAGACAGTAGCACAGGGAAGAGAAGATGAAGTTGGGTGGGCCCCTGTCCCAAGCAGCCACGAAGAGTGGACACAGATGAAGGGGACCCGCCCTGGTGTGCTCCAAAGTGAGCCAGACTCTCCAAGGAGGCTGGAGCTGGCATCAGCAATCAATAGCAGTGAACTCCTAGGCAATGAAAAAAGCAGTGTGACCAACAGCATGTTAATTAATAAAGCCCAAGAGAAGGACTGCCAAGTGGCATCGGTGAAAATCTCAGGCCTCCCACGGGCCTGGTCACTGCCCAGGTGCACATCTCCCACCTTGACTGCCTGGACCTGCCGCCTGCCGGGAGTCCTGGCCTTCAGGGTCATGCCTGCCAATCCACTGGGTCCCCCCAGCAGCCAGCACACCCCATCAGCATGCTAGGTGCCAGGAGCTGCAGGCCCAGCCACGCTGCCCTTTGGGAGTGTCCCATCTAGCAGGATTTTGGACATCAAAGGTCAAAATTCCTAAGCAGGGCACCCGAGGCCCTCCCTAGATCCAGCTGTCTATGTATTGCTAAGTTCTGTTCCACACTGGTCTTCAAAATTATATCTGATGATTTAACATGGTTCATAACGGGAGGTGGCCTGACTGAACTGAACTGTAGCCCCACTCTGGAACGCTGACACTGTCCCCTAATTGTGGATGCTGTAAATAACATTGCTGCAAACACCTGCATGTGGGGAGTGCTTTCCTGGTTTGGAAGGACAGATTCCCTTCAGGGAAATTCGCACAGAGTGGGTTCCGCAGCCATGGGGTGGGTTGTGCTTTTTAAAACAAGAGTCGTGTCCATTTACAACACTGGCAGAAAAATGCATGAAAATACCCTTTTCGCCAGACTTTGGCTAGCATTGGACACTACTTTTCGTTCATGGCTATTTTTTTGAATGTCCCAGATATTTCTTGGTGACAACTGGGGCCAGGGGTAAAACAGAATCCTAACTGATTCCTGGGGACTGAAATTGTCCAGTGGTGGGAAAAACAGGAGAACAGCAGATCAGCGTCTGCTCGGAACACCAAACACTTGGGAGAGTTGTTTCATCCCTTGTTTGGAGATGCAGCTCTAGGGGCGTTATGTCCAGTTAGAGTGAAGTTCACAGCTGAGCTGTAAAGAAACAACAGAGCGTCCAGTCCAACAGTTCTCCGGCCCATGCACTGAAACCCAGTGAGGAATGCCAACAAAAGGCCAGGCCTGGACCTCCGCAGCACCTGGGCACTGGTGTGGCCCAAAAGCCACCCACTGGGTGAGCCTCACGTCCATCTGGCTTGAGGTCTGCTCACTTTGTCCAAGCCCTCACTGGGTGGCGAAGGACATGCCAGAGCACGGTAGGCAGGGGAGCCCATCTCCTGACCCTGCTTGACTGCTCTTTCTACCACATCACCCAGCCCCCACCTCACCCAGCCCCCTGCCCCATGACCCGGTGACCTCCTGGGCCTCTCCAGGGCCTGGGGATAAAGTCTAGGCAGCCTGGCGCAGGACACCCAGCCCACACCCACCCCACTGGCCCTGTGCTCCAGCGGCACGGGGCCAGTGGCAGCCCGCAGAAGACCCCACACCTTGACTCAGCAAGATATTTACAATGAGAATGCTGAGACACCTGCAGGACTGACCTGCAGCCGTCCAGAATCATCACTGGGGCAGAGGGGCCTTCTGCTCCCTACGGCAGGGGTGGACAGGGCATGAGTGTTGCAATGAGACAGACTGGAGTTCCAGCACCAGCCATGCTGCCCCTGGTCCCCAGCTTCCTCGTAGACACAGCGCCCACTCCAAACCTTGCGCAATGATGAAGTATGCTAACATACTGCAAGCACCAAGCTCAGTGACTGGCATAAGAGGTAGGTGTGCAATTAAGTTGAATTCCCCCTTGGTAGCCATCAATCAATGTCAAATAAGTGTATGGAAGCCAGAGGGGGGAAGGGGTGTCTCTGTCTTTTCTGTCTATAACGAAGGAGAATGCTGCTATCATGCTCCAAATGTGTTTCCAACAAAGTGAGGCCGCTCACATGATGGGTCGCTTTCCGACAGCAAAACAGTAGAAAACACAGCCATTAAAAACACAAGATTCGGCCTGGTGCAGTGGCTCATGCCTGTAATCCCTGCACTTTGGGAGACTGACGTGGGTGGATCACCTTAGGTCAGGAGTTCAAGACCAGCCTGGCCAACATGGTGAAACCCCATCTCTACCAAAAATACAAAAAATTAGCCAGACATGGTGGTGCGCCCCTGTAAACCCAGCTACTCTGGAGGCTGAGGCAGGAGAATCTCTTGAACCCAGGAGGCAGAGGTTGCAGTGAGCCGAGATTGCGCCACTGCACTCCAGCCTGGGCAACAAGAGTGAAACTCCATCTCAAAATACAAAAAACAACAACACAAGATTGAAATTTGTTCCTAATGAGCCACATGGTCTTCGCCAGGGCACTTAGCATCCTCAAACCTCAGTTTCATCATCTATAAAGTGGAGGCTGATGACAGTAGTGGGGCCATTGTGGGGAAGCAGGTGAACAAATGCATGCCACAAGAAAGAGCCTCTAAGAGCGGTGTCCGACACAGCATAAGCCCTCAAGAAATCAGAGTTGTTTTTATTATTCTTCAAGTTCACAGAACAGTTTCCTCGCACAATATGCTTTCTCTGAATGAACTCTAATTTCATAATCCTTGTGAGAAAGCTGGAAGAATGAAGTGCCTGAAGGACGTAGAGTTAATGGTGAGTAATTTCCCCAGGAATTCCAAAAGGCTGACCCAGGGAGAAATTCACAAGATGACCTGTCTCACATCGGCTCCTCCGGCTCCTTGGCCTGACACGAGGGACTCTCTTAATTAACTCTATCTTTATTGCTAATCTTAGTAAATCATTAGACAAGATCATCCTCAGAAATCATTCTCACTTCCGTTCATCAAAATTGTGGTTGCCTGTGCCTGTTCATTTCATGTGATTCACGAAAAGTTGTCCTTTTGAACTAGCATGGTTTGTGGGTATTAATCGCAAGTCTATTAGTGCAGACATTGTAATAATGAATTGAAATTTACATCATGTGTAATCTCATTAATTGTGCGATCATATCGGGCCTGACAGTTGTAATGCATTACTAAGGGAAAATAGTCTAATACATGACATTAAAGATGTTATCAAGGTTAATTTGCCTTAAAATGTACTAACTACAGAAAATTTCCCCTTTCCTTTGAGATACTGTGGTTTAAACACATGGTGGTTTAATATCAGAGGAAAGTGTCCACACAAATCCACAGGATCAGAATGGCATGCCTCACCTCTCTGGGGAGAAGGGAGGAGTGGAGATAGGCGTGGGATTTGGAACCACTCAGGTGAGTTTTTCAGCTCTACCACGTAAGTGCTGTGTGATCTTGAACAAACTGCTTAACCTCCCTGGGCCTCACTCAAGTTCTTTGTCTGCAAGGAGCTATGGGAGTCCCTATGCCTCACTGGGTCATCACGAGGCTGAAACAGGCATATAGAGGGCCCAGCAGAATGCCTGGCACACAATAGGTGCTTTTTATTCTTATTCACTGATATGTCCTTGACATCCGGCACGAGGCGTGGCCCATGGGAATTCTATCGTAAATGGATTCAGGGTTGCCAAGGAGAATGCTTGCAGAGAAACAGGTGGACAATAACAACATATGAGCCAATGCCAGATCCAATCCAAAGAGAAAGTAGGACTGGCACAGGTGCCCCACCTGAGACAGGTGACCCCGTGTGGTCCCAAACACAAAGGCTTGAAGGAGCTGCCTGACAGCTTCCCTTGGGCAAAGGCATTGTCCCAACTCAATTATGTTCAGAAATCCTGATATGATACCTAAGTGGGCTGGGTCATAGCCATCCTCAAGCACTAAATTTTTTAAATAATCATTATTAATATAATTCATAGATATGACCTTATTCTTCATTCAATCAGCAAATATTTACAGAGCACCTACTACTATGTATGTATAGTCTTTGTGTTAAGTGCTGACCATAAAGAGCTAAATAGGCTTGACATGCTCCCTGATCTCATGAAATTTTCAAGCAATTATAGTACAGTTTGATGAATGTTATGATGGACATTAAGACACCCTGGGAACTCATGGTAGAAGAAACTAGCATTGTCTGACATCTGGGAAGATTGGTTTAAGTGTGGCTGAAGAAAGAGAAGGAAGATCAATCCTTCAGGAAGATATAACAAGTACAAATATATATGCACCTAACAACATAGCCCTAAAGTACATGAAGCAAAACTGACAGAATTGAAAGAAGGAAAAGACAATTCTACATCTGCAGTTGAAGACTTCAGTGTCCTACTCTCAATAATTATTAGTGCAAGTAGGTGGAAGATCAGTAGCTCTTGACTTGAGCAACATTATCAACTGACTTAACCTAGTTGACATTTATAAAATACTCCACCCAATAACAGTTGAGTACAGATTATTTTCAAGTGCACATAAAACATTCTCCTGGATAGATCACATGCTAGGCTGTAAAACAAGTCTCGGTAAATATTAAAGGGTTGGAATCATTCTAAGTATGTTCTCTGATCATAATGGAGCCAAATTGGAAATCAATATTAGAAAGAAATTTGGGAAAATCTCAAATATTTGAAAAATAAACAAAAGATTTCCAAATAATCCATGGCTCAAAGAAGAAATCACTAAGGAAATTAGAAAATAAACTGAATAAAACTGAAGCACAACATATCATAATGCAGCTAAAGCAGTGCAAAGGGGGAAATTTATAGCTTTAAACGCTGGTATTAAAAAGGGAGAAAACCCTAACATCAATTATCTAAGCTCCACCTCAAGAAGCTAGAAAAAGAAAAATAAGCCTGGAGTAAGTAGAAGAAAGGAAATAACAAAGATCAGAGCAGAAATAAATGAAACAGATGGCAGAAAAACTACACAGAAAAATAAATGGAACCAAGAGTTGGTTCTTTGAGAAAATCAACAGAAATGGTAGACCTTTTGGCTAGACTGAGCATGAAGGAAGAGAAGAAGTTGGCCAGAGACAAGATGGCAGATGAGGAAGAAAGTGTTCTAAGGGCAGGTACCCACCGGAGGGAAAACTCAGAGAAAAGAGAGGACAGGGGACACAGAGGAACTCCAGAAACTGGAGCATGGAGTTGGGGAGAGAGGGCGGCAGGAAGGAAGACTGGGTCTGCTGCAGAAGGGTTACCAAAGATCTTTTGAGCTTCGCTGATGTGCTTGGATTCCACCCCAAGAGCATTAAGCCATCACTGGAAGATTTTAAGCAGAAAAGAGATACTATGATCAAAGGTTTTAAAGGTCATTGCATCTCACAGATGGGAAACGGAGGTTTGGAGAGGTCCTAGGACTTGTCTATGGAGAGGTCCTAGGACTTGTCTAGAGTGATGCAGCTAGCCAGCAGCATTACTGGAGTCATACTCAGCTATTTTCAGCAAAATAGCCTGGAAGAGCACTGGAGAGGAAGCCAGGAGACCCCCAAGTTACTGCCCCTCACTGAGGTCCATGACCTCGTTTGTAAACTGATGGAACCATTTGTAAAGCTCCTGCAGCCCCTTCCAACAACAGCATGAAGGATTCTAAACAAACAGACAAGTTAAGGTCCTTCAGCTGTCCTGAAGTCACACCCAATGTGCACTTTCTATGCTTAATATTGGTCTTAGGAGTACAGCACTGCTCAGTCTGTCCTGTGCCCCAACATTAAGAAGTTTTAAGATTTCATGGCAGACACTGAGAAGATGTAAACAGCACAGCCTCTGCTCTCTGGAACAAGCTTCTACCGCTCCAAAGTTTTGCTTTGAAAATTGGGGCCCAGCATAGTACGAGTGACATTTTCATCACAAGGTAAAATCCTTCCCCCTCTAATCCATCCAAGTCCCTGGGAGGAAACTTGTGGCAAACAGCCTACCCTTCCAGCCAGCAGCAGGAGGGACAACAGGCCGAGGCTCCCCAGGGGTCATCTGCGAGTCAAAAGCAGACTGGAGGGGCCTGGAGAATGAGACTGGGGTCTGGGTGGCCCCCAGAGCTGCACAGCACAGCCAAAAGCTTCCAGACTCCCCCTCCGATCCACTGTGCTCCTCACGCAGACTCCCAGCCGTGTAGTCTGCTGTTTTCAAGGATAAACAGTGAGTCAGTACACGGGGGAATCAGGGGTGAGGTGCAGTATGGGGTTTATTCGCTTTCCCATTTAGGCCTCAGTCCCCAAAACCAACCCATTCACCAGGCTTCCTGTCCAGCACGGTGCTTCCTCTTCACCTCCTGGCCCAGTGTGGGAGGACTCGGCTGGTCCCAGGCATGTTTCTGCCCCTCACCTCAGTGTCCACTCTCTGCTCAAACTGCCCTATCCTCTCCCATGCAAGGAAACTCCCCACTGCCCTACTCCCCTTCTGGAATTCCCAGCCCCTGATGGGGGCACATTGCCCTCCAGTGGGTCTCACTAGGGCTGTTCTGTGGACCCAGGTGATGAAGGAGCAGAGCAGAGGCTGCAAGGTAACAGCACATAGACTCGGCCCTCCATCCACCCATCTCCCTTCCAGCCAGCAGTGAAGGCCTGAGTGCTAGGCAGGGCGCCTGGTTTCCTGTCATTTCTGGAAGCCTCCATGGGATAAACTAGCCCCGGCTCCTGGGGACCTGTGACCCTCCTCATCTGGACAACTGCTCAGCATCTGCAAAGAAGGCTCCATGACATGGGACTCAGCAGATGAGGAAGCCACTGAGACCTTCCATCCCAGGCCCTGCACTGGGGGCATGGCGGGGGCAAATGGCACTGCCTGATAGTTAGTTAAGTCAAAGGACAGCAGACACGTGCACCTCTAGGTGCGTAGGCAGAGCAGGGTGTCAGGTTCCACGTCCACACCGCACCCACCCCATACCTCCCGTGTCAGTATTCACTTGCAGGCCAAGGAGAAAGAACATCTTGGGGCAACTTGGATCTGTACCAGGGCCTAGAAGCCAACTAATCCTCCCAACCACACATCATGGCCACGCCTTACAGGGGAGCACAGGAAGCACCCCCGGCACTGCCACCTCCCAGCTGCAGGGCCTCGGGCCACTCACAGAAACTGGAAGCCTTGGGCTCCCCTCCAACAGGGCCTGTCAACCTTCCTCGTGGAGCAGAGCTAGAAGGAAGTCAGGTGCTTTGGGTGTGGAGAGCTGCCCCCATCTTGAGGACTTATTCTACGCCGTGTACCAACCCACTCAACACTAGGTGGGTGCTAGTGGCGGCCCCATCTGCCACAGTGCTTCCTCTTGACCTCCTAAGGGCTATTTTCCAGATGGGGAAACTGAGGCAGGCAGGGTCACCCAGGTAGAAAACAGCCGCACTGGGTCTGAAGCCAGGCATCTGCCCCAGAGCCTGAGCTCTCAGTGGCTGAGCTTCCCGCCTGCACTTACGGAGGTCAAGGCTCTGTGCAGAGGGAGCAGGTGCCAGGATGGGGAGATCCACTCATCAAAGCCCTTCCCGTGCTGAACCCGGGGCTGTGCACGTCACCTGCACCAAGCCTGCCCTGTTCCAGTGTGGGGACAGGGACGCCGACCTTACATGTGAAGAAGCTGAGGCTCAGACATGTCATCGGCTTTGCCCGGTGTCACTCACTGAGCGAGTGGTCAGGCAGGAAGCTGAACCCAAACCCAGCTGATTCCAACGTCCCAGGCCTTCACTTTGGCATGACACCCAAATGCAGGAGGCCCCAGCAACGATGTGGTATGGGCCCTTGTGACTCCCTGAGGCCCATGCTGCCAACCAGCCCACCTCACGTCTGAGGGCGACTGGCACGTTTGCCAATGTTGCAGACAGGAGGACCAGGACCTCTGCCCTCCTAATGCTCCTGTTGCCGTGCCCGGAAGAACACAGGCAGAGGATCACGAGCTACTCGGGGCCCACAGGGTCGGGGACTACGTCAACGTTGCTCTGTCCCCTTTTCCACCCTCCCTTTCCCAGGCCTGTCTGCAGCCACCCTATGTCCCTCAGTTCCATGTACCTCTGAAGGCCACACAGCCAGGACAGAGACCTTGGCCAGCACCCAGGGAAGCAGGCATCACCACCTTCAAGGTAATGACTGCTTCCTTCCACCTTGGCAACTGAAATTTACAACGGAAGAGATCAAATTAGTCCCATCTGCCTGCTCACAGCTCTGCGGGTTAACAACCGTTATAATTACCGCCCATGCCAGCGGCCAATTACCCCTCTCAGGCCATTCTTTAAGGCAGATTATTTTACATGAAACTTTATAGGGGACACACCATTACCCTGGCCTCGGAAGTCCTGAAGGGAGGGCTGCTGGAAGCTTTGCAGGGCTTCTTCCCTGTGTTTAGCTAGGGGGTGCAAGCAGGCCGGGCCCCAAGGTCCCTGCAAGGTTCGCCTCCACCTCCCTTTCACGCCGCACCTCCAAGGGTGAAAGGACACATCTTGGCCCCCAAGACAGCCCCCAGAGGCCCCTCCAGCCCTGAATAAAGAAAGAAGAAAGGTAGGAGGGCATGCTTCCCCCTCGGATTCACCAGGGCCGGCTGTGGAATCTGCAAGGCTAAATGCCAAATGAAATGAATGGAATCATTCAGAAATGATTAAGAAGGGCAAGATGGCGGCAGCAGCAACAAACCCAGCACAGGCTCTTCCAGGCACAGGGCCCGGGGCAACGTCAGAGGCAGCCCTCCGCCGACAGTGTCAGGACACAGTGAGTAGCTCAGGGGAGGAGGCAGACCCATGTCCACATCACTGTCACTGGCCCTTAGGAGCTGCAGCCCCTTGTTCCCAGCACTAGAATAGCCTGGCACCCAGTGGGCACTCAGTCCTTGAATGGGCGAGGCCTTTCCCAAATACCCGAGATGGACAACACAATTGTTCATCAACAAATGAAGGAATACACAAAATGTGGTCTATTCACACCACGGAATATTACTCAGCCATGAAAAAGGAATGGGGTATTGACACATGGTATGACGTGACTGGACCTTGAAAATATTGTGCTTTGTAAAGGAAGGCAGAAGCAAAAGACCACATCATATATGATTCTATCAACATAAAATATCTAGAACAGGCAAACCCGTAGAGACAGAAAGCAGCTTGGTGGCTGCCAGGGACTAGAAGGAGGAGAAATGGGAAGTGCCTAATGGGTCTGGAGTTTCCTTTTGGGGAGATGAAAATGCTTTAGACCAGGCTGAGGTGGTGACTGCACACACTGTGAATGCACTGAATACCACTGAAGCCACACTTCAAAATGATCGATTGTATGCTGTGTGAATTTCATGTCAATAAAGAAGAAAAGCTGCCTGGGAGATTGAATGATGTCATGCACATGTGGTCCCTGGCCCTGCATGGAACCTCAGGAAATGGTGGCTGGGTCATCACAGAGCCCTCTGGCCTCACACTTCAGAAAACAGTTCCTGGTCCCTTGTTCATCCAGGCAGCATGGGCACCTCCTGCTGCCAGGCCTCTTACAGCCTGAAGAGTAGAGAGAAAATGAGCAAAGAAAGCTCAGAATCCAGCCAGGAAGGCCAAACCTGGCCACAAACAGCCAACACAAGACGAGGAGAGGGACAAAGCCCCGCAGGGTTCAGGGCTGGGAGGATTGCTCCATTTGCAGGACTAGGAAGGCTTTCTGGAGGAGGAGCTTAGAGCTGGGCCTTGAACAGGCCAAGGCAGAAGGGCACCCAAGAGAGAAAGAACAGCATGTGCAAAGGCCCAGGGGCTGGAACAGAGCAGCGTGAGCAGAAGGTTCACCAGCTCCCCACAGATACTCCCAGGGTCTACTCCACACCACTGATATGCTTCCATCCGCCAACATTTCCTGCACGCAGACCTCGGGCCAGACCTACAGCCAAGGACTGAGACGCTGCAGTCAACAAGACCATCCTCCCCACCATGCACATCTGTATTTTCCTTTCTGAGATGTGGCATGCTTCCTGCTCACTCCTCACGCTTCCTTTGCTGCTCATGCTGTGGCCTGCAGGCAGGGTTTGTTCCAGCTGCTCTGGCCATGCAGCAGGGATGGGTGCAATTGTCCAGCCTGGCCAATGATGGGGCTCAGGGATGAGGGAGGAGCAATTTCTCCTGGCTGCAGACCTAGAGCCACCCTTGCCAATAGTAAAGCCGACCTTTGATCTCTAAAGTTTGGCTTGTGCGTCTTATTTCTCAATGGGTCCCAAGCGCAGGATGGGAATAGGGGGCGTCACTAAATGCCCCCTGGGGCCCCATGTTTCCCCTTGACTGACAGCTTCTCTTTTCCTCGGTCTTGCCTTCTAGCTGCAAGTGGGGCCTGCAGCTGGAGCTCAGGGAGTTTCCACCCACAGGTGTGCAAGCGTGCTCACGTGCAAGAGTGCAGAGGAGTATTCAAAGCCATTTCCTCAGAAAGAGGCTGTTTCAGACCCCGCAGTGAGGGACGGGCCTGGAGGAGACTGTGGCACGCAGCCTGAGCTGATTCACAGAAGCCACCTGGGGGGCGCCTTTCCCAGAGGAAGCTGGCACCTTCCAGGGTAGGCGCTGGCCAGGATCCGGGCTGCCCTCCACAAAACGCCAGGACACGCAGAGGCTCTGCCCTGCTATGGTGACCAGCCATCCCTGTCTGCCTGGACTGTCTTGGTTTTAGCAGCAAACATCTCACATCCTGACACCCTCAGTCCCAGCTCCTACCCAGTCTCCCTGCCCCACTGTGTGCAATGGCATGGCCACACTCCATCACATGGGGCAGGGCCATGGTCAGCGGAGTGTGAGGGTCGTACAGGCCTGGGTTGTGGTGCTGGCTCAGCCTCTTACTAACTGTGGGGCCTCGGGCCTTTCAAATCCACTTCTCCCAGCCTCATTGTCAACCTGTGTAGAATGAAGGTAAGGACACTCATCTTGTGAGCCCTTCTGGGTCCTGAACATGCGGCCTGGCAGCCCCAGCACCTGGGCCAGTGCCCCACAGGCCCTTCATACGTGGCCTCCTAATTATCAGCATCTCTGACCCCGGACAAGCCCCCAGCCTCTCCTCGCCTCAAGGTCCTAGTCTGTAAAGTGTGGCAAGTCCTCATGGAAAGCAGCCCTGATGCATGGCAGCTGCTGCTTGGCAGAGCCTGGGTTGGGGCCTTCTCCCTTGACATCTTCCTGGAGACCCTCCCTTTTAGGAGACACTCCTCCCAGGACTTCCCAAACCCAGGATTTGCAAATATGAACACGTCTGAGCTGGTTCTTCGCTTTCTCCCTCTTATGGGTTGAACTGTGCTCCCCAAAATTCCTATGTTGAAGTCCTAACCCCCAGGACCTACGAATGTGCCCTTATTTGGAGATAGGGCCTTTACAGAAGGGATCAAGGTAAAATGAGGTCATTTGGTGAGCCCAATATGACTGGGTGTCCTGACAAAAATGGCCACAGAGACGCTATCCGGGAGAACACCGTGTGAAGATGCAGGCAGAGACCAGGGTGGGGCATCTACAGGCCATGCACGCCAAGGATGGCCAGCAGCCCCCAGAAGTTGCAGAGCAGCCTGGGACAGTTGCCCCCACCCAGCTGCAGATGAACCCAGCCAACCTTGCAGGCACCTCGATCTCAGGCTTCCGGCCTCCAGAACTGCCCGTGGTACTTTGTTACGCAGCTGTGGCTGACTCATACAACTTTCCTACACCAGCTGTTGCACTGCAGTCAGGAGTCCTCCTTCCTGTGCACATCCTTGGATCAAGCTGTCTTGTCACTCATACTGGTGCCTCCTGTCCCACAGATGGCCATTTCTCAAAGAGAAAGCCTTGGTTCCTACCCAAGAGTAGCTGTGCACACGGAGGGGTGAGAAAAAGGGCAGCGCTCCATGGGCTGGTTTTCTCTATTAGGAAAGCAGCCCTCCTGTCCCCACCCTCACGGGCCACAGTTCACATCCAGGCCACGGCGAAATGGCAGGTGATACCACATCTGTGTGAATTTCCAGGCAGAATGGAAGAGCCCGTCTTGGCCAAGAGGTGCAGTTCCCCTGGCAGGCTCTGCCCTGCCAGAAGTGTGTCAGGGGGTTGCTGGGTATCCTGGGGTTTACTGTAAAGACCAACAGCTCCCTGGTGCGGGTATGGCTTCACGGCCCCAGCACGACCACGTGCCTTCCACAGTACTGCCGTCCACAGAGCCTTGGAGGCCCAGGAGCAACAGCTTTGAAACAGGCCTCTGGGCCAGAGGAATTATAACAATTATGGAAGCTGTCTGGTGTCCTGCCACTTGGGATTAATTAAATGGTTTCCAACTGTGATGGAGGCACCACATAAAATACTTTTAAATTAATTTTTAAAGAATAAATGAGAGCATTAACATTTTATGCCCTAGCTGAGGGATGGGGACAGGGGTGTGGGCAAAGCTGGAGAGGGCAGGAGACTGAACAGAAAGAGCACTGTATCAAGAGTCCCAGAACCCCTTAGCCAGCCCCACCCTGGCTGGCCCTGCTGGGTGCCTCTGGGCCTCAGTTTGCCCACCAATACAGAGAGACAGGGACAGATGACCTCTTCATCTATGGGCTCTGTTCGGCGGTGGGTAGGCAGCCTGGCAGGCCATTCATCCATCCATCCATCCATCCATCCTTCCATCCAACCGACATCCAACCATCCATCCATCCAACCGACATCCATCCATCCATCCATCCATCCAACTGACATCCATCCAGCCAGCCATCCTTCCATCCAACCGACATCCATCCATCCATCCATCCATCCATCCTTCCATCCAACCGACATCCATGCATCCATCCATCCATCCATCCATCCTTCCATCCGACATCCATCCATCCATCCATCCAACCAACATCCATCCAACATCCAACATCCATCCATCCATCCATCCAACCAACATCCATCCATGCAACCAACATCCATCCATCCATCCATCCATCCAACATCCATCCAACATCCATCCAGCCAGCCAGCCAACATCTTCTAGGTGCCAGACCTGATGCTGTCACTATAGAGCTCAAAACCCAGCAGGTACGCAATGCCCAGGTGATGGGGATGCAACAGTAGGGTTAGGGCATCTGTGGGGACCACAGAGAGGGCAGCAGGTCCGCAGAGGAACCCTGGGCTTGCAGGGCAGGGCTGGGTGTTTCCAGCAAGGGGGCAGCATGTGGGAGCATGTGTGGGTGGCAGGCTTGCTCTGGAAGCTCTCAGGAGCTGGGAGTGGCAGGGGGAAGGTGCAGGTGGAAGGCACAGGGCCGGCTCACAGGTGGCCAGACAAACCCTGGTAGGGAGTAAGAACTTCACTGCACGCATTGGCTAAGGGCGGCTGGGATTCCTTGTCTTCCATTAGACTCTGCAGCCAGGGAGCAATGCTGCCCCAGCGTGCGGGTGTAGAGCTCTCCCTGGCTTCCCACCATCTTCAACATCCAACCCTCTGGCCGTGGCTGCAAGGCCCACATGGCCTACTACCACCAGCCTTGTCTTGTCAGCCACCTGACCTCCTGCCAGCTCCTCCAACAAGCCAGGTCTCCGCTGCCCTCAG
The DNA here is from genome assembly GCF_000001405.40 of Homo sapiens. Taxonomy (NCBI): domain Eukaryota; kingdom Metazoa; phylum Chordata; class Mammalia; order Primates; family Hominidae; genus Homo; species Homo sapiens. The sequence goes on along the minus strand of NC_000004.12, from coordinate 7,337,511 downwards.
GGCCGGTGCACCTGCGCTCCCTGCTACCTGGAACTCTCCCCGACCTCTGCCTGAACTTCCACCAAGTATGAGTCTGAAGGTCGCCTGCTCAGGAAGGCCTCCTGATCCAGTGCGGGCACCTTCTCCCGGCATGAAGCCTGACCACTCCTGCCCCCTGACAACCACCCATGCCATTATTTGCAGAGTGCTTCTCTCGGCCAGCAGACCGCACGTTGCAGGTGGGCTGGGACACATCCCTCCCCGTCAGGTCTCCCCATAAGGCCCCGCACACAGTAGGTGTTTGACTAATCGTCATGAGTAAATGAACGCAGGGATCAGTGAATGGATTCACTCTAAAATCCCTTCCAGCCCCACCTTCTGCAATTCTAGACTAAACATCTGCCCTCGGTGAGGCTCCAGACGGGAGTGGGTCATGACATGGACTCTGACACGGAGAACTGGACCTCGGCACAAAAAGCCAGCCTCTCTCTTCTCAGCCACGATTGTGTGTGATTCCCAGCACTCTGACGTAAGTCAGCTCAATCAATCCTCACCACCGCGCTGAAAGGAGAGTCATGGCTCCCACTCTCAGATGAGAACTTGGGGCTCAGGGCGGCTCAGGGACAAGTCCAGGATCTCACGGAACCTGGACTCAGACCCAGGGCCTTCTGTTCCCAGCTCCGTGGGGACACAGCCTCTGCCAACTGGGCCCCGAGCCCAAAGTGCCAACTCCAATAGCCTCTGGAGCCTGCCACCCAAGCTGCTCAGGGATTGCGTCTGGGCACGGCTCACCCAAGGTGCTACTGGCGCTTCCACCAAGATGCGAACAGGAGGTCCTGGGACCCTAGAAACCCCATCCTTGGAGACAAGAGTCCTTCATCCATCTGTTCTGGGCACGGCTCACCCAAGGTGCTACTGGCGCTTCCACCAAGATGCGAACAGGAGGTCCTGGGACCCTAGAAACCCCATCTTTGGAGACAAGAGTCCTTCATCCATCTGTTCTGGGCACGGCTCACCCAAGGTGCTACTGGCGCTTCCACCAAGATGCGAACAGGAGGTCCTGGGACCCTAGAAACCCCATCCTTGGAGACAAGAGTCCTTCATCCATCTGTTCGCATTGATCTCAGCCGGGGCCAAGGGCCTCCGGGGAGTTGGGGGTCTCTGGGAAGGAGGACAGCAGTCGCAGTCTCAGAGCTCTCCACTGGGAGACACCGCCACCCAGAAGCCAGCAGCATCCCCAAGCTGCCCGCTGGATGCTTCTCCTCCCTTCAGCAGAGCAGACGGCTCCCTGAAACCCCAGTGAGGGAGAGTAGGGGCCATCTCCACCACGAGCAATCGACCAGGACGCAGGGCAGGGGCAGCGGGGCCTCAGCTATCAGTGCCCTCCTTCCTTCCAGCACCCTCGAATCACAGCACACATGGGGACGCGGAAGCTGGCAATTGTCACCTGACACTCCAGGAGGGCAAGTGAGCCCCTGCACACAGCGCTTATGGTGACAGGAAGTCACCTTACCATCATCCCCCAAGTCACAAAGGACAGACTCAGGCGCATGCCAAGCCCCGGCCAGGAGGGGGCAGAGCTGAGACACGAGCTGGGTCTGTGCCCTAACCCTGGCAGCTCAGGTCACCGGTAGGCCCTGCCAAGCCAGCTTGGGTCTCCAGGCCTCACCCCCGCACCCGCACTCCATGCCAGGCATCCCTCCTTGCAGCAGAGGATCTAAGCCACTTGGGCCTGTTCCAGTCGCCACGCCACACCCCCCAGCCGGGAGCCCGAGCAAGTCTTTCAACCTCCTTGAGCTTCAACCTCCTGGAAGGTAAAATGGGCCAAATGCCATTCTTGAGAGCAGTGGGTGAGCTCAGAAAGCCTGAAGGGGCTGTGTGCGTGGAGGGATGGGAGCTGCCAGTGAACAGCCCTGGAAAACCACCCCAGCCCGCCTCCAGCAAGACTGCAGCTGCCTCCTGAACTGGCCGTCCTCGGGTGCCCCGACAGATGAGGCCTCGGGCCGGAGCAAGAGGCGGGGCAGGGTGAGGCCCGCCCAGAGAGAAAGAAAAGGCGTCCTGGGAAGGCAGCGCTCAGCACGTGTGGGGTCTGTCGGGCCTGGAGGAATTCCTCTCCCATGTTTGGGTTCTCTGCAAAATGTTTGGGTTATCAAAGCATCTCCCCTCCCCATAAAATTCCCTTCACTCCCCAGGGAGGGCCCAGAACAGAAACACTTTCTCTTTTTTCTGATTTCCCAGACTAAGGGGAGACTTGTACAAAGACAATGAAAAACAAGACATCTCTTGCCCTGTGGTTGGAATTGAACAGGTGAAAACTTGAACGTAGAGAGGAAAACTAGGCGTGTGCCCCGGACGAGGATACTCAGAATTTCTAACACAAATTTGGATCTGACCACGGCACAGATTCCCAGCTCTGGGCCGGGTGCTGCAGAATGGGAGCTGAAGGGACACAGATGCCCTCTGTGTAAAACTCTCCATGGCTCCCCACTGCTACTGAGATCAGGTTCAAAGCCCATGGCCCAGCCGACTGCATCTCAGTCCATCCCTTTAGCTTTATTTCCCTCCCTCCCTCCACACCCGTCTCCTAATCCTCAGCCTCAGAGCACTTCCCTCCGCTCCCAGAAGATGCCTGATACTGACACTCGCTGTTCTCACCAAGAACTCCCACCCTGCCAGCTCCACAGGCCAACTCCTATCATCCTACAGGGCCTGCTCACACGTCACCTCTTCCATGAAGCCGGCCAGGAGGACAGGTCTCCCCTCTCTGGGCCCAGGCACTTTGTCCGTGGCAACCTCCCCACCTGATCATTATGGGCTGCCTTGGGTTGGTCGGTGACCACAGGAAGGCAGTGACCGTGTCCACCTCCCCTGTGTCCTCAGCGCATGTGCACACTCCCCGCCTCTGAATCCCTGTTGCTGCAGGAACTGACAAGGTCCAGGTGACCCTACTGTCTGCTCCTAATTACCCACAAACAAAAGTTCAGCTGCCACCCCTCAAGCATGCTCACTGAGCACCCCCCAGGTGTCAGGTTCTGTGCTAGGCCTGGCCCTCAGAGCTCACTGTCTGGGGTTGGCAGACACAACAAGGAACGGGAGGAATGGGAGGGGGGACCAGCCCCTGGGGGGCTGTGGAATCTGGGGAAGGAGGGGCGGGTGAGAGGACTGACCAGGGGGACAGGGAGGAGTGTAGGGGAGCGCCAGGTGCCAGGTGATGGGGAAGGAAGGCAGGCTGGGGAAGGAGGAGGTCCAAGGTGGCTGCTGCGGGAAGGGGCTGAGAGCAGGGCCAGGACCCGGGGTGCGCAAAGTTTGGGGAGAGCCTCACTGCCAGGCCCAGCCCTGCACCCAACATGCCTGTGTGGGCACCTTCTTAAACTCTGCACCCTGGACGTTTCACTTGTGCCGCCCTCGTGGGCTCTTGAGAGGAGGGTGAGGGGCCGGGGGACTAAGGTGGGGAGGAGCTTGGTTGTCACCCCAGAGTTGACGCGGAGCCTCAGGAAGCTGTGAGGCTGGACAAGGTCCCAGTCGGCTCTGGCAGCAGGGGACGCTGTCCCCAGCTGAGTATGGAGGCTAGGCCCAAGGGGCAGAGATGGGAGAAGCGGGATCAGAGGCCAGCCCTGCCTTCTTCCTGCCTTCTTAGTCAACAGCCAGCTCCCACTGTGAGTTCCAGCTGGAGAAATGCGGCTTCCCTGGCCCCTTTCCCCAGCCCAGCTCAGCGAGGCAAAATGTTTTGACAGAAAGCACTGACCACAAGATACAACTTCATGTTAAATGTATCTCACCCACAGCTGCCTTCTTATAACTTTCAGATGAAAATAACAGGCTTGGAACCTGTGGGGAGACCTGGGCCCCTGGGCTTGGGCTAAGTCAGGGTCTGGGGGAAGCAATGGCACACGCAGTCAGGGGCCTGGCCAGTCCCCAGGTGAGGCAGGGAGGTGGACGACGAGGGCCCTGGGCACCCAGTGGCCCCTCTCTGGACATCAGTCTCCCGATCTTGAAACTCAGAGGCTGGGCCAGAAAGTCCCCCGAGTGAGCCCCTCCTGCAGGCTGGGCCCTGTGCAGTTTAGGGAGCACGTCCCACCAAAACACCCCCACAACAGAGCAGAAGAGGATGTCCCATCTGGGCTGCCGCACCGGCCAACATCACACACGGGAACACGTTTAACACCTTCAGCAGCTTCATGGGTAACTGCAGTGGGTCCCATCAGCCAGCTAGGCAGAAAGTGAGAGGGGGACTCAGCTAGGAAGTCACTCCAGCCCCGGGGCAGAGGAAGCAACACCCAACGCAAGAGGCAGGTGTGGGCACCAGGGTTCTGCCTTGGCTGCTCCTCCGAAACTCAGCCAGTCAGAAATGGGATGCCCTAGTGGGGTGGGGTCAGAGGCAGAGGTGGGGCAGGCTGCCTTCCTGCCTGCACGGCCACACCGCCTTGTCCCATCCACTTGCTCTCCTGCTGTGACGACCACAGCCAACAAGCTACACACTCTGTGAATAAAGACCAGCCCCCAGGAGCCTGTTCCGTGCCAGGTGCCTTCCACGTGGAACACCTATTCTAACCCTCCTCAAAACTCCGCTGGGTAAATATGGCTCTCCCTGTTTTGCTGATGTGGAAACAGAGACTGGTCCAAGGCCACATCTGGTAAAAGGCTGAGCTGGGACGTAAGCCTGGGGGTGGCAGAGTCCACATCCTGCCCTCCTCCTGCCTCACCCACACTCTGCCCCATCCCCAGTGGCCAGGCCACCATGTCCCCATCAGAGGCTGAGGTCATGTCATCCACAGGCAGCGCTGGGAGCCAAGAGGGGCTTGTGCTCACTCGGGTTTGTTTGGATTTGGAGGCTCCAGCCCTGCACAGGGTGTGACTTCCCCATCTGCCTCTAGACAGGTGGCCCAGTGGATTGGGTGAGTTTTGAGTCCTTCAGGGTGAGCACCCCTCATATGCTTCTAGATGCTTTGCTTCATGGGGCTGAAGTCTGCCGTCAACATGCCCAGCCCGGAGAGTGTTGCCTAGGCCAGGGTCGGGGGTCACAGTGGGTCGGGGGAAGCTGATTTCTCCAGGCTCAGTGTGACTCCTCCATCCTCCCCTGGACAGAAGCAGAGGCAGTTGTATCATGGGAGCTGGCTGTGGGCCACCACATTCCTATCTGGAGAACACCCACTGTCTGCAGGAGGCTGCGGGTGCCTCTGTGGTCCTGTTCTTGGAGAGCAGCCTCAGAGGAGCTGAGACGTGGACAGAGCCTGCGGACAGGGCCCCCGGGATTGCCTGCATGTGGCAAACCATCCCACACCCAGCTGGCACTTCTCGGTCACCTTGGCCTGGCTGAGAGCCCCCCACATCAGGGCAGCAGGCCCTTCCTGAGCTCCTGGCACTGAAGGAGCAAAGATAAGGATGCTCTCCTGTAGCAAGGACAAAGGAAATGCCAGGCACACAGTTGGTGCTCACTAAACATGCGTTCTCTCCCTCTCCTCTGAGCCATGACTGGCCTGTGGATGCTCCTCCATTAACAAGCTGTACCCCTAATCTCACCCCCAGAAAGAGCCTTAGCTGGGAGTCTTCAGCTCTCAGGACGGCCTGGCAGAGGGCGGACGCTGGATACAGACCCAGGCTCCAGCCCCAGTCATACCCTGTAGGAATGCCTGCGACATCTCAGACAGCTCCTTTCGCTCTTGCAGCCTCAGTGTCCCCACCTGTCACTTGGGGCGCCTGCCATCCTCCCAGCAGGGGTCCAGGGCTCACAGGAGGTAAAGGACTGAAGCCACTGACCCCTGCCTTCCAAGGCGCTCTGCAGACCCGCTTCGTCAGCCACCTGGGGGCTCGTTAGAAACAGACTTTCCTGCTTCACCCCGACCCACTGAATCAGAATGTGCATTTTAACAAGATCCCCGGGGGCGTGGGTGGACAGGAGTCTCAGACCTGCTGCTGTAGAGGATCTTAAAGACAGGCCCTTCCCTCCCACACCCCACTGGGTTTCTCAATCCCTCACTTGCTCTGACTCTAAAGCCCTTTCCTCCCACCTGTGGCTGAACTGAGGCATCAGCTCTACCAGGGTCTCTTAGGGGACCGCAGTCCGTACCTCCTTCCCGCGTGGGTACTGTCACTCCCAGCTTCATGAAAACACACAGTGTGGGGTCCATACCTGCAGCAAGGGTCGATCACCCACCCCCACTTCTGCCTTGCTGTAGGGTGACTCCAAGCTGTCTCAGCCAAGGATCACCCTGCCAGGAGTGAAGACCTGCACCCCAACCACCCCAGCCCCAAGAACCTGCCCCAGCCCAGGCCCAGGTCACGTGAGGTGCATGCCGAGCCCCACAGCAGTCTCCAGCCCACGGAAAATGAAACCCAGACTCCTCTATGGGGGTGAAGCCCCCCCACCATGTGACACAGCCTCCTCCTCACCAGTTCCTCCACCCTGTCCCCACCCCCAGCCTCTCGCCGCCCCTAGCCCTCCCTGGCCCTGGAGCACACCAAGCGCAGACTCCCTCAGGCCTCTGCTTCTGCCATTCCTTCTGCCTGGAGCCCTCACCCTGGATCTTCTCACCCCCAGCCTCAGCACCCACATTCCTCTCCCTCGCAGGAGGGTGAGCGCCTGCAGGCTGTGGCAGCGAGCCTTGTTCACAGATGTGCCAGCACTGAGGACAGCGTCCTGTCCATGGCGGCCGCGAGTCCACGTCTGTGGAACACACGTGGTGGGAGAGGTGTTGGGGGTGTGCCTAGGGGGCACCCTAGCTTGCCAAGCGTTCACTGAGAGACCTCAGGAATGTTCCTTCCCTGGAAGTCTCCGTTTCCTTGATCACCTGAGCAAAGGTAGACATCCTGCCTCTGAGGGCAGGTGCGAAGTTCCAAGGTGAGCATGGATGTAAGTTGCACTGCAGAGCACAGCGGGCATTGACTTTCACTTCTAAATTCTAGCCGTTGTTTCTAAATGTCCATTTCATTTCTAAATTCCAGAGGTGCCATGCCAAGCAGAAGGAGCCAGGAGAGCTGAGGACTCGCCCCAGCCACAAGCCCCAGGGTGACACAGACTCGCTCTTTCCCCATCAGTCAGGCAGCATTGGACTTGGACGTCAGGGGTGTGCGTGGGGGTGGATGGTAGGAATCGCAGCTCAACCAGACTCATCCTCCAGAGAGGGCGCAGGCACCTTTGGGCACAGCTGCCCTGACCTGAAATTTGCCGAGAAGCTCTTTGTGATACGCTGAATCACAGCCCCTAAAAGGTGTCCATGTCCTAATTCCCTAAACCTGGGAACGTCGCCTCACGTGGTCAAAGGGCTTTTGCAGATGTGATTAGGTGAAGGCTCTCGGGATGGGGAGATTATCCTGGATTATCCAGATGGCCCTAATGCAATCACACGTGTCCCTGTAGAGCAGGAGGAAGAGGGAGATTGGACGACCAAGCAGGAGCCAGGACAGGCGGCAATGGAAGCGGGAGGCTGGAGTGATGTGAGGGAAGGGGTTGGAATGCGGGTGGCCCCTAAGAAGCTGGGGGAGGCAAGGGACCAGATTTTCCCCTAGAGCCTCCAGAAGGAACCGCACCTGCCAACACCTTGAGCTTAGTCCCTTAAGACTCATCTCAGACTTCTGACCTCTCAAAGTGTAAGACCAAACAGGTGCTCCTCGACCCAAGATGGGGCCACATCCAGATAAATGCAACATAATTGCAAATATCCTGAGTCAAAAATGCATTTACTCCCCCTAACCACCAAACACCGTGGCTGAGCCTGGCTGACCTGGAAAGGTTGTATGGGTATTCAAAGTACAGTTTCTGCAGGATGGATGTCACTTTCACACTGTTGTGAAGTCAAAACATGTTAAGTTGAGCCATTGTAAGTTGGGGGCTGTCTGTACATTTGTGCTGTCTCAAGCCAGTAAGTTTGCGGGCATTTGTTACAGCAGCGGTGGGAAACTTACATATGCTTCTTCGTGTTTCTCTCCTGCAATGTGTTTGGCAGGAGAACTGGGCTGAAGGTCTTCACCAAAGAAACCTGCCATGAAGAGGCCTCTCCCCCAGACTGAGCTACCTGCAGCTGCTGTGTGTTCAGGGTAGGGGCCACGTCCAGCATCTCAGGGGACCCCCTCAGCGGCACACATGACTATCAGCGCAGACACTAACCATTGCCACCGTGGCTCAGGGTGGCTGGCCCGGGAGGTGTCCTCCATGGGTGGGAAGAGTCTTCTTTTACGACGTTTGCTCTGCCTGAAGCTCCTCCTGGCTCCCACATACCCAGACCCTGGTGGCTGTCCTCTTGCCAAGTGTGAATGCTGCTGGGTCCACGTAGGCAGACTGACACCATGCCCTCCCAGGCCCCGGGCCCGCCTGTAAGCCAGGGCTCTGTGGGCCATTCGGAGCCCCTACTGAGTGGAGGAAGCTGGCCCTGTGCTCTCGGCTTGGGAGCTCTGAGTCACCGGACTTGGAGAATGCCTGTGGATTCTTTCCCAGGGCTGGGGCACAGGCTTGGCAGGGATTCAGAGCCACGGTCGCCTCCGTGTGGCCTTCACACATGGCCTTCCTGCATGAGGGCTCCGCATGGGCCTGGCCTCGGGGGGCCACACACCTCACCTGACCAGCCGTTGTCAGCCAAGAGCGGTCTGCGGAGGGTGCTTGGGACTCAGGAGCCCAGTCCCTCCCCTGAGCTAACTGCCAAGGGTGCCGGCAAGTGGGGCTGCTGGACATGGATGCTCATCCTCAGGCCGGAAGGGACGGTAGAGATGGGCTGGCTGAGGCAACTCTGCCAGCAAGTGCTGAGGGTAGCCCCTGGTCGGGGCCACAGACTGGGTGAGTGGCAAGACCAGGACTTGTCTCCAAGGCCCCTTGCAGCTGTGAGGAGCAGGGAAGCATCTGTCTTGCTTCTCTGACATACCCAAGTCCGTGAGGCCAGGGCAGGGCTGTCGGTGGGCAGCTAGGTACCTGAGGCAGAGCACGAGAAGGTGCTCCAGAAACGCTTCTCGCATGAATCAATGGATGGATGAATGAACGAACTCCACTCTGGCTACCTGGGGCTTGTACCTGGGCAGCCCTCAAGGAGCCCTCACTAAAACAAACCTGTGCAGATCTGTGCCTCAGTCCCAGCTTTGAAGCCCTGGCCAAGCGATTTAACATCTAGGTGCCTCCGTTTACTCTCCTGCAAATGGAAATGGTCACAGCTCCTGCCTCCTAGAAGAGCCCTGAGGATTCAGTGACAAACATCTATCAGAAGCCTAGCACGGGCCGGGTGCGGTGGCTCATGCCTGTAAACCCAGCACTTTGGGAGGCCAAGGTGGGTGGATCACTTGAAGCCAGGAGTTCAAGACCAGCCTGGCCAACATGGTAAAACCCCATCTCTACTAAAAATGAAAAAAAAAAAAAAAATTAGCCAGGCATGGTGGTGGGTGCCTGTAATCCCAGCTACTCCGGAGGCTGAGGTGGGAGAATAACTTGAACCTGTGAGGCAGAGGTTGAAGTGAGCTGAGATCATGCCACTTCACTCCAGCCTGGGTGATAGAGCAAGACTTGGTCTCAAAAAAAAAAAAAAAAAAAAAAAAAGCCTAGCACGAGGCTCAGCACACAGTAGGTCCTCAAACTCTGATGATGAGGAAGAGAAGGAAGTTCCTGAGACGTGTCATAGTAGAGTCCGCAACCTCAGGAGCCCTTGGTCTGGAGGGGGACAAGAACAGGCATCAAATGCCCTGGCCAGGACAGCACGGTCAGCAGCCCCAGAGCAGCCAAAGCAACGTTGCCGGGGGCGGGGTTGGGGGGGGCGGTCACACAAGCCAAGCCCTCATGCACTCAGGAAGGGAAAAGAGGCTTCTTGGGGAAGCCACAGAGAGGCTGGGCCTCGAAGGACACCAAAGGGTCTGACGGGTCTGCACAAGAGACAAGAGACGTCCCGGGAGACACTGCAGGGGCAAAGGCCTGGAGGGACCCAGAAAGCATGAGCACAGGACAGTTCTGGGACAGGGACACACGCTGGGGCAGAAGCAGCCACGCAGCCGGGAGACCAGCAGGGACTCTGGTCAGGAGGCTGAGTGCAGGGTGGCAGCTGCCATCTATCCAGGACCCAAAACGTGACCTTACTTGGAAATGGGGTCTTTGCAGATGTAACCACATAAAGATGAGCTCATACTAATCCCGTCCCTGTGTCTTTAGACAAGAGAGGAGCGGAGGTCTGGACACAGAGACACACAGGGAGGGGCCACGTGAAGACAGAGCCAGACGGAGGGATGTGGTGCAAGCCGAGGAGCACAGAGCCTCGCCAGGAGCCACCGGAGGTGGGACAGGTGAGGAGGATCCTCCCCCAAAGCCTCCTGACTCCTGGGAGGCCCAGTGGCCCAATAACTCCCTTGATTATAGACCTCTGCCTCCAGAACAGGAAGAGGATGCATTTCTGTTGTTTGACGCCCCCAGCTCGGTGGAACGTTGCGGCGGCAGCTGCAGGAGGCTCATCCAGCACCTAACTCTGCAGGCCTGCCAGCCCCCCGTGAAGCAGATCAGAACAGGGACAGGGGAGAGCTGGATCCAGGTCACAGTGACACAGCCTGGGAGGACTTGCCAAGCAGCTGTGGGCAGGGGTGGAGGCCCGGAGGCCCTCAGCCACGGGTGACCAGGGGACAACAGGAGAGGCCACTGCACCCTGACTGCCCGCTGCCTGCCCATCAATGGGGCTGTTCAGCAGCAAGGGCGTGCTGGCCTTGTGCCAGCCTCTCCCCAGCCCTGGAGCTGCCCTGTCCCACCTCCGGCCGGCAGCGCTTCCTGCCCCGGACACTGGGCCTGCGGAAGCTTGGCTGGCCCCTGACCAGGGCCTGGGTCACAGCGCCTCCAGCCTCTCCGCTGTCCCAGGCTTGGGAGGGTGACAAGAGGGTGAAAAGGACATCATGCCCTGGCGGCGAGGCTGTCATCACTGTGGTGTGTACCCAGCACCAGGCCGGGGTCCCTGCTGAGCCTCCACACCCCTTGGGTGCTTGGCACCAGCTCCAAATTGACCTGGACGAAGAGATTCCCCAATGTTCAGTTCAGGTGATGAGTCTGCCTAAGAAAACAGACCTCGGCAAGGTTCCCATGCCGGCAGCCCCATGCTTCACGCTTAGGCTTGGGGAGGGGAAGGCAGATCCACGGCTGGGGCGGCAGGGCTGTGGGCACCAGGCCGGGTGTGGCATCACCACTGCAGTCTCACAACCAAGAGGGGGGCACTGCTGTACCCACTTTACAGACGAGGAGACAGAAGCAAGCAGCCACCCGATGCCAGGGTCACACTATGACCTGTGGACTCAAGGACTCTGTAAACCAGATCCTGACACCCCTGCTGAGCACCCCCACACCCTCCTGCCAGCAGGACAGAACCCTCTGTCTTAGGCCCTCAGTGATCCTAACTCCCCTGGAGCCTCCCATCCCCACTATTTATCTTGTGATGTGGTCAAACCCCTATCCAGAAGCTCCCAGAACACAGCCCCTCACCACCTGCCTCTGAGCCTCTGTAAATGCTGATCTCTCCATCCTGACACCCTTCCCTGCTGCCCCATTCCCTGAAATCCACTGGAACATCAAAACATCAAAGACCCTTCCCATGAGAAGCCCTCCCTGCTCACTCCCACGCCCTCCACTCAGGGACATTGAGGTTCCCACTCTCTTGGCTCCCCCTGTACCGCGTACCAACCCCCCAACTCCGCCCCGCCCGCCAGTGCATGGATCCCGCTGGGTTATCACTGCCTATGTCTGGTGCTCAACAGATGCTTAGAGGATGGTAACGGGTGTCTCTGTGCCTGAAGAGCAAGAAGACCGGAGGGTGGGCGTGGGGGGAGGGAAGGTCCCAGAGCTCAGGCTGCAGGGAAATTTCATAGTCACTTGATTCCCTCATCTGAGAAGGGCCAGGCCTGGAAAAGCCCTGCCAAGGGGCCTTCCAGAGCGCCGTGCATGTCCCCAAGGTATAGTGAACTCATTACCTCGCAGCAAAGTACAGTCCAGATCCATAGAGTTAAAACCATTGAGTTCCACGGAGCTGCCCCCAGCCCCATTTAGGCCCTTAGGGTGCCCAGTGAAAGCCCCGAGTGCCCTGCAGCTGTGTGAGACCAACAGTTTTCCCCAAATTTCTCCTTTCAGGAATAAAGATAACCAGTTAGCTTTTCCAGCTGTTCCTTCTTGCCTGCTTCATTCATTCATTCATTCATTATTTCCTAGGGGTCTGTGATGTGCTGGGCACCACGGGAGGTAGGTTTTTGCCAACATTTAATTTAAACCTCAAAGCAATCACCCCCACTTAACAGACGCAGACACTGAGGCTCATGGAGGTGAAGCGCGCTGCCTGGCTGGCAGGTGTTGGAGCCACACCTGAAGTGCCTTTGTCCAGAGGGAAAGAGCCAAGATGAAAAGCCCCCCACCTACTCCCCAGTGCCCTGCACCTCCTCATCTGCAGATGGGGCCAACACCCGCCCCACCCAAGGGGGCCTGGGGACCTGGGGAGATGATGCAGATGAGCTTGGTGCGTGCACTCAGCAGCAGGATGACAGCCTCGTCTGCAGCCCAAGGTCCTGTGCGCCACCCACATCCCCACTGCCTTCTGCCCTCCCATCTCACGGAGAGGTTGAGAGACTCCTTCCAGGCCAGGGCGCTCAGCAGAGCCAGAGTCAAATCCAGGAGCTGCCGCCAGCTTCTGTGGGCTCAACCAGCACCCCACGCTGCCACCAGCAGCATCGACTGGGGAAGTGACAAAACCGCCCTCGGTTTGAAAGGAAAATGACAGCTCTTGCACCTCCACTTACACGTGATGGGTTTTGTGTCTTTTTCACCCCTGGCTTCCCCACCTCACACCCACACTTTCCGTCTGCTTTTAAAAGCACATGGGACTCAAGGTGGAGTTTTTTGTTTTGTTTTGTTTTTTGCAGGGTGGAGGAGGTCTCCTGGCAAAAAGCCCATCGCCTGGCCTGGTGGCCCAGGCTGCAGCCAGCTAGGACAAGCCCAGGAGCCACAGGACCAGTCTCTCCCCTGCTTTTCACTGTAATTAAAGTGTGCCGGGAGAGTGAGCACGGCAGGGGTGAATCACAGTCCCACCTGTCAAGGACTAACCCCGCGCAGTTCCCACATCCTCTCATGACAGCTGGGCTGGGCGGAGATGGTGACGCCGGCAGACGGTCCCTTCCCCGGCCTGTTGCCCAGTTGGAGCTGCAGGGGCACCTGTTAGATTCCAGGTGGGCAGCATTTAGGAGTCCTGTGCATCCACCCCAAGAGGCTCTGGCACTCCAAATTCCTCCTCCAACTGCAGCCCTGTCTCAGCTCCCTGCAGCCACCTGCCTCACCACCAGCTACGTGATAGGCCACCATTGCAAGACACCCAGGTGGGAGAACAAGCAGAGCAAAACCCAAAGCCATCTCGTCAGGGAGGCTGCCGAGGCAGCCTGGCTTAGTGGAAAGGGAATAGGCTTTAGAGCCAGACTGCCTGGGTTTGAATCCCAGCCCCGCCACCTGCTGGTTGTGGGATCTGGGCACCCTCCTCCCCAAGCCTGCAAGACCCTGGCTGGGAAACAGGAGATCCCTGTGAGAGACCCATCGCGTAAGGATGGTGTGGGCCTCAGATCCTAGGACCCAGGTAGCCCATGTGGTATACAGTGGGGTCTCTGCAAATGTTAGTCCCCGTCCCCTCCCATGAGATGTGTGGTGTATACCAGTGTCAAGAGTGCAGTCCTTCAAATAACTGAAGCTGGAATGACGTGCCCAGCTCTCCAGGGGCTTGGAATAAGTTCTCCCTCCCAGGATTCCTGGGAGATGGGGGTTCTGTTCCCATTTCTCGGGGGTGGAGGGGAAACTGGGAAATGGGGAGAATCCAGGGTAGAGTGATAGTGGCAAACCAGGACCTGACCCCAGGAGGGACAGGGAAAGATGGGGCTGACTCTGAACGCCACCCTCTACCCCTAGCCACGTGGCAGTGGGCCTGCCTGTGACTGAAGGGATTCCTGAGTGGGAACCCAGCCCTCAACCCCCACAGACTGAGTAGGCAAGGGCACAGGTGCTACCTCCTAGGAGCCTCCCCACATCCTCCCAGCCCTCCTGGTGCTCTGACCCCCCTCAGAGCCATGGGTGTGGGAGTCTGAACGTGGTCTCCTCAGGATCAAGGTCTACCTCTTGGTTCCTTAGGCCAGCAGGGCATTACTGTGCAGTTTTACACCAGCCACTAAGGAGGCCCGTGGGCTGTATTTCACTCGATCCCAGCATCCACAGAAAGCCATGATTCTCCTGGGAAACCAACTTGCTTTATCTCTGGGTCGCAGGACTACTGTAACCAATCCAGTTCTCCTTTTCACTTTGGCTGCTAGGATGCTCCTCATCTTACATTCAGTTTTGTTCTTTTGCTATCATTATGTGCTCTTTGTGCTAATTCCCTCAACTATTTGTTATCTTAGTGAAGTGTAAGTACACAAGTAAGCTACCTAAGGCCATTTGCAAAACTGGCGGTTATTAATACATAAATAATATTTGACCCCATTGCTGAGTGATACTTATGTAATAATGCACAGTTCATAAAGGCATTTCCTATGTGTGATAACACCCATTGAGGGCAGAACTGGGAACTAGAGCTACTGGAATACAGAAAAAGATAAAAAACGGGCAGGGCCGTCCTCAAGGCCCTAGTAGATTTCAGCAGAAACTGAAACAGTCTGGATGGGGGTGGGGAGGCAGGCTCTAGGCAGGCAGGGGCTGAGGAGCCGCAGCTGGTCAGTGCTCTTGAGGCCCCAATCATCTCTGCAGAGGGCACTGGAATTTCAGCCCCTCCTCTCAGCACCTCATTTGAAAGTCAGAATAGGTCCTCCCCCATTTGAATCCAAAGCACAAACTCTCCCGAGAAGGAAATCTCTTTGCCAAGCTTGTAGTCCACGGAGTGTGTGCAGCCCAGGGACGGCTTAGGGGCTGAGACTCTTGAGCGGCTGGACAAGGGGGTTGGGCTGTCCCGGCCTCTCAGGGTGTCTGCGCCCCTCCTCCTGCATTTCCGACTTCTGTTCTGTGTGAGTCAATCAACAGTATTCACCCAGTGAACCCCCTGGGCACCATCTACTTTGCCAGCCCTGCCAGGCCCCTGGTAGAGCGGAGATGAGGCCAACTCTGGCCTTCCCGTGCAGCGGGACGCGGTACACCTTAGGCCCCAGTGCATGAGGCCCCGGGAAAGTGAGAGCAGGCTCAGCAAGTGCAGCTGGGCTGGGCCAGGAGGCAGATAGAGGGAGCACATTGTGTCCAGAGACAGCAGCTGCATGCCAGGGCCCAGGACAGAGGGGGCATGGCCACCACGAGGCTCCTCCTTCATCCTCACCGCCCCCTCTGCTCCCACTCTCAGGCCTGGGCACCCACTTCATCCCTGCCCCTAGGACAAGCACTGGGTCTCCAGGCCCTGGCCATGTGGGGGTGGGGCTTGGCCCACATCCCGGCCCCCTCTGGTCAAGCAGCATCTGGTCTAATGAGCACACCGTCGGACAGCCTGCTATAAACCCCACCTGTCTGATGGCAGAGGCCCTCTACGAGCCTCATGGCTCAGGAGGAAAAAGCCTGTTTCTTGGAGGAGCCTCACTAGGACCAAGTCAACCAGCCCCAGCTGCTATGGAAGGAACACGGTCAATACAGCCACCCGGGCTAAATGCACACCAAGCCACGCCAACTCCCCCATGGCTGCCCCTTGCAGGTAAAGTAAAATCGAACACCTTTCCAGCCCTCAGGGCCCCAGAGGGTGGGAACTATCCTCAGGCCCTGGCTCATTCCATGCCCCCTCACGGGGCACTTGAATCCACAAAGCACATTCCCACCTCAGAGATATGCCCCAGCTGTCCCCTGCCCACAATGTTCTTCCCCCAGGGGGCTCAACCACGCCATCCAAAAGCACATGCCCATCACCCTCCTCACCCAGCCCAGCCCTCTTTAGGCCTGGAGCCCACCTGGTCTTGTGCCCACTCAGAATTCTCTTGTTCTCTGGCCTGTCTCCTTTGGTACTGTCCGCCCCCCTGTGAGATGTCAGCTGCATGAGAGCAGGCATCTTCTTTCATCCACCGGTGTCTTCCCAGTGCCAGAAAGAGTCCCGGGATTGAGTTCTTGATTTGATTCTCAGCCTGGGCATTGTTGGTGTAGAGCAGTGCTACTGATTTGTGGACACTGGTTTTATAACCTGAGACTTCACTGAATTCATTTATCAAATCTAGGAGTCTTTTGGTGGAGTCTTAAGGTTTTCTAACCACCCTAAGTGCCCATCAACCAATGAGTGAATAAAGAAAATATGGTATACATACACCATGGAATACTACTCAGCCATAAAAAGGAATAAAATTGTGTATTTTGCAGCAACTTGGATGGAGCCTGAGGCCATTATTCTAAGTGAAGTAACTTAGGAACAGAAAACCAAATACTCTATGTTCTCACTTATAAATGGGAGCTAAGCTATGGGTAGGCAAAGGCACGCACAGGAGTATCATGGACATTAAAGACTCAGGAGGGAGACAGGAGTGACGGGCTTGAGGGATAAAAAATTACATATTGGATACAATGTCCACTGCTCAGGTGAGGGGTGCTGATAAAATCTCAGACTTCCCCACTATACAATTCATCCATGTAACCAAAAACCACTTATACCCCCAAAAGCTATTGAAATTTTATATATATAAGGAAAAAGAAAGGAGAAAGAGGAAAGAAGGAAGGGAGGGAGGGAGGGGAGGGGAAGGGAGGAAGGGAGGAATGGAGGAAGGGAGGGTGGGTCCCATCACCTTCTTTAAGTGAATGCATGAACTGAGCGAGTGTGAATGACAAAGGAGTAGGAGCATCCTGGCTCTCCAATCACGCTTTCCATCTCACCCTTGACCTTTCCCCAGCCTTCCATGGACAACTGAGAGTGACAGGAAGGGCCCCACCTCCAAGGTGTACAGAATGACTCTGGCCAACCTCATCAAAGAGTCACGGGGCCCTGCCTTCCACTGGGAAACAGCCTCCATCCAGACGTGTGGCTGTGTTTGTGTTTCTAAACCCCCACCTGCAGCCGTCTGGCAGACATCAGCTGTCACACCAGCCATCTGGCAACAGACTCAGAAAGCTGTGTCCTCAAAGTAAAATGTCAAATGTGAATCTTCCCAGCAGGTAATATCACTCTCCAGGTGGATGTAAGAAAACCTGGCCTCTTCTATGTTCATCCTTTCTAGACATCAGTACAATGCCTTCTCCTCTGTGGGGATCCATTGTCCATCATTAAAACCACATCTCTGGATGGTAGAAGGCACACAATCACCTATGCTATTCACACTATCTAGAAAAGCAAGCCTTTCTCTGAGCTTACTTTTATGAAAAGTAGTGTTCCCCAGCGTTTGATTTTTTTGATTATCAGTTTAATTCTAACCATTGAGGTAGAAATATATTTTTAAGTGATGCATATATTTCCGTATCTTTTTAAAATCTTATTTTCATTTTTTTTGTAGAGACAAAGTCTTGCTATTTTGCCCAGGCTGGTGTTGAACTCCTTGTCTCAAGGGATACACCCTCCTCGGCCTCCCAAAGTGCTGGGATTACAGGCATGGGCCACCATGCCTGGCCCTTCCTGTCTTTTTAAAAAAGAGTACACTGAATATCATTCAGGATCTCCACACCACCAACTCAACCATCTGTAAGAACAAGGAAAATAACATAAAAGAAAGAGGCAGGGTGGGGGGAATCATTAAGGATTAGAGGAGCCTGCAGAAAAGCAGAGTACAGGCCCCGGCCAAGGTGGGCAGCCACTTGTCCATAAAAGCCAACTGCTAACATGTGTAACACAGAACCACCAGTGACAGCAAAACTTCTATATTTTTAAAGAAGCCATTCCAGATTTTAGGTTAAATGTCATGTGTTTTTTGTTTTTTTAGAGGTGGGGTCTTACTTTGTTGCCCAGACTGGAGTACAGTGGCATGATCATAGTTCACTGCAGCCTCAATCTTCTGGACTCAAGGGATCCTCCTGCCTCAGCCTCCAGAGTAGCTAGGACCACAAGCATGCACCACTATGCCTAAGTTTTTTGTTTTTTGTCTTTTTTTAATGTAGAGATAGGATCTCACTATGTTGTCCAGACTGGTCTCAAACTCCTGGTCTCAAGCAATTTTCCCACCTTGGCCTCCCCAAGTGCTAGGATTACAGGTGTGAGCCACCATGCCCAGCCTCATGCTTTTATGTGATGGAAAATGCCATGTAAGTCAGACGAGACAAGTCGGAGGGTCCAATTTGTTCCTTAGGCAACAAAAGCCAAACCCAGCTCGATTCATGATTAGAAGGACTGAACTTGCCACACTCAGAGCCTGATGAAAGAGGAAGCCGGCCCATTTCCAGGCATAATATTATTTATAGCTCTTCTATACACAATGTCCAACAATCAACCAAAAATTACAAGACATGTTAAAAAAAAATACACCTCATTTATAATCACCAAAAACTGGAAACAGCCTAAATGCTGAATATGAAAATACAAACTGTGGTTTATTCATACAATGGAATACTGCTCCTCAGTAAAAAAGAACAAACTACTGACCCACACTACAACATGGATGAATTGCAAATGCATTATGCTAAGTGGAAGATGCCAGACCCAAAAGGCTCTATGCTATGTGATTCCACTTACCTGGCGTCCTGGAAAAGGCAAAACTATACAGACCAAAACCAGATCGGTAGTTGTCAGAGATTAAGATGGCAGGAGAAGACTGGCTACTAAGGCACGCAAGGGATTCTGGGGAGTGATAAAATTATTCTATATCTTGATGGTGATGGTATTGATATGATTATATAAGTTTGTCAAAATTCATAGTACTGTACACCTAAAACGGCACATTTTCTGGTATGGAAATTCAACCTCAATAAACCTGGAAGGGAAAAAAGAATGGTCAGGCTGTGGATAAGGGGCTGTGTGGGTAACAGCTGAGTAGCTGCGATGATTGAGACAGTACTAGCCATGCACCAGTTACTGAACTAATGGCTTAGCTCGTTTAATCTTTCTCCCAACATAGGCATAGATGCGATAGACATTTTACCATCAAAACTGGGCACGAAGAGTTAAAGTGAGTTGCACAGGCAAGTGGAAGAGCCAGGTTTGCTCAGGTGTGTCTGACTCCCAGTGTGTGCTCTGGATAAAATGACACCAGGCCCTAGGGTTTGCAATGTGAGGTCTGTGGGCCCCTGAGGGCAGGATGGGGTTCCCTATCAAGTATCTGGCATCCAGTATGGTGCATTCGCCTTGCAAGGAGTGGCACACCAACAGCCCTGCCCAGCTAGAACCACATTTGAGCACTAGCACCTCGGGACCAGGTGACCAGGGTGCAGCACCTAGCTCTGCCACCTCTTAGCTGGATAATCTTCAGGGACTTACCTCCCTGAGCCTTGGTTTCCCTGTCTGTAAAGTACAGATACCTACCAACAGGATCACAAGAGGACCAAACCAAGTATATATGCAAAATGGCCGCCAAAGTGTGGCACATAGTAGGTACTCAATAATGAGGTTCCAGTTATGTCTGCTGCTGTATCACCTTGCACGATACGCGACTGTCTGCCCTGCGTCCTTCACATCAAACAGGCTGGACAGTTGTATGAACACGTGCTCGTGGTTCCTGCCTCCAGACGTTTGCTGGAAGTTTCTGTCACATTCTGAAGTGCTAGGGGTTCGGACTTCAACATTTAAATTCCGGGGGCAGGGGCGCCTGCTCAGCGTTCAATGGGCCTTCCTGTGGCCCTCACCGGGTTCTCGGGTTTCTGTACATTTGTAGAATCAGCTGAATGGTGGAGGTGGCCTGTGACTGTCGGAAGCCCCTTCTCACCTTCAGATGGTACTTCTGGGAGCCTGGAAGTGATATGGGTGAAATTCACATGTCACTGCCTCACAGCTGGTTTAAGACAAAGGGAGGCTTAGGCCCCCAAGTCCTAAGCCTCAGCCCTGGAAAACAGAGGTGAAGAAACATTGATTCCTCCAGTGGGACAGGAAGGCAGACTGAGCCAGAGGTGCCGCAGGCCCATGGGGAAGAGGAAGGGCTCCTTGGAGGGAGGCGGGGGCTGTGATAGAGGAGGAAGAAGTGGCCACCTGGGCTCAGGAGCAAAAAGCACAGGGCGGTGGCAGGCCCGCCCAGAGGGGGCCCAGATTGGACATGCCTGGAACATCGCACCAATCACTGTGCCAGGCATGGAACAAGACCCATGTCTGCACTGAGGATGCCTCCGTTGACGCAGAGGTACCCTTGAGGGCTCATCCAGCCTTACACATAGGCCCAGGCCCTGTCAGCTCCTTATTCATCTTTTGGGTCTTGGTTTAACAGCCCCCTCCATGCCCCCAGGCTAGGTGCCTCATCTGGGTTCCCATAGCCCCCAGCACTCTGTATGATCACTATAGTCACCGGCAGCTTTGTCACTGTAGGGTTCCCATCCTTCAACACTACACCAGGCACACCATGGCCATTTATTAATGTTGACTGAGCAAGCTCTTGATCTGCACACATTGACGCTTCTGGACACTGGGGACCTTGAAGCTTTATTCTGGTGTCCCAACAGTCTCTGACTCTATGGCTGCTTGGAGAGAGTAACAGGGTCTCCATGCAACCTTCTGACCCCGGGCGCTTGCATTCAGAACTTGTGGAAGTCTGTCTGCTGTCAGGGGAGATGGTTCTGGTAACAAAACCAGAAGCCACAAGAGACTCAAATCCCTTCACTCAAAAACTCAGGAGCTTGAGAGTGGTCACCAGCCCCTGGGGTCTCACTTCTTCCTCAGGAGGTGGCAACATGCCTCTAGCCAGCTATGATTCCTCCACGGGGGAGTGTGGGCTAGTGCTTTTGGTAACACATTCAGAATGGCTGCGAACTGTACAAGAACTCAGCCTTCCAGTCCCCATTTATTTCTACTATGAACAGAACATTTCAGCACTCTTCCATAATTCACCCTTGTCATCCTTAATAGCTAATAATAAGAGTTAACATTTTCTAAGCCAAGCACTTTAAATTCGTTATCACATTTAATCTGTGTAAAGGCACGGGAAGGTCAGATAACTTGTCCAGGGTCGTGATGCCAGTAATAATGACGACATGAGAGCCAACTCTTGCAGAGCACATACTGGGTACCATGCTGAGTCCTTAGTTTGTATCCACTTACTTGTCCCAAACATTTTGTGCTTGGGCTGAGGCTAAACTGGCATATAGAAGATTGTCAATGGAAGTTCATGGAATGAAATCCTTTCTGTGTTTCTTCCTATATCCCAGACACACAGCACAGTGTCTGGGATATGAGAGATGTCCAAAAAAATTTTTTTTGTTTGTTTGGATGGATACATGAATGGAAGGATGGATGCACGAATGGATGCATGGATGGATGGATGGATGGATGGATGGATGGATGGATGGAAGGAAAGCTAGCTGGATGGGTGGATGGATGAATGGGTGAATAGGAGGGATAGATGGATGGATGAATGGATGGATGAATAGATAAATGGATGGTAGATAGAAGGAAAAAAGGATGGATGGATAGATGGATGGACAGATGCACAGATGGATGGAAGGAAGGAAAGCTAGCTGGATGGTTGGATGGATGAATGGGTGGATAGAAAGGATAGATGAATATATGAATGGATGGATGGATGGATAAATAGATGGGTAGATGGAAGGAAGATAGGATGGATGGGTGGATGAATGGATGGTGACAGATGGAGGCAGAAATGGTAGGTTGGGTGATGTGTACCAGGCTTCTCCCCTCTTCCTCCCCCACTCCCCCACACTGCTGGGGAAGACAAAGAGGTAGAGACATGGAGCCCACAGCTAGTCACTGGGGAGAGAAGCTATGGACATAAGTAACCAGAGCAGATGGCAGAAGCAGCCAAGGACCTTCAGAGGTGAGAGAGTCCTCACAGGGAGAAAGGAAGGCTTCATGGAAGAGGTGACATTTGGGCTGTCCTTGCAAAAATCACCATAGGAGGGGCAGGGAGGATCCTCCTGGGAGGAAAGAGGACATGAGCAAATCACAGGGTGGGAGAGAGGTGGCGCACCACAGCAAAGTCCTCACGTTCCTGGTCTGTGTCTCCCCAGACCCTGGGCTACTCCAGGTCCAGGACCAGTGGTGTCCCTCTCCTCCACCGCACCAGCCCTGGCCTGCCCCAGAGCAGACAGCCAGTCAGTGTTCATTGCCTGGATTGATTCAGGCCATGCTGCCTGGCCATTGGCCAGAGCCAAGAATGTGAGTGGCAAGAATGGAAATGAGAATGAGCATGTATTGAGCACCTACTACACACCAAGTACTGACACCATGATCTCAGGAACCTTGTGACCAGCCGATCATGGTCAGACTTGATATTTCACAAAGAGGGAGGCCCACCTGGCCATCATCACCCAACCAGGGGCTGCAGAGGCTGGTTTGGAGCCTGGGGAGGCTCACTCGAAGCTCAGGGCTCTCCACAGTGGAGGGGAGAGCTACAAGAAGAACAGCGGACAAGGCCAGGTGCAGTGGCTCATGCCTGTAATCCCAGCACTTTGGGAGGCCGAGGTCGGTGGATGGCCTAAGGTCAGGAGTTCGAGACCAGCCTGGCCAATATAATGAAACCCTGTCTCTACTAAAAATACAAAAAATTAACTGGGCATGGTGGCGAGCACCTGTAATTCCAGCTACTTGGGAGGCTGAGGCAGGAGAATCGCTTGAACCCTGGAGGCAGAGGTTGCAGTGAGTCAAGATTGCACCACTGCACTCCAACCTGGGCAACTCCATCTCAAAAACAACAACAAAAACAACAACAACAATAAAAAAAAAAAAAAAAAAAAAAAAAAAAACAGAACAGTGGGCAGGCTCCTGGGAGCCCGGCTATGCCCTGGGTCTTCACACCCGTGGTCACAGCAAAGCCAAGTGACAAGACCTGGTCCCTCCTTGCTCTCCACTTCACATTTCTTAACAATTAATCAATTAATCCAGATGTATTAAGAAAGTCCATGATTGGCCGGGTGCGGTGGCTCACGCCTGTAATCCCAACACTTTGGGAGGCAGAGGCAGGTGGATCACAAGGTCAGGAGATGGAGAACATCCTGGCTAACACGGTGAAACCCCATCTCCACTAAAAATACAAAAATGTAGCCGGGCGTGGTGGCGGGCGCCTGTAGTCCCAGCTACTCGGGAGGCTGAGGTAGGAGAATGGCGTGAACCCAGGAGACGACGCTTGCAGGGAGTCAAGATCACGCCACTGCACTCCAGCCTGGGCAACTGAGCAAGACTCCGTCTCAAAAAATAAAAAAAAATAAAAAAAATAAAAAAAAGGCCATGATTTTCTTAGGAACTCTGGGGAGAGTCCCTGTGAATGCGGAGCCCTGCATGTCGCATCCCGCTGCCTCGTTCTCCGTGTGCCACTGAGGAGTGGAGCTTGAGAGCAAGGCCCCTGCCCAGCCTCTCCTCCGACCCCACTTGGCTTGGCAGCTGGCACCCCCTCACCGCACGGCACAGAGGCAGGGAGGATCCCGACTCCAGGCAAAAAAGAGAAGCAGATGTGCTGCTGGAAGCACCACGGGTTGGGGATCTGGGGGCTCCAGCCTCTGGGAAAGTTTCTGGAAGTTTCCTGGACAAAATCCCAGCTGCCACACAGGCATGTCCCCGAATGTCACTCCTGTACTCTGAGCACCTGTGGCATGGTGGGCTCTGGGGTCTGCAGCAGATGAAGATGCCACCACTCCTGCCCTCAATGGGACAGGGCCTCCCAGGCTAAGGGAACAGAAGAGATAGGGCCCCTGAAAACAGGATGGACCAAGTCACAGAGGCTGGGATTTGATCTCACAGCACAGGGGAGCTGCTGGAGGGTTCTGAGCAGGGGGGTGACATCATCCAGCCCGTCTCTGAACACATCCTTCCGGGACAGCATTACTGTCAGACCAGAGACAAGGGGAGGCGAGAGGCAGTGAAGCCGGCAGTGCGGCCATCCAAAACAGACAAGGCCAGGCAAGTTTCTGGAAAAGAGACATTGTCCAGGCCAGTTTCATCTATGGCCCTTCCACAATCCCTGGCATGGCCCAAAGAGGTCTTTCTGTCTGTCCCCGGGCTCAGCCCCTCCTTCCTCCCCGTGCCTGGAACACCCTCTCCCCGACCTCCGCTCCAGTGACCACCCCAGCATGTCCGCTCCTCCTCCCTTTACCCTCTCGTTCTTCTCTTGCGCAACCCAGAGAGCAGCCTGACATTTGCATTCCCCTCTTCTGGGCCTGTCTTCCCCCAGACGGTGAGGGCTTTAGGAGGAGGACTGCGCCTTCCCTGCTGTGTGTCCCCAGAGCCCAGCACTCAGGAGGCACTCCATGATTTTCTAACAACTGAATGAATGATGCATGAGCATCCAAACCAGATCATGCCCACAGCGCACGTTTAGCTAAATCCATCATATTTGTATTCCCATTGCTTTCCTACACGTTGGTGCACAATGAATGCATCGGAAATGGAATCCATCATTGAGGTAGCTCATTTGCTTGGGTGAAATTAACCATGTTGTACTCCCACAGTCTGGGCCATGAGCACAGCAGGGAATCCATATACACAGGCTGACTCTCAGGGGTCCTAGAGGACCCCCAGTCCTCGCAGGCCTCTGCCCAGCTACACATGCTGTTCCCGAGGCCTTGGAAGATCAGCAGGTCCCCTGGAGCCAGCTATCAGGACAGTCGCTGCTCAGCCAGCTGCAGCTCTGCAGGGAGCCCTGGAGATCCACCAGGCCCTTCTGCTGGTCTAGAAGTCCCATGACACCCAATATCACACTTGTTGCAAAGAAAAGGCCCCTGACCTGCAGAGCAGCCAGCTCAGAGGGCTGGGGACCTCCTCCTGAACTGCAGTGGAAGCCAGAGCTCCTCTGTAAGCAGGGGCGTGACATTTGCTCCGTCTTGTCCCCGGGCACTCTGCAACGTACCTGGCACACAGCAGGGTAACCCCAAGGTAATGGACAGGAGCCCTTTCTGCATAGCCTGGCTCCACAAATGTCCACACTCACAGCACAGAACAGAGGGCAAGCTTGACATAGGAGGGAGGGCAGAGGATGCTGACCCAGGCTAGAAACTGAGAGACCCAGAAAGAAGCTCCAGGCCTTGCTAACACCAGAGACAGGTAGGTACTAGAGAAGGGGGAGCCAGGATGAGAAACAGAACAGAAAGGGGGCCAAGGGAGAAATGGGCAGAGGCATCAGAGGGGTCATTGTGCCCTGATCCGAGCAAAACCCATGAGGGGCATCCCAGCTTGGGTGCAGAGCCAGGACAAGATCAATAGACCGGAGTGGGAGCTTCTCAGGGTCCAGCTGAGGGTTGATCGGTGCTTGAGTGTGAGAAGCTTTCTTAGCTATAACACCAAATGCACAATGCACAGACAAAAACACTGATAAATTATACTTCACCAAATGAAGTACTTACGCTCTTCAGCAGCCACCGTTAAGAGAATGAAAAAGACGGCTGGGTGCGGTGGCTCATGCCTATAATCCCAGCACTTTGGGAGGCCAAGGTGGGCGGATCACAGGGTCAAGATATAGAGACCATCCTGGCCAACATGGTGAAACTCCATCTCTACTAAAAATACAAAACATTAGCTGGCTGTGGTGGTGCGTGCCTGTAATCCCAGCTACTTGGGAGGCTGAGGTAGGAGAATCACTTGAACCCAGGAGGCGCCAATTGCAGTGAGCTGAGATTGTGCCACTCCACTCCAGCCTGGCAACAGAGTGAGGCTCCGTCTCAAAATAAAAATAATAAAAATAAAAATAAACTAAAAAAAGAATGAAAAAGACAAGCCACAAACTGGGAGAAAATATTTGCAAATCACATACATGATAAAGGACGCATATCCTGCATGTATACAAAATTCTCGAAACACTATAACCATGACAAAAGCAAACTCTTTTAAAATGACAAAGGATTCTAATAGACATTTCACCAAAGAATATACATGGATGGGAAATAAGCCCCCATAAAGAAGCTCGACATCATTCATCATCACGGAAATGCAAACCAAAACCGTAATGAGATCCACTCCACACCTACTGGGGGACTAAAACTAAAAACACGACTCTAAAGTCTTCACGAGGACACAGAGGAATTGAGACTCCCATTCATTGCTGGTGGAGATATAAAAGGGTAAGTCTGGCAGTCTTTGAAAAACCTAAACATATCCCGGAGATGATTCAGCCATTCCACTCCCAGATATTTACCCGAGAGAAATGAAGACAGGTGTCTCCACGAAAGCTCGTATAGGAGTGTTGGCAGCAGCTTCATTTGTTATAGCCAAAGCCTAGAAACATCCCAGACAGCCATCAACAAGCAAATGGATAAGCAAATTGTGGTCTGTAGAAAGGATGGAATAAAAGGGAACGAACAATTGATTGACTGATGTGACAACATGTCTGAATCTGAAAACAGCGATGCTGAGTAGAGGAGGCCAGACAAGGAGGAGGATACTGCAGAGACGAAATTCTAGGAAAGGCCAACTGATCTATAGTGGCGGGAAGGAGACAGTGGGTGTCTGGGAGGAGGCCAAGGAGGGAGGGAAGACAGAGATAATCAAGGGGCAAGAGGAGACTTTTAGGGGTAATGTATGTGGCCCCTACCTATTGTGGCTAAAGTTTCAAGAGAAATAAACACACGTCAAAATTCAGCACATCGTGCACTTTGAATCTGCGTGATTTATTATATCTCTATTATACCTCAATAAAACTGTTCTTTTGAAACCCTGCAGAAAGCTGGTATGTTGTTCTAGCTGATGGTGAGTGCTTTGCTCTGAAATACGCTGACCTGCATTACTGACTCATGGGAGCAGTTTCATTCACATCTTTCTCTTTGCAGATTGGCCAAGATTTGCTGATACAATTCTATCTTCGCAGCCTAGAATCTTCAGGGACAAACTCAAATCCAAGGTCAGAACCGTGGAAGACTCTGCAGACTCAGCTCCAGCTCCCGTCTGCCTTGTGCCCCCGCCCTGGGGTGTGTGCATCAGGCTGAGCAGATCTCCGGGCTGCGTTTTAGCGTTTCTGGAAGTGGAACTTGATCCTGTCCGAGGGGGCCTCATGGGGCAACTAGTATGGTGGTTCACAAACCATTTTTAGTTGTAATCAAGTATGACTTCGGTATACTTCGTGAGTTGGTCTTTTGTAAAAGCCAATTCACAAAGTATACCGAAGTTGTACTTCATTATTATGAAAATGTATTTAATAAATGCCATTTTTAAAGCCGGTCAATGTGGATAGGGAGGCTGCTCTGAGGAACACACACCTCTGGCCCTGCTGGTGTCACTCCCCGCATTCAAGGCTGTGTAACCTTGGACAACTGTCTTAACTTCTCTGTGACTGAGTTTCCTCATTTCTAAAATGGGGGTGATGATAGTGTCTACCTCCATGAGTTGTGGAGGAGATTAAATGTGATGACACAGTTATGCTGCCCAGCGGAGGCCCAGCCAGGGCAGGACTCCAGAGCCGTCAGCTCTCCACGCACAAGCATGACTGCTGGCTCTCCATCCCCCAGGGTCTTCCCTGCTGCTCCTGTTCCTGGGAGCTCTTTCTCCCCAGTTCCAAATTCCCCAAATCCACCCATTCCTTACCCTTCTCTAAGAAGCCTTTCAGAATGGAAAACTCATAGCCTTTGAGTTTGAATCCCCCCATTTCCCAGCGCCTGCTCCTTGAACCCCCATTCTGAGCCCTGCCTACTGCGGGTGACACCCCTGGCTTGCAGAGCTGCTCCGGAGAGGGCATAAGCTCGCAGAACATCCAGCTGCCACCTACCAAGGCCTGGCGACCACAGCACTCACTGGGTATCTCCTCTCCCGGTGGGTTACGCGGGCCTCAGGCCCTCTCCCCAGCCTGGACACAGCTACACAAGGGCACAGCTGGGCCAACTCTCGTCCCCGCCCACGCTTGACCCCAGCAGGTAGCCCAGAGCCTCGAGGAAAGAAGGTGTATGGTAACCACTCCTCAAACCGAATTCCATTCCCACTGCTTGGCAGCTCCATTTCAGAGGCACTAAAAAAGCTGAAAATACCTCAAAAATCTTCAGCAGCAAGCCAAAGCCACATGCCTGTGTGGAGGGCAGGTTCTCACTCCTCCATTTCAAATGCTTCCGACAAAGAGCCCATCGTCTGTGTCGCCCGGTGTCAACCAGGCCCCTCTGCTCAAGTCCAAACTAGCTTTTGATCGGGACCTGCCTCAAGGGAAAGGCCTCAGCGTTCTCACACTTGCTAAAGATAGATTTGGCTGCCAGACGGGCTGAGGCTCCCGTGTGGTTTACAGGTACATAAAAAGAGCTCTGGGTCCCTGAGTCCTGCGTTGCTAGGAAACGAGACCAGAAGTCAGGAAGCCTGAGCTCCATCACCAGTGGCATCTCCGATTCACTGGGCGACCGAGGGCCAATCACTTAACCTCTCTGGAGCTTCCACACTTGCACACAGGAGAGAAAACACCTGCAGCACGGGAGGTGCCACAGAAGTGCCAGCGTGCGCCCGGTGATTTAGACCTTTCCAAGTGCTGACAACCCTGACAACCAAGGGGCTCCCAGCCCGCCTGGTGCTAGACCCAGGCACCACGGTCCAGTGTGCAGGGCAGGATGGGAAGTTGCAGAGGAGAGAGAATTCTGCCCAGGGCTCTGAAAAGCTCCAAAATACCAGAACCATGGGCCCCAGAACTCTTCTCAGTAGGAGAGGGCCAGAGAGCAGGAGGTCTTGGCATGGAGGGTGCCACACCAGAGGTGTGTCTCTGCTGCTGCTGCTGTGCACGGGCAGGGTCTGTGGCTTTATCCTGGGGAGGCACAAGGAAGAGCAGAAAGAGGACAGACAGGGTGCTGGAGAGAGAAGACAGGGTGCTAGAGAGAGAGGACAGGGTGCTGGAGCGAGACGACAGGGTGCTGGAGAGAGAGGACAGGGTGCTGGAGAGAGAGGACAGGGTGCTGGTGGGAAGAGGGGGAGTGAAGAAGAGATGTGTGGGGTGGGCAAGGAGCTGTGGGTGGCCAGTGGGCACCTTTAGGAACTGCCCTGAGGTTGCTGGCATGTCTGCAATATCAACTCCAACTGGTCACGCCCTTCATTCAAGTTACCAAACCCACCAGTGCTCAGTGTAACAGGCCAGTCTGACACCGCTCTAGAAACCCAGGAAGGGGATGGGTTTCATGTAAGGGTCAACCTGGCATCGGAAGAAGAGCAGGTGTCCACCCCAAATACGGAGCCCATCTACCCCCACCCCAAACACACAGGCCAGAAAAGTCCCCAGCTGCCCCCTGGAAAGGTGACCAGAGGAGAAGCTGCTCAACAAAGCCCAAGGTAGCCAGCCAGGCTGGAGCAGCAGAAGGGGCAGGGGGTTGGAGGCGGTGGTGGGGGTGCTCCTACTGCCTTGAGGCCCCACCGGGCACTGACCTCCATCCTGGAGTGGAAAACACTGATCCCTAAAGGAGTTTCACGCAGGGACTCGGCCTGGGGTGGAGTCAAGAAAGTGCCCCTGAGAGGGAGAGGGATGAAAGCAGCTGGAGGCTCCCAACACCTCTGACTTGGAACAGGGTTCCAGGCATCCTGACTATGCCAGCAGCACAAACAGAGGGTCCATAGGGAGCCAAAGATGGCCTCTAGAAAAAGACAGTGGGCAGGAGCCTACCTCCCACTCTGTGCACACACACAGGCCTGCGCACACACACTCAGACACACACTGTGTACACATACCACCCCATGCATGCACACTCATGCACACACACTCATGCACAGACATATACACAAACCCATGCACATACACTCACTCATACACACACCAAGCACACACACTCATGCACACACCAGGCCTGTGCATGCACACTCATACACACACCATGCACACACACACTCATGCACAAACTCATGGGCACACACACTCATGAACAAACACACCACTCACAGCTTCTCAGTCTGCCCCTGTGGACCCCATTGAAGCCCTGTTCTCCCTCAGTGCTTACAGAACAGTTGTCAGCACCCACCCTCAGCCGCTTCCCTCTGATGGCAAATGCCAGAAATGATGACCTCAATCCAAAAGGAAGGAATTGCTGCCAAGCTCGACAGGCATGGCGGCGGAGCCCTGACCTGCCCCAGCCTGGCTCTGCTGCCCTTCCCCACCCCCAAGCGGCCAGGGCAGGCATTTGCTCCTCCTCTCTGAGCCTCTGTTTCCCCATCTGTAAAATGAGGGACAGCCTCCCCTGTGGACCCTGGCCTGGATGGACCACAGCAATGGTAGGAAAAGGGACAGGACTCTGTACACATCCAAGGGGCTGCTTTTCTTCTTTTCTGGAAGAATCATTTACGAAAGGAACTTCCAGGTGGCTCAGAAGTGAAGGAGAGGAGAGTCATGCATGGAATCTTCCAGAATCCCCTCCCAGGACCCGTGAACGATCCCTCCCGGGCACAGCAGTGCCTTTATCTGGCTCTGAACGTCGCCTGGGGAGAGGGGAGGGGAAGAGAATGTGAGGGCCGATGAGGCTGGCGTCGCCTTCAGGGTTGTCCAGCACAGGCTTCTAATCCAGGCACAGAAGCTTTTAGTCTCTCCCCAGCCTCGGTTTCTCCCAATCACAGCAGGACCCCTTGAGAACTGGATGTCTGGAGAAACCTGGGGAGCTGCACACTGTGGACTTGCAGACTCTCCCAGGCACCGAATCAGCTCCGGGACACACGGCAGGGGAGACCCTTCTTTGTCAAATAACTAATTCTAGGTGCTCTGCATGGAAATGTCACCCAGTCCAGCCCTCCAGCCCCATTTTAGGGGGTCGCCCACAACGCTGCCTGCCTGCCGTCCCACTGACCCCAAAAGCAGCATGTGTTGCTTGCCACTTGTGCCTGCACCCCTCCAGGGACGGGGCCACACTCCAGCCTCCAGGCGACTCTGCACGGTGCACTGCATGGAGATCCGTCCACAGGAATGATCCCCTGCCAGCCTCTGGACAGCAACTGGAGAGCACAGAGCACTTCCCACCCTCCTTCCCCAGGACCAGCTTTGGGAACTGAAGGCGATTCCCAG
This sequence comes from Homo sapiens, assembly GCF_000001405.40. Lineage (NCBI taxonomy): Eukaryota > Metazoa > Chordata > Mammalia > Primates > Hominidae > Homo > Homo sapiens. The sequence continues at coordinate 7,306,623 of NC_000004.12, read as the reverse complement.
GCATGCCTAGCCCCACGGGAACCGCCCTTCAGTGGCCTGAGAGCCATATTCCTTAGAGTGTCGCTTAGACAACAGTTTACACCCCCCAACCCAGCCCCTCTGTTCTGAACTCCCTCTGCTCCAACAGCCATCCTCAGAACAAAATGCAGCAGCCACACCGCAAACCCTCAGACACAGCAGGGCCACCGCCACCCTCATCCTCTCTGATCCCCTTCCTCTGTTCTGGCTCCTTCAGACCTGATCCTGCTACACACCCACCCCCACCAGAAGCCAGAACTCTGGACTTCCTTCCAGATGCCGCCCTCCCCCTCCACCCTCGGACCATCAACAAGCCTACCCCGGAGCCCACTGCCCCAGCACAGTGCCCTGAGCCAGCCAGCCGACTGTGGGCTCTGGAGGGGAGCCCGGGCTTAGGTGTCTGTGCCCCCAGTGCCCACCGCTGCACCTGCTCCCAAGCCCACATGCAGCTGTCTGGGGATACTCATTTTCAGGGAGCGTGGGATGGGGACAGGGTGGAACAGAGCACCGGGACCCTGCCACTAGCCTCTCCCCAGCTCACAGCAAGCCCAAGAGTGTGTCGAGGAAGGGAGTGACTGCAGGCAGGGGGACACCACATGTGTCCTACTCCTCAGCCATCCTGCTCAAGGCACACAGGATCTTCTGCCTCACTGTGTTTCAGCAGCATAGCCCCCAGCCTCACCCCTCCGTGTTTGCACCCATAAGTGTTTGTCCAGTGAACTGGAGGATGTAGTGAGTTGCCAGAGGCAGCATCTGGGGGGATGATCGGGGAGGGGACTGTGCTCTGGGCAGCAGAGTATGGGCGTGCCCGGGCCCAGCCCAGGGACACCTCCAAATGATTCTGCATACCCCTCCCTTCCACTTCCACCAAGCGGCATCGAGAAGGTCTCCCTAGACCTGGGAGTGGACGGAGCCCAGGGTATTGGACCACCTTGGAAGCCACCAGTTGAACCCCAGTTGTGACCATTCATATGAGCAAAAACAGCTTCTCTCACACTAAGCCCCTGAGATGCTGGGGGGGCCTTAGAGCCATGAGCGTTCTCCCTGATAAATGCATCCCCCAACCTAGTCCACCACCTGCTATGCCACTGCAAGAAGCAGACGACGGAGAGGGGAGCTGAGCGCCATGTGGGAGGATGGGTGAGGGCCACGCCATGTCTCCACTTTTAGCACTGGCCGGGCACCCCTCCTTCTCAGGATTGTATTCCATAGAAATAGTGTTCCAAGAAAAAAAAAAAAAAAAACTAAAGTAGAAATGGGACAAGAGCCAGAATGGGCCGTGCGTGGTGGCTCACGCCTGTGATCCCAGCACTTTGGGAGGCCGAGGCGGGCAGATCACGAGGTCAGCAGATCGAGACCATCCTGGCTAACACGGTGAAACCCCATCTCTACTAAAAATACAAAAAATTAGCCGGGCGCGGTGGCAGGCGCCTGCAGTCCCAGCTACTCGGGAGGCTGAGGCAGGAGAATGGCACGAACCCGGGAGGCGGAGCTTGCAGTGAGCTGAGATCACTCACTGCACTCCAGCCTGGGCAAAAGAGCCAGACTCTGTCTCAAAAAAAAAAAAAAAAAGAAGAGCCAGAATGTCGGCCTGAGTAAGGAACGACTCTGGAGCCGACAGCAAGGGTGGTGTCACCCCGCCAGAAGCCCTCACGAGCAGGAACCGGGATGCCTCCAGCATGAAGCCTCAGTGGCGTTGCCCCCAGGACAACCCAGCCCCAAACATTGGAAATGCTCTGACTTCACTGTGAGTTTCTTCTTAGGAAGGAGAAGAGGGAGCAGGAAGCAATGAATGGGGCTTGATTCTGCAGCTGGAGCCCTTTGCTACAGGGCTGAGGCCCCCCACCAAGCTCTGCACAGACCAGGTCTCTGCCAGCCTCCAAGCTCTTGTCCAGCTGAGCCGCCCACCAGGAGCTCAGGCCTGTTCGCCTCCACGGCTTCTGCTCCCTCCACTCAGCTCAAGGTGCAGCTCTGAGAGGAAGAATCGAGGGCTAAGAAGGGACACAGGTTTACTGAGCACTGATGAGGCTCATGAACGCTACCTGGCTCTCACAGGCCCAGAGGATATCAGGGAGCCCAGGCTCAATGCACATTTGTTCAACAAACACACTGGATGGACGGGAGGCAGGAGGGCCGCCGACCCACCCGCATCCGCCTCTTCTCCATCAGTTCTCCTGCAAAAGAGATGCTAAATAGATGCTTGTGGATGATGCATAAAAGGGGGGAAGGAGGCAGGAAAGAGGGAGGGAAGGGCAGAAGGACAGACAGAGGGAGCACCAACCATCACCTGCCCCCGTCGCTAATGAAAAAGGGGGTTTTGAGCCTCACAGACCCATGTCTGTCGAGCTGTTTGTTATTCCTCATCGTCTCTGGGTTTGTGTCTGTCTCCCCGACCCCCAGGCAAGAACATAAGGCCAGAAGGAAAGAGCGAAGACTCAGGGTTTGGTCTTTTGCTCTTTGCTGTTATCTCCAGCGTGGGGACCACACATGCCTGGCACATATAGGCGTCAACAAGTATTGGTTAAATAAATGAATGACGTGAAGGTGTGGAAAAGAAACTCCACATCGGGTTTCCATCTGTAAATTGAGGCTGACAATAGCACCTGCTTCTCACAGTTCTTAGGAGGATCCCACAAAATCACACATGTGCAGGGCCTGGTAAACAGGCACACAGCCGTGGTGACCCCTTGGCCCCTCAGGCCCCTGCCATCCTTTCTCTCCCCACACTCTCAGGACAGGTCCACAGGGAACATCGCTCTCTCCTGCCTGGACGGTGAGCTCTGTGGCAGCCGGACAGAGACGCGCCGAGGTCTGCGTCCTGCGCTCTGACTTGGCCTTAGAAGGTGTTTTCCTTCACCCACAATTCAGCAAGTGATGACTGAGCACCCACTGTTTGAGACCCCAGAAATGGGGAGCAGGCTGGTGGGCAGCTCGCCAACTCAACAGATACCCTGACACTCAGCACCATATACCTCAGCTCCCAGAATGGTTTGCAGGGTGCCAAGACCATCACCAAACGCCGAAATTCACTCTTCCTTTAAGCCCTACGTCACTCAAGCGTAGATAAAAACACTGAAAGAAAGAACCAGAGTTGACCTGGAGAATTTGATTGCATGTCAAATGAAGTCAGTTCATACTTAATGCATCTCAAGAACTAAAAAGGGGCATAGAGGAATTATGAAACAGCAAAAAGGGATGAGACGGGTTTCTTTTTAGAAAAGGGAGGACTGGAAACGCATAAAAAACATTCATTGTCATCGTCACCAGCAGAGAGCATCCATTAATAACTCCTTGAAAGCTGAGTTCCTGACACAATTAAAAAGTTGCCATCCTTTACTTAATGAAGCCAGGAACGCCTCAGTGGTTTAGATATTGGGTTTCCCTCGGGAGTTTACTTCCCACACTATGGCTGTCTCTCGGCTGACCCCATGCCGGCTTCTTTTTAAAAAGGTCCTCTGGGCGCACTAATTTTGAAAAATCAAATTAGGTTTGCTTTTTATTACCTCGTCTGAGCTCTGTTTTGTGTGCATGGAGGAGTGGCCCAGAGCACTGGCCGCATTAACATTCCACTGTGCACACAGCACCCCAGGGGCGCAGAGACCCTCCACGGAGGCTTGGAGGTGAAATCGCCGCTTGGCTGCGGCCCCCACGCAGCTAGGGGCACACAAACCTCAATTACGAATGTGTGATCAGGGGAACTTTGAGGTGCTAATTAGATGATATTCTTGTTTATTGATACCATAAAATGCTATACAATACCCTTGTGCGTAAAAAGGTATAGGAGAACACTCCTACAAACACACACACACGCGCGCGCACACACACACACACACACATATGTGGACTGTCTACTAGATGCCGGACACTGCTCTCAAAGCTGGGGGCACAGCAGTGAACAAACGGACAAAATGAGCTTAGCTTTACTGAGAAGACAGATGAGAGACAAAATAAATGGGAAATTACATGGTTAAGTCCAACTGTGGTCATTGCCATGGAGAAAAACAGGTCCAAGTCAGGGCACAGGGCCTACAGGGAGGGCCCTGGGTTGCAGTTTTAAATAAGGTGGTCAGGGAGACCTCACTGGAAAGTGGGGACCGTGCAGCTCCCGAAGGAGGGGCAGAGAGCCAGGCAGACATCTGGCTGCAGGGAGGGCGTTCTGGGCAGACGAAGTGGCAAGTACAAAGGCCCCGAGGCAGGAGTGTGCCCACAGCCATGGACCAGCATGGAGGATCCGGTCGTGACCTTGGCTTTTCTTCTGAGTGAGATGGGAACCACTGCACAGCCACTAGTCACTTACCTGTCATTTCTCCAGCAACGTGCAAGCTACTTGCGGGCAGGCACTGCGTCTGACTCCTGTCTGCACCTGGCATCCCTGCAAACGCCCACCACACAAATATTAGAGATACAAGATGGTGCCTGCCTGTGAGGATCTCACCATCAGACCAGGAGCTCAGGTATCACGGATGAGACCAGAGACAAGAACTAGTGAGCAAAATAAAATGTCGTGTCATCAAGTGCTAAGACCGGCAAGCCGGGATGCAGGTACGGACACTTTGGCCTACCCACCCACTGCCCAACCAGGTGGGATGCTGCCTGTGCGTCCCGGTGGGACACAGAGGCCACTGTAGGGGACAGTGATTTTTATAGAGGATGTAGGAGTGCAGCAAGAGCTGGAAGGGAAGGAGAGGCGCCATGGCACTGATGTGTTTCTCTGAATATTGGATTTATCCAAGAAAGAGCCCTGCAGGAGAACGGAACCTTAGTGTTAACCCCGTCCTTCCAGCTCAGGAGAATGTAATCCAGAAACATGCAGAGCGACATCATTTGGGAGGCCAGCGCAGCTCATGGAAAAAGGAGAGCAATTGCCCATCTTCACCTCATTTTGGTAGTTTCAGGAAATGCATTTTCTGCTGGGGCCACAAAGATTCACGACACTCAGTCTGGGTTGCTGAGGAACACAGAGGGTTTGGGCCGCCCGGCTTCCAGCTGGCAGCAGGCGCCAACCTAGGCCTCTGCCCCGTGGGGAGAAGGGTCGAGGGTGCTCTGCCTGCCGTGCTCCCAGCCAATGTGGGCCCATACTCAGGGGTCAGCCCAGCGCCTGAGCGCTGGACTGAGTTCTCTGGTGCATAAAGACAGCTGCTGAGAACTTTGTGTGATATTGATCCGAGATCATTCCTTCACTCATTCATTTGAGCACACAGGTGCCCTGGCCACCCTCGTCCCTCCCTGGGCCTGTGCTGAGGGTGGGTGGGCTTCAGCACCTCCTCGGCAGCTCCCCCACCAGGCTGTGGCTCCATGAGAGTGGCAGTGTTTCTGTTTCGATAGCTGCTGTGTCTTCAACGTCTAGCACAGTGACTGGCACATAGGTGGTGCTAAGCAAACCCTGGCAGAATGAAGGAAGGAAATGAGTGGAGGAAAAGCGACTGCCAAGATCGGGGCTGTGCTGTGGGATCCAGAGGCAGCCAGAAAGGCCTAAGCAGGGACAGAAGGACACAGTCCCGCCAGGGCTGGGCCGAGGAAACAAGGAGAAGATGGGGCCCACGGAGATGCTGCTAAACCAGCTCTGGAAGACTGAGGCTTGACCTTAGACTGAGCACCTCACAGACAGCTGGGCCACACAGAAGAGGCAGGAAGGCACGAGAAGGGTGTCTGCAGAGGGAGCTGCCCAGGCACGGAGGCAGGAAGGAGACAGCCGGGACATGCAACAGGACCCTGAGAGGCCGAGTGGCCAGACACAGATGGCTCTCAAACAGGGCTCTTCCACAGGACTGGCTCAGGTCCCCATGCCAGGTCAAGGCTGGCTGCAGACAGAAATCAAGCAAGGCCTGGAGATGAGGAAGGCCAGCGGGACCAGGGTCACGGGAGGGTAGCCTCAGGCTATGGCAGCATTGCCTGCGGTGGTTGAAGGGCATGGATGCTGGACCAGGGGAATTCACAGACTGGCAAGTTCTTTCTCCACTCTCTGCCCCAGTGTCCTCATCTGTCAAACGGGCATAATGACAGTACCTACTCCAAAGGTCGCCGTGAGAACCTACTGTGTCAACGCGTGCACGTTGCTTACAATAGTGCCGTGGTGGCGGGGACTCATGCCACCGCTTCATCACTGAAAGCAGAGGCAGGGGTGCCTCTCTTCACAGGAGAGGCTCAGCAGGGCTTGGTGAGAGTGGTGCAGAAGCTAGAGAGGCAAAGAACACCTCTCTGCATCACTGCACGGTGAGTTCACGGAAGTCCTTCGCTTTTTCTCTCTGCCCTGGACTCTGCTGGGTTCCCAGAAAAGTACCCCCCACCCTCCGCCCGCTTTTCTGCCCAGAGTACTTCCCACCCCATCCCCGAGATTAGACCCTCACTCCTCCCTCCAGACCTCTCACTCCTGGGCCACCTCCTCCAGGAAGCTCTCCTGGCAGTGACTGTGCCTTCGTTGCACCCTCAGTGCAAGAACCCAGCTCGGCTCCTGCATCTCCCACTTATCAGTAGCTACGAAGGGTGGGACGATGCCTGTTCCACCTCCCGGTCCTCAGCAGGCGGAGGGCGCGCCATCCTCTCTCGTCCTGATTCTGCCAGGCTTTAGTTTTCTTATCAACCCCCAAAGACAAAGAGCAGCTTTGACCAAGCCCTGACTCCTGCCTGTCACAGCTCAGCAGGGGCTAGAATTTGGCTGCCTCAGCTCAGAAGGCAGCCGCAGTTGGAGCAGGGTGCAGTGTCCAGCGGGCTCTGGGAGAAGGACAAGCGGAGGCCAACGCCAGCTTTCCTGCCTACATGCCTGGCTGGACGGTAAGATGGGAACACAGAGAGCTCAGGGGTCCGTTGCAGAGCTTGAAGTCCCAGGAAGCAGAAACGCCCCGCAGGCAGCGGGCCCCAGGAAAATGGGATGGGAAGTTGGAGGAAGACACAGGCCTGGACCACGGCTTCCCCATCTCCCTTGTTTTCAGATAATAGGACAATTAGGGTGAGCACAGCCTTTCAGGGATGAGACGTGCTCCCTTCCCATACAGCTTTAAGAAGAAAGGACAACAGAAACCAACCAAGTAGAAAATGCCCCAGGATCTAACATGCTCTCGCTTCCTAGAGGTGTGGGTGCTTTCGCTTTGTTTTTTAAAAGGAAGGGGAAAGAAGATATCTCCAGCTGTTCTTTGATGTTCCAGGCCAGATGGTCCCCGAGAGATGTATCCGAGGCCATGCGATCCATACAGAAAGGAACTTAGCACCGCTGAGGGGCAGAGCCATCTGAGGGGAAGACAAGCGGTGGAGAGCGGATTGGGATCCAGGGCCCTGGACTGCTGCTCAGTGGGCCATGCCTGATTGGCAGCACCAATTTCTCATTAGGGCACAGCCCGCCATCCACTCAGACGCATTCCACACCCGCTCACAGCCTCGGCCCCCACCTCGCCTGGCTCCGGCTGCCAGGGGGCCCACCCCCAGCCCCGGACAGGCCGCCCTGACTGCAAAGCATCCCTATTCATCCCACCTCACGCTAATTCCTCCTACTTTCCTCCCCCAGCCTGTCTCACCACCAACCCCCGGCTTTATGTGCCCAGCTGGGGGAGCTGGGGGACCCAAGAGGGGGTGGCGGGGCCAGAACGGCCCTTTTGTGAGGCCTCCCGCTAATGCCCCACTAATCCTGCAATTTGCACAACTCTGCGATGCTGGGTCACTTTTAATTATCTTCCCACCGGCCTTGTCCCAGAAGAGGACAAACACTTGTTTGAATGGAGGCGGGCTTGCGGGCTGATTCCGCCAGGCTCTGCAGTGGGGCACCGGATGCAGCATGAGGATCCCAGGGATGTTTGCAGAACAGGGGCCCAGCACCCGGCCTGGGCACAGCTAGGCCCGGGGACCTCAGGCTCACAAATGTTTGCTCAGGTCTTTGGTTAGCATGGACATGAGCCCCGCTCCCTATACTACGGCGGGAGTGCTGGCTTCCTCCTCCTCCATGACACCAGCGGCATGGCTGCTGCAGAAGCTGGAAATCAGACAGGCAGCCCTCTCCCGTCACCGTGGGAGCGGCAGAAACCTGGGTCCTTCACAGCCGCCAGTGGCTCCAAGAAACATGCTGTCCACAAAGAAGCCTGCTCTGAAGCTGCTGGGGCACCCTGGTCAGTAGTTCTACCCTTGCCTGGGTCGCTGACCGATCAGAGGCCAAAGGAAGCTCCCGGCACCCTCTCCAGAAAAGTCTGCACTGTTGCTTGTATGTCAGGGCATCCTGGCCTCTGAAATTACTCCAGAAACCAAACTAAGACCCCAGGAAAGACAAGGCCCACCTCCAACTTCCCATACTCCCTTTCCTATACCCCAACCCTTCCTCACTCACCCCTGCTGGGGTGCCTTGCCCTCATATGTGCAGAGCCCTGGAGAGTACAAACGGATGTCCCCAAACTGCCCCTTTCTCTTCTCACCATGGTCATGTCCTGGACCCCAGGGGGTCTTGCATGCCTGCGGTGCACACAGCCTCCAAGGCCACGCTCTGTTCCCCTCTGTCCCCAGCCCCGTCGCCTCCTTGTCCCACCCCTGGGACTCCAAGTGCACACACTGGCTGTGCAGCCCACTCTGGGAGGACGGACCTGGGGAAGAGGTGGCTCAGGCCCTAGAAACAAGCTCAGGCCAGCAGGGCACAGAACTACAGGGTCCTGGGTATCCAGATGTGGCCTGCAAGGCGGATACCAGCCCCAGGGGGCTCAGTCTCGGCTCCACAGATTCTCTGGCCCTTGCAGAGAGTCACAGCCAGAGGACAGACAGGGCTGGGCCCTCTGGACGGTGGGGCCAGCACAAAGCCCCAGACACCTGGGCTCCAGGCAGTGCCATGACCCCAGGCAGCACCACTGGCCCAAAAGTGCTGCCTGAGGCCAGCCTGAGTGTGAGCCAGCCTTGCTCCTGGAGTTGCATGAGACACGTCTAAGTCCCTTCTACACGGCAGCTCTTTCGTCTCAGGTTGGGAACCATAGAGCACGGTTCTCATTTTATAGAAACTTCAGACGAGGATCTAGGAACAGCAGCCCTTGAACTCGGGGACAGGAAGGGAGCTTACAGTCACTGAGCACAGCCCTCTCTGCCCCACGTTCACCCAGGGAGACTCAGCAGGGGGCAGGGCATGGCCAGGGCCCAGGCTGTCTGGACAGAAGGAGCAGAGGCAGCTTCCCAACCCCCAGAGCTCTTCCGATCCCCCACCCAGCAAGATCCCTGGGGTGGGGGTGGGGGAGGGGCGGGGGCCTGCAGAAAAAGCACAAAAGTGGTATTCATGCAGGGGACAGGGCTGCAGACTGAGGACAGGCAGAGGCAGAAGGGGGCGTGGCTCTTCCCTCCAGCCCCACCGACTCTGGGGGCTCATTCACCGATTCCTCCCTCAGGCTCTGAGCACGGTGTGGAACCCCGAGCTGGGAGTGCCGGGGTGACTCAGACAGGGCCTCTGGCCTCCAGGAAGGGAAGGGGGCATACTGAGGAATCCCAGCCCCCTCCACCTAATGCAGAGGAGATGCCCAGAGAGGGAACCCATGGGCATCCAGGGGAGGTGGGGAGGACCCCCCCAGGCACTCTGAGGAGAGAGGTCAACTGAGTCTTGAGACAGAAGACAGGGGGCATGGCTGTCCCAGGTGTTCGGCTGCAAGTTCAAATCCCCAGAGGCCGGAAGATGCTGGTGTCTGGGGAGGGGGAAGGAGCACGAAGCTGGCCTGGGCACCTCGGACACCAGGCCGGGCACGCGGACCTTGGCCAGAGGGGGCTGGGGAGTCGAGGCACCCATGCCTCTTCTGTCCCCGAGAGCCAAGGACTACCGAGCGATAGAGGGAAGCCACGCAGTGTGTGTATGTGTGTTGGGGGGTCACCTCTCCGGAAAGAGTCTGATGTCTTCTCTGCTGACCTGCAAAGAACAGGCCCGGTGCTGGCCCCGTGTTAGTGAATATTAACTTGTTCACCCCTCCCCGCACTTCTCAGTGGCTGGGGCTACTCCGATTCCCAAATGATGGAGAGGAAAACTGGGGCTTGGAGCAATGAGGTTAGCTGCCCAAGGTCCATGCTTGTAGCCACCCCTCCATCGGTGCCTCGCAGGAGCGAGTGGCCTCAACCAGGGCTGAACCCTGAGTCCTTGGTGGGGTGGGTGGGGAGAGGAGAGGTGGAGTCCCGCAGAGGGCCCCAACCCTCTCTGTCTCTGCCACCCTGCCCGTGATTTGGGTTGTCCCCAGGAGTCCCACCTCAGGGTCTACGGAGAGGAGGCAGAGCTTCCTGCCAGCAAGCCCAACCTCGGCTCCTAAAACCTCGCTGAGGCATGAGCCTGCCCGCTAACACGAGCTCACCACTGAGGCCAGAGAGAAAATCAGGGTACACAGTGCTTGCTCCGGGGAAAAGAGACTTCCAGCTCCCGGAGGCTGTGAGGGCAGGGGCAGGGGTTCCGGGTGTTTTCATGGGTGTCCAGGAAGATGGGGGCACCCCAGAGGGAGCACCCCAAGGAGCCACAGAAACAAGGTCAGCATGGGGCGACCAGCAGGTGTCACTGCAGCCAAGAGGAAGAGGCCAGGCAGGCTGGCAGGTGCTGGGTTCCAACACTCTGCATCGCATTTCTCCCTGTGGCCCCCAGCACGGACCCCCAGCCACACACGCAGCCATGACGCAGCTCCCACAGGGCTCTGCTCCACGACTCCTGGCTCTGACATGTCAACCTCAGGGAAGCCCCTGCAACAGGCTTCTCCATTAGCCCCAGCCATGGGAAAGCAGCCGTCCTGGCGTTCTCCACACTGATCACCTACTGTGTGCTGGGCATGCTGCTCCATCAGCCTGGCCAATCCCAGGTGGGAGAGGTGTGGGAATGCCCATTGGACAGGTGAGGAAACCAAGGCTCCATCCCAGGAGGCCACACCTCAAATGGTGGGTGCCATATCCAATGCTGGGCATGTCCCCACCCCACATGGTGGCAACAATAAGGCTGAGAGTGCCGTCCCGTTCACACCAGTAACCCTATGGGTGCCTACAGTAGGGCTGCCCTCCAGGGTTCCCAGGCACAGGGCCAGAGGACATGGACGTGAGGCTGGAGTCCAGCCCCCACCAGCGCTTCCCATCCACGGACCCTGGGCAAGGGCTCTGGCCCCTCTCGGCTGCTCCCAGGGCTGGGCGGCTCGAGCCAACGGCCAGGCTCCACTGCCGGCCCCATCTCCCCACCCTATTGCCGAGGAACAGGGCACCAAGCCAGGGGCTCTTCATCCCTGGACAAAGCCCAGTAGCAACGCACCCGGCCGGCCGGCAGAGCTCAGGGTGCTGCCTGCTGCGGTCCTGGCCAGGAGTCTGATTATTCATGAAAATCAGGCCTGCGCCATGTTTCTGGGCTCAGAGGGGCTGCTGTGCACAATCGCCTCATTGTGTGGGCGGCCATAATGGTGTCTCCTCTGGAGGGGAAGGAGGAGAGAGAGAGAGGAGGAGCCGGGGGAAGAAGAGGGGGCTGGGGCTAGAGGGGGGAGAAAATAAAAGGGAGGAGGAGGGAGAGGAGGAGGGGGAGGAGGAAGAGGAGGAGGGAGAGGAAGGAGCTGGGGAGAAGGGAGAGGGGGAGGAGGGGGAGGAGGGAGAGGAGGAGGGGAGGAGGGAGAGGAGGGGGGAGGAGGGAGAGGAGAAGGGGGAGGAGGGAGAGGAGGGAGAGGAGGGAGAGGAGGAGGGGAGGAGGAAGAGGAGGGGAGGGGGAGGGGGGAGCTGGGGAGAAGGGAGAGGATGAGGGGGAGGAGGAGGAGGAGGGAGAGGAGGAGGGAGAGGAATGAGCTGGGGAGAAGGGAGAGGAGGAGGAGGGGGAGGAGGGAGAGGAGGGGGAGGGGGAGGAGGGAGAGGAGGGAGAGGAGGAGGGGAGGAGGGAGGGGAGGGGGAGGGGGAGGAGGGAGCTGGGGAGAAGAGAGAGGATGAGGGGGAGGAGGAGGAGGAGGGAGAGGAGGAGGGGAGGGAGAGGATGAGGGGGAGGAGGAGGAGGAGGAGGGAGAGGAAGAGGGAGAGGGGGAGGAAAGGTGAACTAGGAGGATTTGCCCACGGCAAGTACTGGCTGGGCCCAGAGGACAAAAACAGTCCTCTCTCCAGAGTCCCAGAGCACCCCCTGCACCCCTGGGGCATGGAGGAGGAGCTCCCTGGGGCATGGAGGAGGAGCTCCCTGGGGCAGGTGCTCTGCACACTGTCAGAGGCCTCTCTGATGATCTGAAGGTCTGCAGGCCGCAGTTCCCAGAAGGTCGGCTGCGGGGAGACACAGCCTCCTGCCCTACCTCTGGCCTCATAGTCCTTCCACCCCTGCACCACCTAGCCCCGTCCTGGTTACACCAGAGGATGCCTGTTCTCACATCTGTCCCCCAAATAGGCCTTGGCCCCAGTTTTACCCTCTATTAGAAATTGCCCCACCCCAAATCTGCCCACAGAAACCCTCCTCTCCCCTACGCCCCGGCACTGCCTCATCATGGGCTCTTTCCTAATTGCCAGGCATCACCGGTGCGTATGCACATAGGACGCTCAGAACCTCTCAGCTGATGAGACGTAACTAACCAGAAGCCACTCCTTCCCCAGCCTCTGAGGCAACTTTGGCTTCAGTCATACCTGACCTTCCGGAAGGTAGGACACGCCACTAGAGCCAGGGGGAGTCTCAGGAGCGTGGGTAAAAATAAAAGGAAAAGGGTACGGCAATAATTTGGATACATCAAAATGCTCTTGGTGGAAAGGGAAAATCCCAGCAAGCAATACCATCCAAATGCGCCCTGCTGGACAGCGCCTCGGAATAGCCAAGTCCTGGCTGAAAAGTTATCACCAAAAGCACTAATGAAAGAGAGACGCTAATTTGGAAGAAGCCAATGCAGGCATGCCCTACTGTGACCAAAGGAAGCCTCTAGGCTCCCCCAGGCAGCTGCACATCGCTGGGCACCACGCACTGAGACACCTTCTGCATAGGGATCGCCAGTAGAGAATCCAAGGCATTGACTGTGTCCCCCAGCACAGCCCACCTGTCTATGCCATCCCTGCCTACAGAAAGCAACAGGTTGGCTTTACCCAGTTCCCCAAAACCATTCACTACCTTCAACAAATGATGCCACTTCCAGGAATCTCTCCTAGGGAAAAGATCTTAAACTCTGCAAACGGTGCATTCACACTCAGGGGAGCCAAAAATAACCAACAGCAGAGGGATCATTGGAGACATTCTGGGGTATCCACTCCATGGAGATGTAGGCTGCTATACAAAGCCATGTCTACAAGGACCGCAGGAGGTCGTGAGATTGTGTATGACAGAAGCCAAGAGAGAAGTCGGTCAGGGGACAAAGGTGGTGGCTGGGACATCTCAAGCACCATTTCTTTTTTTTTTTTTTTTAGATGGAGTCTTGCTCTTTCGCCCAGGCTAGAGTGCAGTGGCGCGATCTCGGCTCACTGCAAGCTCCACCTCCTGGGTTCACGCCATTCTCCTGCCTTAGCCTCCCGAGTAGCTGGGACTACAGGTGCCCGCCACCATGCCTGGCTAATTTTTTGTATTTTTAGTAGAGACAGGGTTTCACCATGTTAGCCAGGATAGTCTCGATCTCCTGACCTCATGATCCGCCCGCCTCGGGCCTCCCAAAGTGCTGGGATTGCAGGTGTGAGCCACCACGCCCAGCCTCAAGCACCATTTTCAATGTCACAGACTCCTCAATAGAGAAAGAGAAAAGGAAATCAGCAGAGGTAACCCAGCAGACACTATCTGCATGGACCACTCTTCTTCTCTCTGCTTTTCTGTATTTTCTAATAAGCATGGGCTATTTTTCCTTTTTAATTAGTAAATGCCTTCTGGAAAAGAAATTCAGCACACTGCCCAAGTTCACAGCAAGGCGTGCAATCTGTGCTCGTAGCATCTTCATCAAGGGCATCATGGCAACGTCTCCAAAACAGCAGGGGATTCCCGACCCAGGCCCCAAGCCCTGCCCTGCCTGACTCTAGCCATCCCAGCTGGACACAGGCAGACAGATGTCACCAAACCCCCTTGAACCTTTAGATTTGCTCCCAGTCAGTGATCCAGGTCTTCTCTCCCTTTAACAAGCAGCAGCCAATGTTAAAAGAGCAAATAAAGGAGAACCCCAAAGAAATACAATCTTTTTCTCCTGTGCACCCTAAAGTTACATTGATTCTCCCTGCCCAGGCCAAGCCCAGGTCCCCAGAGCACACTAACTGTGAACACAACCACCACCACGATCCACACCAGTGCATCTTCCTGAGATCCAGTGCCCGGATCAGATCTCTGGGTTCCTCTTATCTCCCGAGCACTCAATGCAGTGATGGGAGCTGTGGGGTGGGGAGCCTCCTTGGTGAACAGACTGCGAATGGTGGGGAGCCTCCTTGGTGAACAGACTGCGAATGGTGGGGAGCCTCCTTGGTGAACGGACCGTGAATGCGGGGGAGCCTCCTTGGTGAACGGACTGCGAATGGTGGGGAGCCTCCTTGGTGAACAGACTGTCAATGGTGGGGGGAGCCTCCTTGGTGAACGGACTGTGAAGCGGCAACCCAGCTTTTCTCCCCAGGAGATCAGCGGGAGAGAGCTGAGATCCAGGCCGAGCTCAGTTTCTGTGAGGCTGGTCTGGTTTCCCATGACGGTCCCCTCCAGGGCCAGCCCCAAGGGACCCTCCCCCAGACAACAGTCACAGTTAGGAGCACCATCTCCCTACACCATCTCCTACCATCCCTGCCTTGGCCCCGTGAGACCTGTGTGGCCGCATTCCCAGTTTTACTGTGGGGATGTTTACGGTTGAGGGGCTTGTCCCACTTGAATGGGAACAAGCTGTGTCATTTATGGGCTAGGTGACCTTGGAAAACCCTGGAGACCTTCCTCTTTGCATATCGGCTTCCGTGTCCATAAAGATGAATTCTCTGGTGAGAATCACAAGGGAGCAGGGAGGGATAGATGAGACATAAGACAGGGATGGGCCCACAGGACTTGCTGGTGGCATCTCAGTCCCCTTCCTTGGTTTCTCCTGTCTCGGAGACTCTTTCACACACCAGGCTCTCCTGGCAGGCAGCCCTGACCCAGCCGTGCAGTTGACCGAGCACTGACGCTCACGCTGAGGCATTTCTGCTGCTGTAGAAGAAACGCTGGCCTAGATCCCACAGCCCGGGGCCCAAAACGCCATGTGATCTCTCTCTCCCAGGAAGGGCACCACCATCCACCACCGAGCCAGAACCCTGGGAGCCCTCATGATGAAAGCCTTCTTGCTCACGGCACCACCAGCCCCTCGCTGGCCCGACCACCAGCACTGATGTGGGTGGCAGAGGCCTCCCATGGGCCAGGCGTGGACTCCTCCAGGCTCCGTGGCCCGTCTGCACCTGCAGTCATGAAGCTGCTGTGAAAAGCAAACGACCACACCCCTGTCCTGCTTTTAAACCCTCTCCTGGCCCCCCACAGCTGTTCAGTTAAAGTCCCTCTCACCTGCTATGTGGCCTCAGCTCTGCCCCCACCGCCGCCTCATCCGAGCCCCTTCTCTCACCTCTATTCATGTCACAGGTGCCTCTGCCTTAGACACCCAGGGTCCCTCCCACCTCAGGACCTTTGCACATGCTGTCCCCCCTGCTCCA
Source organism: Homo sapiens (assembly GCF_000001405.40). Classification (NCBI taxonomy): domain Eukaryota; kingdom Metazoa; phylum Chordata; class Mammalia; order Primates; family Hominidae; genus Homo; species Homo sapiens. Next base: position 7,291,077 of record NC_000004.12, on the reverse strand, counting down.
TGCCCTGTGCTCCACTTAGCCATCTCCCTAAGATGTCCCCACCTCAGAGAGACCTTGTCCAACCCCTGGGTAAAACATGGTCCCAGGACTGTCTCCCTTCTAGGAGTGATCAGGTTGGGGCAATTAAATAAAGAACCGTGTAATTCATTCTTTAACTACAGCTTCCCCAGCCAGCCAGCCAGGGACTATGTCTGCTCCATTCCTCACTGTCTCCTCAGCCCTGCCTGGAGCATAGCAGGCCCTTAACCTACATTCACTGAATGAATGAATGAATGAATGAAAGAATGCAGCCTCTGCAGTCATTACAGTCAACAAATCAACTGAGAGCTAGCCCTGCCCTACATTCCCCAAAACACATACACACATCTGCACGCACACACGCACATACATAATGCACATGTGTGCATACATGGATGAGGGGCAGGAGGAACACTCCCCAGGAGCTCAAAGACCTGGGTTCAAGTCTCCATGCTCCTTTGCAGAGTATGGTTCACTGCAAACCCTTTTCCTTTCTAGGCCTCAATTTCCCCACCTGGGCAATAGGTATAAAGACCTGGAGAAATGAAGGGAGGATTCTGTTGGCAGCATGGGGAAGGGAGAAAAATCCAGGAAGGGAAAAAAATCAACTAGGTTCCTCTGTGATTCACACCAGAAGACCCTGGGTCTGGGGGACAGTCAAAGCCCTGAGCACCCCGTGGGAGCATCTGTGTTTTTCTTCCTGTCACACACTGAAGTTAAGGTTACAGATAGTGGCGCCCACAGCTGAAGGGGTCCAGATGGCAGGTCACTACTCAGAGAGCAGCCAGCCCACTGAGAGCCAGGTAGACGGGCGCTGTGTTAGACCCTGAGATGTGTTCGTTACAAGAGCTGCCACGGGTTGTCCTGACAAATACATAAGGGCGCTGGGCCATGTGGTGTGAACCCACCTCCCCTGGGGCCAGCCATCAGCTTCCTGCCAGCCCAGGGTCACTCAGCTACTTGCAGTCTCCCCCATATTTGGCCCCTGGTACAGAGCCACTCAGAGGCAGCAAAGGTCTCCCCAGCCCTCCCGTGTGGAGTCCTCCCTCGCAGCCTGGGAGTGCCAAGGCCAACTCAGAGGATGGCTTTTCAGGCAATCGGAAGGGGACTCTTGTCCTTGTCCCCTGGCTGCGATCAGGGTGCTGCAGGTGACAATGGCGATGCAGAATGTTTTAGGGTCCTTTGAAAGCATGAGCAAAGGGGAGGCCCTGCAGCGTCTCGGGAGGAAGGGCCGCAAGCCGAGCGCCGTCTCTATTTGGGATGTGCAAATAGCCTGTGTTTGTTCACCCACGTCCGCCTCTGCAGCTCACAGCTTTTATCCTCGAAGCGCTGCTGATAGGAGAGTCTGAAAAATGCTAATACTGGAGAAAACTCCCCGCAGAGCTTTAATGAAAAGCTTTCCATGAATTGTGATATTTTACCTTTGCCCTGGGCCTGGGAGGGCTTTATTAACTGCAGCTCGGTCTCTGTGGCAGCTGCTGCCAATCCACAGTGCTGACTTCAATGAATTCATCAAACATTTACCACGTGCCCCCAGCATCCAGCACTGTTCCAGGCACTAGGAGCCTGTATCCTATCAGCAGATATTGACTGAGCACCCACTCAGTGCTAGGCAGGGTGGCAGGCTCTGCAAAACAATGGGGATGACAGCCGGGCCTTGCCTGCAAGGGACCAGACACTAATATGTGATGTCAGAGTTGGCACAGTGGGCTCCAAGCTGTGAAATCCAGGAAGGCTTCCTGGAGGAGGAAACCCCAGCCTGATTCCCAGGGAGAAGAAGTGAGCCAGACAAAGGCAAAGGAGGGTCTTCCAGGTAGAGAGACCTCCATCTGCAGAGGGCCACAGGGAAGGAACTTCAGTCATAACCTGAAAGCACCCAACTACTGGAATAATGCTTCCTCAACTGTATCTGGGCTCCCTGGATGACAGATATCCATATGTCACCTACACCTGGATGAACTGAACAGGTGTTTTCCATTGCTAGCTCTGCCAAAATCTAGTGCCAAGCCCAAGGGAGAGGGATGATTGATCAATAGAGTCAACCTAGAAGACTGTGACCCAGGGCAGCATGACACAAACACTGTGGAAACTCAAAGGAAAGATAGGAAGGCTTCCTGGAGGAGGTGGCACAGACACCATGGAAACCCAGAGGAGAGACAGGAAGGCTTCCTGGAGGAGGTGGTACCTGGGCTGGGCAGCAGCCACCTCAAACAAAAAGGGTTCATGCTGAGGACAGACTGAACTGTGCCCTCCCCAACTCCCCCCCCCACCCCACATGAATTCCTGTATTGATGCCCTCGCTGCCAATGTGACTGTATCTGGAGACAGGGACTGTAAGAAGGTGATTAAGGTTAAAGAGGTCACAGGAGTAGGGACCTAATCCAATAGGACTGTGGCCTTGGAAGAAGAGGAAGTGGGGATGCAATCTCTCTCTCTCTCTTCTCTCCCCTCTCCTCTCTCCTCTCTCTTCTCCTCCTCCCACCCCCTCTCCCCCCGCCCCCCGCCCCCCGCCCCTGGGAGAAGAGGCTGCCATCCCATCTACAAGCCAGGAAGATGTCCTCACCAGACGCCAGTTCTGCCTCTCCCTGATCTTGGACATCCAGCCTCCAGGACCGTGAGAAATACTGTTATTGAAGCCTCCTGGTCTGTGGTGTTTCCTTACAGCAGCCCCAGTTGACAAATACAGAGCCCCTCACTCCCCTATGGGCCTCTATAGCCTCCAAAACAAAAGAAGTTCACCGTGGAGGTAGGACCACGGGGCCCCCACGTCTCAGCAAGGCCCCGAATTTCAGATCGCAGTGTGGTGTGAGGTTCAAGTTCTCGTGGTCCAGCTGGCCTGCTCCTTCAGGTGCTCATCCTGAGGACATGGGTGGCAGTTCTGGCTGAGCCACCGCACGTCCCACAGATTAACTCCTTCATTAAGCAGCCGAGCTCTCGAGTGCTTAAACACTGCATCGAAACCCCGGGGAGCCCCATCTGAAATCACCGGAGGAGGCCGCATGGCATGAGCTGGCTTTCAGGACGCCTCCTGCCATCGACGGCGGGGACAGCAACGCCAGCAACGGGCTCTCCCATCCCACAGGGGCTGGGTGAAGCTGTCAGAAGAGGCTCAGAGGGTGGGCTCCAATCGGCCTGCATGTGGAGGATTTACATGCTTTTTCTCCAAACCAGAAAACTGTTTTTACCATAGCGGAAGAAACAGCCTTTCCTTCAAAGTAAAAACCACCTTTAAACAAATCAAGTCTGTCCGTGGCACTGCATTCCCTCAGACAGGAAGCCGCAGACCCACGCCCGCCCACAGCACGGGATCAATACACCAGAGCCACTAAGGAGCTGGGCTGTTCTCTCAGTCAAATGTCAAATTAAAGACAGTCAATGCCAGTATTGTCATCTCCTTTTAAAATAAAAGACACAAACAGTCCACTGGCTGAACTCTAAACTTGTAAAATTAGACTTTCTCTCCCGAGGGCGGCACAAAGCCCCTTCCCCAAGTCCGAACGTGCTCCCTCCTGCCAAATGCAAGTGGCCATGAAGTAGGGGCTCCTGCTGCCAAAAGAGACAAGGTTCCCGTCTCCCCACCCATCCAGCCTGGGGGCCGTGGCAAGGGCGATGTGCCCCCACGCCCAGCTCCCAGTAGGAACGGTTTCCATTCCTGGCTCGAACCTTTCTGGAAAAGACTGCCAGACTGAGAACCCGTTGGGACGCACCCAGACGGGAGGACCCAGGAGGGACAGGGTACAGCTGCCTGGGGGCCTCAGAGCCTCTCGGACACCCCACCTTTCCCAGGGTCTCGCCTTGTGGTCTGTGGCACCCAGAGCCTTCTCTTCTTCCCAAGTGGGTCCTTGATCTTTCTCATCTGGGATTTTCCAGTTGGTCGGTCATTAAGGACACTTTGCACCCCTCATTGGGCAAGGCAGGAGACCCCCCAAGGGAACCCCAAATCCTGCCCTCAGGGAGTGCACAGATGAAGTCAACACAGAAGGCTGTGACCCAGGGCAGCACAGGGAGCCCTGGAAACCCAGAAGAGAGAAAGGAAGGCTTCCTGGAGGAGGAGGCAACTCCCAGGCCGGGCTGCAGCCACCTGATGCAAGAAGCGTTCGTACCAGTGGCCCTGGTCCCTCTCTCTGCCTCTGCTGACTTGTGTCTCCTCACTCGGACCCACTTTCAGCTACTGAAGCTCCGTCAGGACACTTTCCTCTTGGGACCTTCCATAGCTCCTGTACCCTGAAAAGCAGCACCCAGGTTCCACGGTCTGGGACCCAAGACGCCTCCCAGTCTGCCTCAGTTATCATCTGCTCTGGTTAACCGAGGCCCGTGAACATGTGCAACCTCTGAGGCATTGTGGAAAAAGTGCCAGGCCAGAAGGCAGGAGGCCCAGAGTCGAGTCCCAGCTCTCTCTCACCCTTGCAACCATGAGCACCTCCCTCCCTGGGCCTGTGTCCTCCATCCGTAAGATACGGGGGGCTGGCCTGGGACCGAATGGGACCATGTCCCTTCTGGTCCTGGGACCGACCCCAGCTCCAGTGCCAGGCCCAGCCAGCCTGCCACCCTTTGTCTTGGAAACCTCAGGAGAAGAAGAGAAACAGGGCTGAGAGGATGGTGCATCTCCAACGTCAGGCCTCGTGGCTGCCTTCCAGGACGTCTCCCTTCGCCCACACCCTGCTCCGTTCTGGCCAAAGTAGGTAGCTCCCCAACCCAGCCCCAGAGCCACCCCAGGCTCTTCCGCTGCTCCCACAACAGGCCTGCTCTCTCCAGCGGTGGCTCCAGCTGGCCAGGCTCCCACATCCTCTATCTTCTTTCTACGGAGACACCATGAGGCTGTGCCCACTTCCCACGCGAGGAGACTCAGGGTCCGAGTCGTGCAGTGAGGACCGGCACAGGCCTGGAGACCCAGCTGGAGACTCTAGGAGACTGTTTACCAGCTCATCAGGGGACTGAGGGGGACAGCAAGGATGCTGACAGTTACACCCACCACAAAGAGGCACCGGGAAGATGGATGGGAGGCAGGCAGGGAGCCCCCGGCGGGGCAGCTGGCTCTCGGCAGGGCACGGAGCACGGTGCCGGCCGCCGTGCTGATTAATGGTGGTGCTGGTCCCCGCACTGGGCCTCCACGCTACACTGCAGCCCCAGGCTGTCGGCCTCACGCCAGGCTCCTAAATCAGGGCTGCACCGAACATCAGAGAACGGCCCCCTCAGCAGGAGCATCTGAACTCACTCAGTTCTGCTCTAACAGCCCAGGGCCCACACACTCCCGCACCCTCGGACTTAGCAGCCCACGCCAGACTAAAAGAAACGGGGATCTGCCTTGGCCCAGCATGCTCCGGAAGCTTCTGTTGGCGGTCTGGTCCTCCAGCGAGAAGGAAGAACGAGGCCCCAGGAAAATCCTCCTGGGAGCATAGGCGCCTCCCCATCCCCTCTGCCAGCTGTCTGGAGGGCAGAGCTGGATGCCAAATGGCAGAAAGCATGGGAAGGAGGGGCTCGCGCCTTGGCTGGCAGAGGCCATGTCTTCCAGGGAGGAACACCGGAAAATTAAAATCAACCGCCCACTGCAGCCAGGCGCTCCGTGCAGTGGTGAGTGGGGCATGAGATAGTGAACAGTGTGGGGGAGTGCATGGTGGCCTCCTACATGACTGGTCCACATCCTAATGTCTCCACTCTGCCATGTGGCCTTATCTAGAAGCAGCATCTTTGAAGCTGTAATGAAGTAATGTCAACATGAGGAGATGGGGCCGGGCGTGGTGGCTCACACCTGTAATCCCAACAATTTGGGAGGCCGAGGTGGGTGGATCACCAGAGGTCAGGAGTTCGAGACCAGCCTGACCAACATGGTGAAACCTCATCTCTACTAAAAATACAAAAATTAGCCAGGCGTGGTGGCAGGCACCTGTAATTCCAGCTCCTCGGGAGGCTGAGGCACGAGAATCGTTTGAACCCAGGAGGTGGAGGTTGCGGTGAACCAAGATCATGCCACTGCACTCGAGTCTGGGCAACAAGAGTGAAACTCCATCTCAAAAAAAAAAAAATATATATATATATATGGGATGGTCCCAGGTGAGCGGGTAGGTCTTAAATCCAATGACAGGTGTCCTGATAAGAGACACACAAGAAAGAAGCCCATATGGAGACAAAGGCAGAGAGTGAAACGACACAGCCACAAGCCAAGAGATACCTGGGGCCACCAGAAACCAGAAGAGGCCGGAAGGATCTTCCCCCAGAGCCTTCAGAGGGAGCACAGCCATGTGGACCCCTGAATTTTAGACTTCTGGCCCCCTGGACTGTGAGAGAATATTTCTACTGTTTTAAGCCACCCGGTTGTAGCAATTTGTTATGGTGGGCAGGAGCCAGCTGACCTGAGTTCTAGAACCATCTCTGCCATAAACAGCCTGTATGAGCTCCAAGGCATGGCACCCTCTAGACTTCAGAACATGAGTGGATGGGGAGACATGACCCCTTCAGGCCTCTGTGTCAAATGCTGTCCTCACCTCCTGGAGCACCTGCTGAGGGATGGACTGAGGGTCATGGAGCTGCCAGGTCATAACCTCGAGCTCTCCTGAGGTCTGCACAGCGAGAAAGTCCTGGGTTCCCACAGTGAATGGCTGCCATTTCTTGAGCACCTACTATGTGCAGGCACTGTACTGAAGGCTGTGCACAGCTTGCTTCATCTCACAGGCAAGGAAACAGGCTCAGGGAGGTTGATAAAGTGGCTCAAGGCCAAGCAGTGGGTGTGCAGGGAAGCCAGGACCCGAACACAGACCGTCTGACCCCAGCCTCGGCTCTTTCCCTTCACACCTCCCAGACTCTGGAGAAAGAAACAACTGGATGGGGAAATTGTACATCCTTCCTCAGTAGGATGCCCTCCTGCCCTGTCCCAGTTGAAAATGGCCAGGGAAGGAGCTTCGTGCTTGAGTGAAGGGGGCGCGGTCCTGCCTTCTCTGTGGGTGTTCACAGGTTCCCTGGGCGCAATCCTGCAAGCTGATCCTCTGACTTTGTGATGGCTCAAAATGGTTTACTCCAGGTGTCCCCAGATCAGACGCTGTAGTAACGTTGTACATCCCCATCCCTGGTGATCCCATCAGGGCTGCCAGTGAAGGATCCTACAAACTCAGATTCCTAGAGGCCAAGGGGCAAGATCAAAACACAAAGGATCCCTCGCTCCTATGGCCCAAGTCCTCAAGTGGCTCCCAGCACAGGCAGGAGAAGCCAAAACTGCCCAAGGCTCCCCAGGTTCTGGTCCTGCCCCCTCCTCCATCTCCTCTCTCCCCAGGACCCCCTCACCTGGATGCTGTAGCCAGACCCAACTCCTCCCAACTCCTGCTTGGGCCCCACCTATGTTTGGTGGAAACCCTGGCCTTGAACTGCCCACCGCACAGTGCTTTTCTGAGCTGCTGTGCTGCAGAAACTGCCGCCAACCCAATGTCACCCCACAAGGGCAGGCACAGGTCAGAGACCACTTTGCAAAACTCTAAGCAGTGGCCGAAATCAAATGACCCCAGAGTAGGGGAACACTGTTCCTGGAGTGAATGGCTGAGACTCTGAATCCAGGAGCTGGGAAACCTGGAATCACTCCAGACCCCCGCCCTGAGGCTCTGCAGCAGTTTCAAGCACTCTCCATTCAATCCACAAACACCTACCGAAGCCCTACTGAGTGCCAGGCACTTTGCCCCGGTCTTGCTTCCAGCCAACACCCACCTTCTGCTCCCCTGCAAAGCAGCCCAGGAAAGAACTGCCTACATTCACGTCTCCTCTTCCTCAAGTCATTCTCTCCTCGACCCTCTCCCGCAGGGAAACTGTCCTCGAACTTCCTCCAACTCTCAGCTGCTTTATGTCATATCACACATGCATGCTCAGTATCTGTCTCCCCCACTGGACACGAAGCCCAAAGAGGCAGGGTCTTGCTCACCATGGTGTCCTAGAAAGGTGCCTGGAACATGGTGGATACTCCACAGATGTTTCAGGAGGGAGGGAGTGAATGAGTGAAGAAATGAGTGAATGAATGAATGGGTGAATGAATGAGTGAATGAATGGATGAATAAATGAGTGAATGGGTGAATGAGTGAATTAATGGATGAATGAATGAATGAATGAGTGAATGAATGAATTAATGAGTGTGAATGAATCAGTGAATGAGTAAATTCTTACCTAGATTTCCCTCCCCAGATGCTGAACCCCCCACTTCCCAGCCATCCTGGCACAGACAAGCATCTTAGTGGGTGGCGTTTGCTGATGACAGCCCTGGGTCCCACAGGGCAAGACCCCCTAGAGTGTGAATCCCAACTCTACCACCTGCCGCTGGCTGAGCCTCGCGGTGAGACTATCACACCACTCTCAGCCCCAGTTTCCTTCCTCATCTGTGTGTTATGGACCAAATCACCTCCAACCTAGGGTCCTACAGCCACTGGCGTGACTGACACCACCCAAAGACCAGCTGTGCTATCCTTTCCCACCGGCTCCCACCCAGGCTCACCCCATGATTAGTGGGGGAGCTAAGAATAGATTCTCAGATCTAGGCTGCTTTGGTGATCCTTATAATATACAGCTACATCCTCATTAAGTCAGAACAGCATATGGCACAAAACACTCCAACAATACAAACTGAGTTCATTTATACCCTGTGATCCTGAGTTCTTTGCATTCGGAATGAATAAGGTATTATACAGGCTTATGCATTGAAATCATGAGATTTTCCCCAAACATCATAATGTGATCTACTTTTTAAAGGGGTGGAGGAAAAGATCCTGTCTTAAAAACATGTCTATCACTCTGGTAAACCTTCAAAGAAGTCCTTGAATAACTGCATGTTGATATTTAAACATCGTTAGGGAGCAAAGGCCCCATAGGCCAGAGAGACGGTAACAGCAGCAGCCGGCACTGATAGGATCTTCCCATCTGTAATGACAGCCTCCCTCCCAGGAACCAAGCCATGAAGGTGGCCCGGGGCTGAGTTCCGTGGGAAAAACCACAGTAGTGAAACCAGGCCCTGTGGTTAGAATGAGTCTGGAGTGCGGTGGGGGCCAAAGTGAGGTTCCCCTTCCCCTTAGGAGCTCCACGAGGCAGAGTGGCGAGGGAAGCAATTTCAGGAGTGGGTGCGTGGAGTTTCCATCACACACTGGCGTGTGCCCAGGCAGCTGGGAGTGCAAGATGGCCACCATGTCACGAGTCCTGGAAAATGCGGTCCCTCGGCACTCATCTCTGGCATGCAAAGGAATAAGAAGGAACCCAGCCCCCACCCACAGACGGCACTGAAACTTCAGAGGCCCCGGCTGTGATTAGCACACAGGATCATCCCAGAAGGGAAGGCAGGAGGTGAGAGGAAAGAGGGACCGCAACACAATTATTCTCATGGGGGAGCCTGCGGCCCCCAGGCTGCCATCAAGGCTAGGGTTTGGCCACTCACTGCCCACACAAACGGCCCAATGGAGGCTCGCAGTTTCACCGGGTTTGCAAGAAACAGATGGCAATGACATGAGTGAGTCTGGTGGTGACCAGAGACACACAGAGGATGGAACGCTCTTGTTTGGCTCCAGAATAAGACCAGGATGACTGGACGCACGCACAGCCCAGCAACAGGACAGAAAGGCCCACGTGCTGGAGGCGGAGGGGACGCAGCAGGCAGGAGAAAGGGCAAGGTCTCCAGAGCGCAGCTGCAGGACACAGCCCCTTGTGAGTCAGATGCCTGGAGGAGGGGACACCCCGAATGAAGGGGCTACGGAGAAATGAGACAGTTTTGCCAACATGTCAGCCACCATCACCGACAAGCGGAGATGGGCAAAATGGTCCCCCCGAGAGAGAATGATTTCTCGCTGAAACAGCAGCCTCTTCTCAAGAACACGGCTGTGGCAAGAGTGACCCCATGCTCTGCTTCCATCAGTGAGCCTGACAAGAAAAAACTTTTGTGCAGCATGAATAACACTGAAGGCCTCCGGGTGTTTTCTGCTGGGTTTTATCATAGCTCTCCTTTTATGAGGCCGTGCTTCAAAAATGTAGAGATACCGTGGGCAGGGCACGTTCAGACACGCGACTCGCATTTGTGGTGTGGCAGGGCTGTACTCAACTAATTAAGTCCTCACACTGGGCTCTTTGGGCAGTGGGAGAAAGGGCTTTGAGTATTTATTCACATATTAACTCATTTGTGCAGCTTGGCCTCATGCCTACCGAGTGCTGGATAATGACGCTTCCTAAGCCCTCACCGGGTACCAGGTGCTGACTGAGCACTGTACTTGGGTTATATCATTCATGCATTCATTCATTCATTGTAGCGCATCCATCCCTTGCTACAATCATCGTATGCAGTACTAGTCATCTCTGTATTTTACAAAAGGGGAAACTGAGGCAGGACCCTAAACACAAAATGCTGGCGAGGATGCGGAGCAAAAAGAACTGTCATTCATTGATGGTGGGAATTGAAATCAGTACAGCCACTTTGGAAGACAGTTTGGCAGTTCCTGACAGAGCTACGTATATTCTTACCACGCCATCCAAACATCATGTCTAAACACTGGCCCTCCCAGAATGACAGGCAGTACTTCCTCTCATGAGCGAACGATGATGGGGTTATCCTTCTGCAAGAAGTAAAAGAGATGGGCTCCCCAAATGCCCACCCTGCCATGGTTTAAATAAGAAGGAACACACTCTTTCACACAAATTCTGGAAATGTTAACAACAGTTTCAAAACCCTGGCATTTTCCAACAGTCAATTTTGGTCCAGTCCTCCCATCCTCGCCTCTCGAGAGTGCAGTCATTTTTTTAAATGGCTGATATGAGCCCTGGGAGAGACCCAGTGCCCCTCTTCCTACCGGAGCACAGAAATCCACGTGTGATTTCCTGGGTGTTGAGTCCCTGTTTCTCTGTGGGTACCCGGGATGAAGTTGCAGTAGAAGATATGACCAGGTAGGCTGCTTTGCCTGAGTCTTGACTCTTTTGTCCTTAGGAAATATGAGTCATGCCACCCAAAAAGGAGACAGAGAGGCCTGAATTCCAGACTGATCACTTCACAGCACCGTGAATGATCCCAAATTATCAGAAGCTGCAGCCGACACCATTTGATCTGAGTCCAGTCAGTTTTTGGAAGGACAGCTTTGAGGTCTGAAGTTTAAGGTCAGCTGGGAGTTGGGATGTAACTGGAAGGGTCTCCCTAGCGATGGTGACACCTTTGCCTGAGAGTTGCAAAAATGTAACACAGTGGATTAATTGGGGGGCGGGGGAGGGGAGGTGCGTCCAGAAATAGATATTTTGCCCAAATTTATAGTTTGTCCTGTTAACTGTAAATACAAATGTTACCCACAACAGGTACAAAATGTTCCCTTCGTCTGTTTCTGCAAACACAGCAGACCTATGAATGGACTCCACCCTCCTTCCCACGTACCTCCCTGTAATTCCGCGGCTGGACACTCAATCTCGTACTTCCCGCTTTACAGAGGCAAACCTAAGGCCTGCGCCATGCCTTGATAATGCAGGGAAGATCGCCCTTGAACTGGCTGTCTTGGTTTCTGTGAGAGACATCTTAGTGAACTAGGCTTGGGGATGAAGCCATCAAACTGCATTTTGAGCCGTTACAAGTAACAGTGAAATGGAACTGACCACCGCATTTATTGTAACAGCATGAGACCAGCCCAGTGGCCACTGACATCACCATCCGGTTCAGGAAGGCTCTCCTGAGCAACTGGTTTACTTTGACTGCTTCATCTTTTCCTTATTACTTTGGCTGTGGGGAAGCTCACAGACACATTTTGCCCCACCTTTAGCAACGCTGCAAGTATTTTATCTGCTAAGCCTGTCCCTAGCTCCATCTGATGTTTTTCCTTTTTTTCTTGCTGATTTTATTTTTACACTGTTTTTACATCTTTGTAAGCCATTCAATTCCTCTTTTTGAACCACCACCAAAAAAGGGAGGAGGGGTGTATCAATACAGAAAAATGTGTAAACTGTATTTCCAGAACTCCCTCACAGACAGCTAGGATCACAGCTGTGATTTCAGTTCTCCCATAGGAAGCACTGGAGCAAAACTTAAATTAGGTGGTGGGTGGGGTATTCGTTTGCAGGGGTAGATGGTGGCTTCAAGGGTCGTTCCCTGGACGAGGACTTGCAATGGCTGGCCTCCTGACTGTGGCCAGCCCTGTGGGGTTTTCTGGATGCCCAATGTAGGAGATCCAGGCTTCAGCTTGCTTCTCAAGCCTTTCTAAGCTCTAAGAGAGCATGTCATTCCTGTGTCAGATCCCTTCTGGGTAAGCCAGTTAAAGGGGTCTCCTTTATCTGCACCTGCATCCCAACTGATCCATTTTGCTTGAAAACAGGGAGCATTGGGTGGCAGCAAACACAGAACACAAAGCAAGGCTGCTCTCTGTGCTGGATGTCCCCGTCCCATCCAAGGACAGCTGGCCCCATAAGCGCATGTGCTGGGCCCACACATTAGGGGCGCTCAGAGACACCTGCTGAAGGAAGGCCAGGAGGAATGTCCCTGGGTCTATGAAACAGATGTACACTGGGCACGCTACCACTGCAGAGCCGGCACCTTGCCCTGTGTCAACATCACCCAACAGACAGAGCTGGACCTGTGGGAAAGGGAGGGCTAAGCAGACCCTGGGCTGTTTGTGCTGTGTGGAAATTGCCTTCCTCATGAACAACTCTTGGGACATCGCAATAGTCTGCCCCCCACCCCCTCTCACAAAACAGAGGCAAAGCCCTGTGATGCCTGAGGAGTTGATGATGAAGAAGAACGAAGACCCCGTCACGCTCAGTGAACTCGTCCCAACCAGGCAGACATCAGTGCTGGCAATGCGCTTAGACTCCAGGCTGCTCAGAGGAGAGAGGGATGCCCATGTTAGAGGCTGTGATGCCCATGCAGCTCCTCCCACCAGGTGGGGACTTACACGCTATTGATGAACACAGCTCCTGCTGGGCCCAGGGTGCAGCGTGGGGCTGTAGATGAATAAGAGGGCACCGGGGAGCCCTGGGATAGGGACCTGGCTCTGCTGCTGCTCTGCAATCTTCAGCCAATTGCTGAGCCTCTCTGTGCCTCAATTTCTTCATCTGTCACAGGCATAATGATCAGGCCCACTACCAATGACAAGGTATCCACAAGCGAAGCCAAGACGTGCTCAGACACTCCCCTGTACACCGCAATGTCCAGGGCCAGTGGGTACAGCCTCCCCCGGAGCTGTCCCTGAACTCTGCAGAGCTGCAGAATCTCCTGCTAGGCACTCCTAGCCACCATCAGGTCCAAAGCCCCAGTGCACAGATGAGGAGCTTCAGGCGGATGAATGTCTGCACCCAGCGCTCTGCAGGAGGACGGGCACGGTAGGCAGGCTGGCTCTGAGCATCCCAGGATGGGCCCTCCAGAGGCTGACTGGCCAGGGCAGACGGCCACCCCCAAATTATTTTGCTCCCAGAAGCTCAGAGTCCGGAGGGAGTGGTGTTCCGAGCACAGGCAGCAATTCATCTCCCCCGTCTAATCCAATCATCTCTCCCCCTGACTTTCAAGTAAATCAACAGTTTCTGCCGGCATGTCATGAAACTTTAGCTTACCCCAGAAATTCCCAAGCCCAAAGGACCTTGCTGACCCTAGAAGTTCTACTGTCTCCGCAGGACTCCTGGTTACCTTACTGGGCCACGTTTCTCATCTTCGTCACGGAAAGCCCGTCTGTATTGAGGAGAAGCTGCACACACACACAAACACACTCATCCCTGCTGCTGTGTGGGGCACACACAGGCAGAGACCCCCGCTCAGCGAGCTGGGGATAGGGATGACCATTTGCAGCCAGGGTCACAGAAACCTTTGGCTTAAAGCTCCTTCCGAAAGAAATGAGCCCCCTTCTTTCCTCTGCCTTCACCTCCTCTCCCACTCCACAAGCCCCTGCCTCCTTCCTCACAGCAGGAAAGTTTACACTGAGCTTTTGGAAGCAAAAAAGAATCCCCACCCACCCACCCTCCATACACAGCCAAAGGAGCCCAGGAGAGACCCTCACAGGACGTGGGGGCAGGGAGAGCCTCCTGAAGGAGCTTTCTCCTGTCCTGGGGCTGGACAGTTAACATAGCCAAGGTGTTTAAAAGCCCAGAAGCAGGAAACAGCTACAGGGTCACTCTAGTGTGGACAGAACGGCCCACTGGTCATGAGATTCAGAGCCACATGGCTTCCCTTCCAATCCTGGCCCTACCACTGAGCGGAGCTCTGTGCCTCAGTTTCCCCACGGGGTTGGATGCACCCACACACATCAACTCTGAGCACAGGGTCTGCCGCGTGATGAATGGAAGCTCTTCTGCTCCACTAGGTGTGGCTGGAGAGAAAGTTCCGGAGGGGAAGTAGACAGAGATGAGGTCAGCTCTGGCCTGCCTTCTAAATCGCATTCAGGAGCTTAGATTTCATCTGGAAGTCCGGAAGGGCTGGAAGCTCCCAAGCAGGGAAGTGGTTTTAGGAAGCTCCCTGGGTGCAAAGTGCTGTAGGCCAAGAATTAGGCCCACCTGAGTTTCCAGTGCGTTTCCCGGGGCCTGGAGCGGGGGAGGCAGGAAGCGGCAGCAATAAGGGGGCCTCACAGCCCTCTCAGATACAGGGGCCTCCTCTACATCAGGACAAGGGAGCTGGCCAGGAAGAGATGGCTTGGGTTTGGGGGCTGAACAGAACAGACTGAACATGAAGCCCGTTCCAGCGAGTGGAAGGACGCCTGCCCCAAGGTGGAGCTGGGGACGTATCTTGTCTGCCGGAGGGAACAGCTTGAGATGGGGGTCCCAGGCCTCCCGCACTCCAGGCACTCCCTCAGCACAGGGCATGGGCAGGCTGCCTTCCCAGGAAGAGCAATCTCTTCCAAAGCCCCATGACATCTCAGCAGCACCCTGAGGATGATCCACACACTGACCTGCAACAGGGACCAAAGTGCAACAGCCCCCAAGCCCCTTCCCAGGGCTTCTATGGAGCCACGGAGGCTATGAGCGGGGCTGGTGGCTGGAAGGAAACTTGCAACAGTGGCTGCTCAGCTCACACAGAGGGACCTGTGTTACCTTCCAGTAACTGGCAGAAACTGCCCCCGTTACGCATTATGAGCAGAGCAACTCCCCACTGAGCCCGAAGTTTTCACTCTACCGTCTCACACTCTCCAAGCCTCGGTCCAGGCACTTGCCTGGATGCACTTCATTTGCATTCTTTTTTCGGACACTAGGAGTCCCGGGTTTTTGACACAGAGTGTGTACTCGATATAAATTTGATGAATGAATGGTTGAATAAATGAGACAGGAGAGAGTCAGACCCTCCATAGAAGTGCAGTAGCATCACGACACTACACATCAAAGCTCATGCACCTTGCTGGAGAACTGCCTCCATTCCTTACTCAGACTGTTTACTTAGTCTGCTTGCAACACTAGTAAGAATAGCAATCCAGGTTTCTGGACCACAGGACAACAGAAGCATAAAATCACCAGGGGAAGAAATTCTAGAACCAGGTACACAAGCAGCAACAGGAAGTGACAGCTGAAAGTCTGGCCTCCAAATTCTAAAGGAAAGGAGATCTGCAAACTGCACCCACGTTGACCCAAGGCCTCTCAGCCTGGGGACATTCAGCCTCTACAAAGTCGCCCCTTTACCCAGTCCAGTCTCCTCTGGCAACATCGCAGAGCAGACACGGGTGATTCCAGGCACCATCCAGTGTCCAGCCCTGAGCCAGACACATGATAGGTACTCTATCAAGGATCAATAAATTGATTGCTCAGGTTTATTTGGATACATTTCATTGGAAAGTACTCTGTGATCAGACCTGTCTGCAGAGCCCTCAACCCTACAGCCCTGTCCTCATGCTCTTGACCATGACTTCGAGTCATGGAGAAACATAACAATTCTATTTGTTTTCTGAGTGGGTGCCTGCCAGATGCAGCTATATCATCTTTCTAATGCCTCCAACAACCCACAAACTAGAGACACTTATGCCCAACTAGGACACGCTTGGCAACCACGAAGATGCCCGTTTACTCCCAGAAAATTATATGATGCATTTTGGAGAGATTCTCATCAAAAATCATTAACAGAAAAGGCAATGTGTTTGCATTAAAAGGTGTCAGGCTTAGGTGGTGACAGCCCAGGTGCTGATACACCCATCATCTTGTTAAACACACGGACAACCCCACAGAGCGCGTGTTGTGGGCATGCCACATTGGAGACATGGGCGCTGCAGCTGTCAGAGCCAGGAAGCACCACGTGATGGGGGAGCAGGGTGTTGAACCCAAGACTCCCCATCTCCCTTCAAGTCAGCCTGACACCCCTCCCCCAGAAGACACTGATGTGGGATACACCAGGCCCACACAGAGTAGGCTCCACACACACAATTTTAGAATGAACAAATGAACAAACAAACCTTCTCGACATGGTTTGGATCTGTGTCCCCACCCAAATCTCATGCTGAATTGTAATCCCCAATGTTGGAGGTGGGGCCTGGTGGGAGCTGATTGGATCATGGGGACAGATCTCCCCGTTGCTGCCATTCTTGTGATAGTGAGCTCTCATACGATCTGGTTGTTTAAAAGTGTGTAGCACCACTCTCCACTCCTCCTCTTCCTCCCACTCCAGCCAGGTGAGGTACTGGCTCCCTGTTTGCCTTCCACCATGATTGTACGTTTCCTGAGGCCTCCCCAGAAGCCAAGCAGATGCCCGGCATCATGCTTCCTGTACAGCCTGCAAAACTGTGAGCCAATTAAACCTCTTTTCTTTACAAATTACCCAGCCTCAGGCATTTCCTTATAGCAGCACAGGAAAGGACTAATACACCTCCCTCACCCATGATGGATAAATGAGGCGGAGCCCTCTTCCAACAATTCCAAACCAGTGCACCCGAAGTTCCCCACTTCAGTATTTTCAGTACTTCACAGCATCTGCCTATGGGGAAAGGGGTTCCCAGTCTAACGTCTGTCCAGCCGGATCTGTTTTTGGGCTAGCTGGACAGACTGGATGCCAGGAAGAGAGGAGAAAGGGTGAAAGGTCACAGGAGGGAACATTGCTGAGTTCATAAAATCCAGGCTGAGGGCAGGAGAGAGAGATCCACATGTGTTTGCAAACCTAGAGTCAGGGATGTTAAAATGCAGTGCACGAGGCAGAGGGAGGGCTCTGTTCCGCCTGTGAGGGATGTGCGGAGGCCACATTGTCTCCATGTCAGAGCCCCAGCATGGTCCCCTGGACACCATGACCCACTTAACAAGCTCACTTCTGAACCAATCCCTGGGGCACTAAATGCATCCAAGCAGCCTGGGGGAGGGAGGCATGGCCTCCAAGCTCCATTCCCAGCTGGGCACACTGAGGTTCAACGCCACAGAGCTTTCTAATGACAGAGCCAGCTTTTACCCCTGGATGTCCAGTTCCAAATCCACATTGAAGTCACAGTCTGCATTCACTCTTCAGGATGCTGTCTCCTGCAAGCTGCATGCCTCCCAGAAATCCCTAGCCAGCCCCATTCCTTTCCAGAAGCTTCAGTCTCTCAGTAGGGGTGCAAAGGTGGAAGGATGGGGCCCTCCATGTCCACTTACCCCTGGACGTCCACCCCCACATGCTGAGGGCTGATTACTGGGCACACCTGAGTCTCTCTCTCTCCCTCTGCCTCAGCCTCCTTTCTGGCCATGGAGACAGTCTCAGCCCACTCCTGGCAGACACCCGTGTTCCAGAAGCAGCCCTCCAGCAATGATGGATGCAAGTGGCTTTCAGCTGGGTTATGCCATGGTCCCCAAGACAGAGGGAGGACCGAGACAAGGATTGAGGTGCTTCCTGCTGGGCACACCAGGGAAAGAGGGCTAGATTTTCTTCTCTCCATCCACCTTCCTCAGCCTTCCATTGACAGATCCTCTCTCCCTGATTGGGATAAGACTGCCAGTTACTCTTCATTTTCCTTGATATGCATTTGTGTCTGTTTTGTGTCTTTGTAAATATTCATAAGGGATGCTGAGGGGCCTCATTGGAAGCTGCTAGCCAGATGTTGTTGAAAACTAGAAGTCCTTCCCCACCTCTGCAAGCTCATGTTCTAAAGCCCACTGAGGCACATGGAGAGGTAGCAGCCCCCTACTCAGAAACAACCCTGCAGCCTCCTGCTCTGTAGCTCTGTTCCATGTGGCAAATCCCTGAACTCCACCACATTGGTCCAGGGCCCACTGTGTGGGACACACCAGCCCTCAGGGGTGAGAAGAAATGATTACAGAGCAAAGAGGGTCTTGGAGAGCCTGTGCTGGTGGGGAAAGTTGGAGCAGGAATGCTCTGGAAATTTTTGCAGGGTTCTATTTGAAGAAACATTCCTTTCCACCTCCACCAGAGTTCAGCTTACGCCCTGAAGCGCGAGATCTGATTGCGATTATTGATGGCTGCAATGCCGCGGATGGTATTGTTCCTTCGCAAATTGTCCATCCCCTGGAAATTCCCAAGCCCCATCTCACGCTGGTGGGGTGCCCCACTCCCCTGCAAGATGCTTCCCAGGCCAGCTCTCCAGAATGAACCGGAAGGTCTCACCTCTGAGGAAGCCTGCATGGGCACGTGCCTAGTGATTTACAGCAGGTCCTAGCCTGTTTCACTTAAGCCCCCAGAACATAAATTTGACTGGATGCATTTACAAAAAGAAACTGGCATGCTATAGCACATATCTGTACATTCCATTATTACCACATTTCATTGATTCTAAGACCTCCATTTATTTTCCACAACTTAACATCTCTAAAATCAGAGTGTGGCTTATAATCAACGCCATTCTTCAGGGGTGAATAAAGTAATGATGCAACTTAGAGTGCATCCAAGAGAGTTTTTAGATGATATGAAATATACGCTTTGAAATTTTTGAAGACAGCAAAGCAAAGATGGCGCCTCTTTATTGTTGTGATGCTACCTCTCCTAGCCTGGAGAAACTTGCCGCAGCCTTTTAATACTATCTTATCGTAATGAGGATGGAGTCCTTGAAGATAAATTTGCACTAGAGGTAAGAAATTGTGCTCAGCGGTTAATCAAAGTTATCCAAGATGAGTCTCACGAGTCCTCAAAAGCACCTCCCATTGGAAACCCCATCCACGTTACCCCGCCCAAGCATGTGAGTGTGCACACACACCCTTCCCATATGCCAGTCATGTTGTCTCTGTTCTTAAACAGCCCGCAGAGCTCCCTGCTGCCCCTGGCTGAGGACAGGACTCCTTAGCGAACACCCAGAGCCCATCGCCCACCTGGGACCTGCCTCTGCAGCCTGGGGCTCCCATCCAGGGCCCATCCTTCCTGCCCCCAAACACCCACTCTCTCTGCTGTCTCGGGCCCCGGCATAGGCCGTACTTGCAGCTCTTCTCCACCTGGAAAACTCTTATTCATCCTCCAAGAACTTGGGCAGCCCACTCATGCCATCATTGTGGACTTAGCTCCTGCCACACACTGAATCCCACCCCAGGTACTGAGGACACCACAGCAAACGCACCCCTCCTGTGGCAGACGGGAGCCACAAGATGGACAGGATGATGAAGTCGATGGCATTTTAGATAACACGTGTCCCGGAGGGAAATGCCATTGGAAAGAAACGTGAGAAAGGGCTGGGGGTGTTGACATCTTAGATGAGTAGCTGGGGAGGCCTTCCTGTGAAGGTGGGATTAAAATATAGGCCTGAAGGAAGTGGGGAAGGGTATTCCAGGCAAGGGCAACAGCAGACACGAAAGGTGCCATGGCTGGAGCACGCCTAGCAGGTTCAAGGGGCAGCAGGGAGGCCAACATAGTTGGGAGGGAGAGAGGAACAGGAGATGAGGCTGAATAGGAACAGGGGCTGAATTGTTAGGGCCGTGTGGGGCCACTGGGATCATTAGACTCTTTCTCTGAGAGCAGTGGGGAGTGGTGAGAGGGCTCAGAGTGGAGGAGCGACATCCCCAGGGCAGAGGGTGATGTTTTGACAGGGTCCTTCTGGCTGCTGCTGGGCACAGAGGAGATAGAAGCAGCAGGGTGGGAGCAGGGGACCAGCTGGGAGGTTGTCCAAGTACCACCTACCTCCATGATCAAGCTTCCCACAGTAGCCTCATCGCTTGGGGGCTGGCTTGTGGTTGTCATGGAAATGTCCCCTTCCCTTAGCAAGAGCTGTGCTCCACTCTTTCATATGCCTGCCCAGTGCATACAGCAGCATCAAGCATGGGCATGAATGAATGGATGAACCAACAAACGAACAAGCGAGAACTGGAGAGAACGTAAGTATCCTAAACAACCCCTTGTTTCATTTCGGTGGGGCTGGGTTTCTAACCAGGAACTTCATTCCCCAGTGGGGTGTGTGGTTCTAACTCAGAAAAATAAAGTGTTTTTCTTCCTTGATGTTCTTTAAGTCCTGAAATTTCTATTTATTTCACATTTGGTAAATGCTTCACAAAAAGAAAACGAAATCTGTATTTTGGTCTTCACCTCCTTGACAGTGGCTTGAAGGGCAACGGATGGATCTAGGAGGGATCTTTTTTTAGTGGAAAGGCACATTTTAATTTTAGGTTAAGTGTTCTAAGCAACAATCTTCTTAGCAACAATTAGTCCCCAGACATGACTTTTCAAACATCCAGCTTCAGGGGGATGTGGTGTGAGGACCCGTAGCTGCGGGGCCAGATCCCACCAAACTCCCTCAGAGGAAGCGCTGGAGGGAACCAGACCCCAGGCCAGATCCAAATCATAATCAGGTGGTGCAAACAGAAAGGCCAGCACAGGTGGCTTCCCGGAGCCGGGGTTTAGACAGGACCAGCGCAGCTCCCCCTGCAAGGGTGAACGCAGCCGTGGGGAGCTGCCACTTGACGTTTATTTCTGGAACGCAGCACACTGGCGGGTGCTGCACCCACACGCGTGCTGTCAGCTCCTGGTGCCGCCTGCTCTGCGGCCCCGTTCACAGGTAGCATCCCCAAGCATCACATATGCCTCTGGATGAGATTTAAAATCCACATCATGGGCACGGTGGCTCATGCCTGTGATCCCAGCACTTTGGGAGGCCAAGGCGGGAGGATCACTTGAGGCCAGGAGTTCAAGACCAGCCTGGCCAACACAGTAAAACCCTGTGCCTACTAACAAATACAAAAATTAGCCACACATGGTGGCAGGCACTTGTAGTCTCAGCTACTTGGGAGGCTGAGGCAGGAAAATCGCTTGACCCCAGGAGGCAGAGGTTGCAGTGAGCCAAGATCTCGCCACTGCACTCCAGCCTGGGTGACAAAGTGAGACTCCATCTCAAAAATAAAAAATAAGTAGTACAATCCACATCATATTCATTTCCCAGGCTGCCCTACAAATCACCACACAGTGGGTGGCTCACAGCAACAAAAATTTATTTTCATCACAGTTCTGGGCACCAGAGGTCCCAAATCAGTATCACTGGGCTGAGATTAAGGTGTTGGGGGCTGGGGGGCTTGTTCCTTCTGGAGGCTCAGAGACAAAGCCATTCAGGCCTCTCACCCTGGCTTCTGGCGGCTCCCAGCCATCACTGGCATACCTTGGCTTGGGGATACATCGCTCTGATCTGGCCTGTCTTCACATAGCCTTCTCCTTCGTGTGACGAATGTCTCAAAGCTCCCTTTCCTTTCCCTCATAAGGCTCAAGCCATTGGATTTAGGGCCCACCCTAAGTCCAGGATGATCTCATCGCAAGATCCTTCACTGGATTCCATCCATAAAGATCTGATTTCAAATAAGATCGTGTTCACAGATACTGGGAGGGGTTAGGATACGGACATCTCTTTTTGGAGGACACCACTAAACCCTCAACACACATCACCTGGCCGCATGTCATGGTGCAACCGGGGGCCCTGGCGGCCCTGCACAACGGCAGCTCCCTTCCTGCCGGTCACTTGCCTGTCTCACTCAGGACCTTTGCTGTTCCAGAGAATGACAGTGCCATCCTCCTGGGACACCACCAGCACCCTGGCATCACCGGCCCTCATCCCAGCACTGGAATGTAAGCTCCTCCAGGCCCTCAGGCCTCTTGCCCAGCCCAGCACAGCACAGGGCCTGGCAGAGGTGACGCCCTGCAACGCTGATGCTGAATCGGCTGCCTGTGGGGCTCCTAGACCTACTCCCGTCAACCTCAACCCCCGCTCTGCCAACCACCAGGCCCCAGCCCATGTGCTTCTAGAAGTCTCCTTCCCAGGCCAGGCCTCCTCCCTGGAGCCTGGGTCTCCAGTCCTGCCACCTCCCTCCTTCCCTCTGCCTTATGAATTCCCACTCAATCCTAAAATGCCCTGAGTATCAGCCTCCTCCATCTGTGGCATCTCACTCACCCTAAGCTGAGGTCCCCTCCAGGCCCTCTCCCTGGGATGCCCATGGGCCTGCTACCTGCTGCACCTGCTTTAAGATGGAAGCAGTTCCAGCATCACCTCCTCCTGGAAGCCCTCCCTGCTCCTCCTCCACTCCCTGGCCAGGTTGTTGTCTCCTTTATGCTCCCTCCACCCTGGGCACTCCCTTCACTCACAGGTGGTCACCCACTCGTGTGTGCAAAGCCCTGCAGGCTGCCCTGGGCTTTACTGTCTGCATGGCCCCTGATACCCAGCAGGACACACATGGGCCCTCGGAGGTTTGCAGTTACCACTAATAACAGCAGTGCCTGATCCTGGCAGCCTCATTAACGACGGCACCTGATCTGGGGTGGCCATCGGCACAGCTTCCTTCAGTTTGACGGCCCCATTGCATGCTGGATGACGAGGGATGGGAGAGGGGTTGAGGGATTGTTAAGTGGCCGACAGGAAGCTCCCTGTCTCCCTCCTTGTCAATTACTTTCCAGGAAAAGGCCTTTGACAACTCCCCACATGCTCCCCACTAAGGTAAAGGGTTGAAAAACTCAAGGAAGCATCCTTTAGACAATGTGGCAGGAACCACAGGGATGTTCACCAAAGGACAGAAACCTTCATCCCTTCACTCCCACTTACTTACAGCTCCCTCTCACAGATGCAATGAATTCAGCCCAGAGGGTCCTCTGAATCCAGGGATCCTCCAAGGCCATGGACTGCCCCACAAGGGGAGAAGGGAGCTCCAGGGGCCCGGGGCCCACCACTCAGTTCACACCTCAGGCTGTGTAGACAACCAGAACCCCACCCACAAACCCCAAACCCCACACAGCCGGCACCAGCGGGCCTGCATCTTCCGGCTCCAGCTTCCTCAAGGTGTGCAGACTTCCCTGAGCATAAAGGTCACCTACCTGTGCCATTGTCACCTCATTCTACAACAGGAGCTGCTCGTCTCATCACTCACTGACGGGTTGACTGACAGACCCCCGATGACCCAGACAAGCTGGTATTTTTTTTCTTGAGACGGAGTCTCGCTTTGTTGCCCAGGCTGGAGTGCAGTGGCGCAATCTCGGCTCACTGCAACCTCCGTCTCCCAGATTCAAGCAATTCTCCCTGATTCAGCCTCCTGAGAAGCTGGGATTACAGGCACCTGCCACCACGCCTGGCTAATTTTTGTATTTTTAGTACAGACGGGGTTTTACCATGTTAGCCAGGCTGGTCTCGAACTCCTGACCTCGGGTGATCTGCCTGCCTCAGCCTCCCAAAGTGCTGGGACTACAGACATGAGCCACGGTGCCTGGCTGGCTGAGCTGGTGTTGTCATCCATTCCATCTTTCCTCCATGTATCCAGCGAGTTCTGCTTACGGGCCAGGGCTGGGGTGGCCAGGAGGAGATCTGCAGAGACCTCGCCCCAGCCTGCTTGGGTAGGGGCGGGGAAATAGACGCCCTACTCGACCCATCCTCGGAGCTGCGGCAAGTCCTTACTCTACCACCACGGGGGTTTCTCCAGGATCTCCCAGGCTCTGCCCTCAAGTAAGCAGGTGTTTTGTGCTAAGAATTGAAAATCAGCATCCACGAATTTAACGCTTAGGTAAAACAGGGAAGAAGTAGTTATACCAGAAGGGTAAGAAAGGCTTAGGAGAAAGGAAGATGCCTACTCATCTCTAATCATCACTCTTGTCTGTCCCGTCCCTGGTGGTCATAGTGTTTCCGCTGAATTAGAAAGTTTGATTCACTGATTCATGCAATAAATATTTATTGAGAAACTATTTCGTGCTTTGTGGGGGCTGCAGCGATCCAGGCTGGTACCAATAGCAGCCTGCGTTCAGAGGGCTTCCTTCCCTCTCTGTGGCCCTCCCCTGCCACACCTCCCCCACCCCCCACTGATTCTTCCAGACTGCCCAAAAAGCTGGCACTGTGATGAGCCACCGTCTGCAGAGGAAACACGCTGGGAGGCAGTTATGGCGTGGCGACAGGGGGCCGAGCTGGGACTCGAGCCCGGCAGCCTGACCCTGGTGTTTTAGGCTTAGCACAGCAATGCTGGAGCCACTGAGGCAGAACGTGGCCAGAGTCTTAGCTGAGGTCCAAAGCAGCAGAGTGAGAGGCAGCGTTCCCATAGATGCTGGGCAATCAGAGAGGGCCTCCTGGGGGAGGGGGTATCTGAGCTGGCCTTGCAGGAATGCTGAGGGCAGGGCTGAGTCCGCTTCATCCTCACACTGTGGGAAACCACCGGAGTGCTTGATGAATGAATGGATGACTCACAGCTAACAGGCTGTGGAGAGAGTAAAGACAGGGGCCCCAGATGCTTTGGGTAGGAACTACTGTTCCCAAATGATCTTCAGAAAATCCCTGGAGATGATCAGAGACATCCCGGGAAAGCTCAGAGCACAGAAGGTGGCACAGGGAAGGTGTTCAACGGGTCTCCTGAAAGAAAGAAGGGAGGAGGGCAGGACGGAAATGAGGGGCGCTTCAGCCCTCCACTCCCTTCACAGCTGCTCCCGAAACAAGCCAGGGCTCGGGTAGGAAGCTCCGACACTTCACCAGAGGAGTCCAGCATCTTCTCCCAACTTCCACGGAGGGACTCTGAATTGTTCCACCAAGCTGTGCCCTCCCAGGCCAGGCCACCCGCTGGCCTGCACAGCCCTATTGGCTGGGAGCTCCAGGGAGCTCATGATTTGGGGTGAGCTGGACCCAACTCGTGAGGGACAGAAAAGGGTCCCTCAGCTCTGTGGCACCAGGGCCCAGGCAAGAAACACCTCGGGCTCCAGAAAAAAGGGAAATTTAGGGTCAGGTCTGAGTCTTGTGGAAGTGCAGGGCCGGGAAAGGAGAACAGGGAGACAGGTAGGATGACACGGAGGAAGAGTAGGAGTCTGGGGAAGTGGAGGAGGATGAGCCGGAGGCTGTTTTTCGACAAACAACTTCAGCCTGAGCCCTGGTCCTGGGCTGAATTTGGGGACTGCAAACAGAGAGCAGAGCCAGCCCCTCCCTCTGCAGGAAGGGAATGGGGCCCAGCAGTGGACGGCACCACAGCCCCCAGGAAGAGATGTCCGTGTCCTGATACCTGCCCCTGCGAACGTGGCCTCATTTGGAAAAGGGGTCTTTGCAGATGTGATTAAAGATCTCCAGATGAGCTCACACTGGATTACACTGGGCGGCCCTAAAGCCAGCGATGAATGTCTTCATAGGAGACACAGACAAGAAGACAGGGGAGGAGGCCGTGTGTCCACAGGGCACAGACTGGGATGATGCCACTGCAGCCTGGGAACATCTGGAGCCATCAGTGGCTGGGAGAGGCAGGAGCCACCCCTGCAGCCTTCATGGGGAACGAGCCCTGCCCACACCTTGCTTTTATTTATTTTTTTGAGATGGAGTCTCACTCTGTCACCAGGCTGGAGTGCAGTGGTGCAATCTCGGCTCACTGCACCCTCTGCCTCCCAGGTTCAAGCGATTCCCCTGCCTCAGCCTCCTGAGTAGCTGGGACCACAGGCACACACCAGCATGCCCAGCTAATTTTTGTATTTTTAGTAGAGACAGGTTTTCACCATGTTGGCCAGGATGGTCTCAATCTCTTGACCTCGTGATCCACCTGCCTCGGCCTCCCAAAGTGCTTGGATTACAGACATGAGCCATCGTGCCCAGCCTACACCTTGCTTTCTGACTTCCAGCCTCCAGGACTGTGGGAGAATAAAGTTCTGTTGTTTTAAGCCACCCAGTCTGTGGTCCTTAGTTACGGCAGCCACGGGACATTAACACACCCCCGAATGGAGCAGAAGTCCCATGCAGAGCATGGCCCCAACTCCAGAGGCATCGGGGAAGCCTGGCGCCAGGGCGGCATAGAAGCTGGTGTCAGGGCCTGGGA